>NC_000016.10:46380682-46683712 GCF_000001405.40 Homo sapiens | reverse complement strand
TATAGAGCTGGACATTGTTGGAGAAGGACTATGGCTAGAACTATAGAAATAACGTACTTGCTAGAAGAATGTGCTTGAGACATCAGTGGAATTTTTTATTTTTCAGCCTACAACACAGCAGTCCCCTCAGGATGAGCAGGAAAAGCTCTTGGATGAAGCCATACAGGCTGTGAAGGTCCAGTCATTCCAAATGAAGAGATGCCTGGTAAGAATGGAGATGTGGGAGGCACAGTTGCAGTTCGTGTGTTCCTAAGGAAGCATGTGCAGTGTCTTCTAGAGTCAGGTGTTTCTGGTAAATCTAATCTTCACCGTTTACCAGCATCTATCTTCAGTCTCATCTCCCTCAAGCACTTTGTGGAGCAATTTCAACAAAGAGCCCTGTTTACTCACATGTATATTTATGGTTTGGGATTGTCTGTCTTCCCTACTAGAATACAAGCTCATAAGAATAAGAGACCCTTCCTTTTATTTACACATTACTGTATTATTACCACACCAGTGTCTGACCAGAATTACTAGCCTCCTTGGTTCTATACCTCAGACCTGAGGAATATTTAACATATAATAGGTACTCAGTAAATATTTGTTGAATGAATGGATTTAAATGCTTTGCATTTGAATTATTCAGCTTTTTTTCTAAATATCTTGAAAACTTTAATTTCTTTGCTGAATAGATATATTTATTGTAGAAGCTAGCTTAAAAATTATACTTAACACTTATTTACATATTTTTATATTCTAAAAGATAAAGTAAGAGATAATCTGTGTAGATACTTTTGATTCTCTGGATTAAAATGTAAGGAATTGAGCCAAATTGGTTAGTACTTTAAACTATAAATTACTGTGATGAAGATGATGCTATTTTACCTTTGTAAAATGTCTTACTGTGCTTTCTAAAGCATAGTAATATGCTCTTGTGTCTTTTATTGGTTTAATTCCTAACAAATTGGGAATGAAAAATAAATGTCTTGGAATGGAGAAGCTGGGTTTGCTATTGCTTGCTTCTTTCTCTTCCTGTGTATGGATAGTGTTTCCTCTATCTCAAGGAATTGCTTGCATTTCTGAGTTAAGTGGAACATATGGGCATTGTGAGGGCTTGAAGAATGCAAGAGGAAAGCAAACTTACATGGATAGTCATTTCAGACAGCTCTGAAGAGTCTTTAACCCATGACAAAGCCATGTCAGGATAGTATCTTCCTTCACCTGAATCAGTATGCCAGTTCTCTTGATTGCAGGTAAAATGTGATGAATGGAGCTAGTTTCCTAGTCTCTATAGATTGAAAAGATTAGCATTCTATCAAGAAGCTTGCAGTCTTAGCTATGTTAAGTCTTACTAAGAATCATGTATCTTTTTCTTTTTCAGTAGAGACGGCAAGGTGAACCGATCTAAGTTGTTTTTTTAATGTGGTTAAAATCATTTAAGTGCGGTATTCTTTTAAAACTATGTAACAAGTCCTTGATGTAAAGAATTTGTACAACCAAGATAAATGTTTATTTAAATTAAGCATTCTCATCTATTCTCTTGGTATTTCTGTAGGACAAAAACAAGCTTATGGATGCTCTAAAACATGCTTCTAATATGCTTGGTGAACTCCGGACTTCTATGTTATCACCAAAGAGTTACTATGAACTTTGTATCTTTTGAATGTTGAAGACTAAACATTTGGACCATACCTTTTTCTTGATAAGGCCTATTTTGTTTGTTCTTTATGAAGTTTTTCTGGAGTTATCTTATTCTTCGTTATCTGAGTCACATGGCACTCCTTCTCCATGCAGATGTGCTAAGTGAGAAAAACACTTTGAGAGTACTCCTTTCCTATGCTTAAACATCTTTAAATGTGTTGTCGGTGCATCTCAATTTTCAGACCCTTCATGAGGATATTTAGGCTATGACACAGTTGGTTCTTTAATACTTAGATTTTGTTATGCAGCAGTCTCAAATGGACAGGAATTTAATCATTTGCCATTTCAAAACCCATTAGCAGTCTGACAGGTAACCATTGTATTTACTGCTTTGCTTGACCACACATGCTTTAAAACCCTTATTTTAAAGTAAGAAAAGTCCGGCTAAAATTCATCCTTCGCTTGAACACTTTCTTAAAGGACTAAAACTTAAGATGTCTGCCCAGTAGTTAGTAATGACTCCAACAAGTTTCAAAGTTTTGTTTAGGTTGGCTTATTTTTATTTTTAGTCCTTAATCATAATTAAAAGATATGGCCATTTCTGATGAACTGCACTACTTGGAGGTCTACCTGACAGATGAGTTTGCTAAAGGAAGGAAAGTGGCAGATCTCTACGAACTTGTACAGTATGCTGGAAACATTATCCCAAGGCTGTAAGTAATTACAAATCAGAGAACTTTTGTGTCTGTATTTCTCACTATATGTTACGTCTTTTATGATTATCAGCTTAAGAAAAAGTTTTAAGGGTAACTTCTTAACAAATTGAGATGAACATTTTGGTAGATATTCTCTTACTTGTTTTAGAGTAACTAGATTTACGTTTTATGTAGATATTTGAGGAATTTTGGAAATAGAAAAAATGGACATGCTTGCTATTTTTTTTAATGTCTTGACTATTAGAAAAATTAATATAATTGTTCTCTTCCTAATATGTTTAAAGGTAATATCTATGTTGTATATATACAGTGTGTGTGTGTGTGTGTGTGTGTGTGTGTGTATAGTTTTTTTAGAGGTCAGTCAGTGGTTATATTTTAAATGAGATATTTTCCTTGTCATGCGGGAGAAAACAACATGGTTCCTGTCTTGTTTATTTAATGTTTTGTTCAGTGTGTTTGGAAATAAATTCTTGATTTGAATATTTTATTTCTAATCAGCATTTCTTCATAATTTTCCTAGTTACCTTTTGATCACAGTTGGAGTTGTATATGTCAAGTCATTTCCTCAGTCCAGGAAGGATATTTTGAAAGATTTGGTAGAAATGTGCCGTGGTGTGCAACATCCCTTGAGGGGTCTGTTTCTTCGAAATTACCTTCTTCAGTGTACCAGAAATATCTTACCTGATGAAGGAGAGCCAACAGAGTAAGTGATTTTCTTTCTTAATTTTGTTGCAATATTTCTTTCATTGTAGAATGTATAAAAGTGTGGAAACATATACAGAAACAAAGTGTGAATAATTCTTCCACCCAGTCAGCCATTTAGGTAGCATTTGTATATAGATTTCCTTTGTAATATAGAACTCCTCAGTATATGTGGTATCATCTAAAATGTACTCTTATGCAAATTTTATCTTTGGATTGTTAGGACCTGCTTTTTTCATTTAATGTAATTTTTTCTACTACATTAAATCTTCTTTGAAAATAAAACTTTTTTAAGAGAGTTGTATTTGGAAATTGAATTTGTAATGAAATAATAAAGTGTGAGCCAGCTGGATTTCATAATTGTTCCTTTAGTGTCTATCAGTTTTTATAATTTATAGACTGCTAGTTACCTTGGAATATAAGTGATTTGAATTATCTGTTACGAGTTAGCTATTAACTCCAGAGAAGGAAAAATAAAAGCCATTCAGAGACACTCCTGTCTCTTGTGTTATCAGTATTCTAGCATCAAAGTCTACTGTACTTTTATCCCACAGCAGGGGCAGATGGTCAGCCAACTGTGGTCTTCAGTGGGGTGAGCTGTTCACATGACAGGTCCCCAGATTAAAGAACTTCATTCCTTTTTTAAAAAGTTTATTCATTTATTTTCTTTCTTTTTTTAATTTTTAATCTTTTTTCAGTTTGCCCCAACAGATTTTGTTTTTTTCTTTTTAATATTTTCATTTATTTCTAAGGTTTTTAATATATCATTTATTTCTAATGTTTTTTAATATATCTGCATCAATTTCTTTTAAAACAGTACAGAAAAGATAAAACATTTAACAATGTAGAGAAATTGATGAAGTTACTTGCTTTATTATGTTTTGAGTGTCCGTTTTGAGCATTTAATTAGGCAATCAATAACAATTTTTGAAAGGTACTGAGGTCTCCATCCTAGGAGACGTAGAAAAATAAAGCAGGAAATCCATGGTCTCTTCCCTCACAAAGCTTACATTCCAATTAAAAACAAAATATTCAACAGTAAAATGATGTAGTTAGCAGTACACCATAAGTGTTACATTTTTTAGCCTTTTGTTTTTGTTTTTGGTTTGTGGGGATGGGGTCTCATTATGTTGCCCAGGCCAGTTTTAAACTCCTGGCCTAAAGCGATCTTCCTGCCTTGGCCTCCCAAAGCACTGGATTACGGACATGAGCCACCATGCCCATCCTTCTAGCCTTTTTCAATTAAGGAAGTTGCCATAAGAGCAAGTCCAGTTGGCCCAGGATGAGGAGTTGGGGAAAGTAATTTGCCCTTTAAATTTATACTGTCCTCTCCATGGTACTTTTTACCCTAGAGTCTGTTCCCTTTGAAATTTAACACTAAGCCAATGAAGTTGAAAGTGATTTTTTATAAAGCATTGGTGTACTATAGAGATAAGTAGGAAATACACAAAGGAGAAGGATAGTAGTAAGTTGGTCCTGTAAATACTGTGTAAAGACTTTTCTGTTTCTTTGCAGTGAAGAAACAACTGGTGACATCAGTGATTCCATGGATTTTGTACTGCTCAACTTTGCAGAAATGAACAAGCTCTGGGTGCGAATGCAGCATCAGGGACATAGCCGAGATAGAGAAAAAAGAGAACGAGAAAGACAAGAACTGAGAATTTTAGTGGGAACAAATTTGGTGCGCCTCAGTCAGTTGGAAGGTGTAAATGTGGAACGTTACAAACAGGTTTATATATTTTTGTTACCTCTTCTTATGTTCAGAGATAAACTGAAATCTGATTTTTAAAATCAGAATATTTTTGTTATACAATAGTACATTGAAAAACATCTTAAAATGGCTGTTATTGAAGAAGACTTAAACGGAAAGATATATATGCAGTGTTTGTGGATTGGAAGACTTAATATTGTCAAAATAGCATTTAAAAAGAATTGATTTATAGATCCAATGTAATCTCAGTCAAAATCCCAGCAGACTTTTGTAGAAATTAAGAAGCTGATTCTAAAGTTTATATGAAGAAACAAAGAACCTGGAACAGCTACAACGAATTTGAAAAGGAAGAACAAGTTGAAAGACCCAAGCAACCTGAATTAATGATTTACTCTAAAGCTGCAGTGAGATCCTGTGTGGTATTGGTGAAAAGGATAGACACACAAATCAATGGAGGGGAATAAAACAGGGAATGGCAAACTTTACCTGTGAGGGACCAGATAATAAATGGTTTTTGGCTTTGTAAGACATGTGCTGTACAACAAGCTTGTCCAACCTGCAGCCCAGGACAGCCTTGAATATGGCCCAACATAAGTTTGTAAACTTTAAAACATGAGATTTTTTGCTTTTTTTTTTTTTTTTTTTTTTTTTTTTTAAAGCTCATCAGCTAAGTGTATTTTATGTATGGCCCAAGACAATTCTAATTCTTCTTCAAGCCAAAAGATTGGACACCCTAGTCTACAACTAATAACAGTGCAGATATGGTGCAAAAGCACCCACAGGCAATATGGAAGTGAATGGGCATGGCTGTGTTCTAGTAAAACTTTATTTGTAAAAACAAGCAGCAGCTCAGTTTACCGATCTCTGACTGGACAATCCATAATAGACCCAGATATTTATGATCAGTTATTTTTGATAAAAGTACAAAGGCAACCTTTTCAGCAAGTGATTCTGGAACAATTGGATGTTTATATGCAAACAAAAAACCCTGAACCTTGACCCATCCCTCATACCATATAGAAAAAACACAGAAATCAATCAGAGACCTAAATATAGAACCTAATAATGTTAGAAGAAAACACAGAGGAAATCTTTATGACCTAGGATTAGACAAAGATTTCTGAGGATATACAAGCACAAGCCATGAAGAAAAAAGCTCACTTTTGAGAGGCCAAGGCAGATGGATCACTTGAGTCCAGGAGTTTGAGACAGGCCTGGGCAACATAGGGAGACCCCATCTCTACAAAAATTACCAAAATTAGCTGGGCATGGTGGAACGTACCTGTAGTCCCAGCACTCAGGAGGCTTGAGGTGGGAGGATGACTTGAGCCTAGGAGGTGGATGTTGCATTGAGTGGAGATTGTGCCACTTCACTCCAGCCTGGGCAACCGAACAAGACCTTGTCTCAAAAAGAAAAAAGCTTTTAAAGTTTAGAAGTGAAGTCTTGGTGAGAAAAATCTCAAATACGATTTTCAAGTTAGTAGTTCAAATGCGTTACTAGAGGAATAGCTTAAGATTTTGAAAACAGATTTTAACCCTTATGTGTGTTTTTTCTCTTTTAGATTGTTTTGACTGGCATATTGGAGCAAGTTGTAAACTGTAGGGATGCTTTGGCTCAAGAATATCTCATGGAGTGTATTATTCAGGTAGCTGGGAACATTTCATTTTTTTTTAAACGACCTATTTTATCTTTCATTAAATTTAATTGTTTTGAAAAAATTTTGATGGAATAGGAAATAAGCTTTCCTGAATAAAGAGTTTTCCTTGCGGGGTGTGGTGACTCACACCTGTAATCTCAGCAGTTTGGGAGTTCAAGGTGGGAGGATCTCTTGAGGCCAGGAGTTCAAAACCAGCCTGGGCAACATAGCACGATGCCGTTTCTATAAAAAATTAAAAAAATTTTTTTAGTGTTTCTTTTTTTTTTCATGTAATCTTGCTTCTTCTAAAAATAATTTAAAAATAGGAATTTTCTGTTTCTAACTTATACCTTGGTCTTTGTATCAATGTGGTTTGTTTTCCTCCAAAATGTAGGAATGAGTAATCTGAGTTTTCTAGGTCTCTGTAGCTTTAGTTTAATTGTAGGTGCACTTTGTTTATTGGAATATTTCTGTCTGAGCTTATGTTTAGTAGAGAGGTTCAAAAGTAATGTGTTTGAATTTAGTTGTATAAGAATACAGTGTTTTTTTCCCACAAATGTGAACTTTACCATATGTGAGTCCAGAATATTACGTGAAATACTTTTATTTGTATTGATCATTTGATTTTCAGGTTTTCCCTGATGAATTTCACCTCCAGACTTTGAATCCTTTTCTTCGGGCCTGTGCTGAGTTACACCAGAATGTAAATGTGAAGAACATAATCATTGCTTTAATTGATAGGTAAGACCTTCCAACACTGGCGGATAAATGCTCTGACTTGGGAATAATGAATTTTAAACATTTTTTTGAATTATTTGTTTCTGTTACATCTTTATCATACCAATGATCTTAATTTAATTATACTATAAATAATTTAGCTTTGTGAGTATGAGTACTAGGTACTTGTCTAGGTTAGACATGAAAGAGGCTTAACTTAAATGTGCAGGAGACGTGAAGATAATGAATATCTTTATTCTGTGTGCTTAATTGACATTTAAAGATGTTGTACAGACTTATTTTTTAAATCATACAAATCCAAAGATCATATTGAAGAACAAAATTTGTTTTTTACCATGATGTAAGTATCTTGCAGTGGGAACTCATTTGATTTAGAGTAGCCGTAAGATACTGATGATTGAAAATGTTCAAGTAATCACTCTATCATCACATTTTCTTAAAGAAAAAATTTTAAGTATCAAATATGTTTAGTACATCCACTTTTTTATTTTCTTAGGTTTTTTTTTTTTTTTTTTTTTTTGAGACAGATCCTCACTCTTGTCACCCAAGCTAGAGTGCAGTGACGCTGTCTCGGCTCACTGCAACCTCTGACTCCTAGGTTCAAGTGATTCTAGTGTCTCAGCCTCCGGAGTAGCTGGGATTACAGACATGCACCAACAAGCCCAGCTAATTTTTGTATTTTTAGTAGAGACAGGGTTTTGCCAGGTTGGCTAGGCTAGTCTCAAACTCCTGAGCTCAAATGATCTGCCTGCCTCAGCTTCCCAAAGTGCTGGGATTACAGACATGAGCCACTGCGCTTGGCCAATGGGTGGCTTTTTTGCAGCCATGTTATGTAGTAGTATATGATGTCTGTCCTACACTTGTAAGCATTGTCATGAAACCAGAAACCTAAGAGAAGATTTATTTCTGCAGATACCTTTTGTATGTTTTTTAAAAAACTAAGTTATTAGTTTTAAAGTCTGAGAATTTAGATAACAAATTTTTCCAAATTGTCAGCTCAATCCTGGGCAGCAAAAATTCCATACTTATTGGGCCCACTCTTAAAGGAAGCTAGTAACTGGATTTTCCTGAGTTGCCTGTAATGTCACTTACACATCTCTGTCAGTAGTGATGCTTCTGGGCATAGCAAAATGTGGATGTAGTTGTGACTGACAAACAGATAATGATAATGAAACATACTATTTTGAGTAATTTAAGATGTGGGAAATAAAAGTTAATTTTATGAATTTTAGACTTAGTTGTATTTCAAGCTTTAGTAAAAATGCAGTATCTTAAAATAGTCTATGTACTTTTATTTTTTAAAGGTTATTTATTTAAATCATGGTTGTTGAATACATTTGTCACTTTAATGCATTTCTGTCCATATCTGCTTAATTATGCTTCAAAGAGTTGAGAGAATTATCTTGTTGAAAATCTACTTAATATGGTGTGAAATAAGAATGCTGATGAAAAAGGTTTCATTGGCAAAACTGTTTAGTTAAAAATGAATTGAGGAGGCCGGGTGCAGTGGCTCACATCTGTATTCCCAGCACTTTGGGAGGCC
Source organism: Homo sapiens (assembly GCF_000001405.40). Lineage (NCBI taxonomy): Eukaryota > Metazoa > Chordata > Mammalia > Primates > Hominidae > Homo > Homo sapiens. The sequence goes on along the minus strand of NC_000016.10, from coordinate 46,675,042 downwards.
AAGGAGGGAGGCTTGCTTGAGTCCAGGTCAGTACCACCCTGGGCAACATGGTGAAACCCCATCACTACAGAAAACACAAAAATTAGCTGGGTATGGTGGCACATGCTGTTAGCCCCAGCTACTCAGGAGGCTGAGGTGGAAGGAGGATAGCCTGAGCTCAGCAGGTGGAGGTTTCATTGAGTGGAGAGTGCGTGACTGCACTCCAGCCTGGGCGACAGAGCGAGACTCTGTCTCAAAACAAAACAAAACAAAACAAAAAAAACAAAAACCTTTTGGGCTCATACAAAATATAGAAAAGCAATAAAGAATAAGATGTCATCCATGATCTCACTACCCAAACCCTGTATCTTTTAAAATAAAGGGGTGTTTTTTTTTTTTTTAGATTAGCTTTATTTGCTCACCGTGAAGATGGACCTGGAATCCCAGCGGATATTAAACTTTTTGATATATTTTCACAGCAGGTGGCTACAGTGATACAGGTTTGTGTAGCATTTCTCCTAAGTTCTCAAAACTTTGAAACTTCTCTGCCTTCCTTTTACAATTGTTTAAAATAAATTGTGTGGTTTTCTAAACATTCCAGTCTAGACAAGACATGCCTTCAGAGGATGTTGTATCTTTACAAGTCTCTCTGATTAATCTTGCCATGAAATGTTACCCTGATCGTGTGGACTATGTTGATAAAGTTCTAGAAACAACAGTGGAGATATTCAATAAGCTCAACCTTGAACAGTAAGTCAGTTACATTTTTGTAAAAATCCTCAAAGATATTTTTGTCCTAGATTTGCTTTTCTTTCTCAATTGTTTTTTGAACTGCTGGCATTTGTCTTGTTTTAATCATGCATTAAGATTGTCATGCTTAGCACTACTAGGGGCAGAAAGTAGTGACCAATTACTTGTTTTTTTATATTAAGGAAATTGTGGTACCTATGGACCATAGGCAGTCTTCAGGGACCAGTGTCTCCAATTTGGATCCCTTTCTGTGTGTCAGGGGCATCCAATCTTTTGGCTTCCCTGGGCTGCACTGGAAGAAGCATTTTCTTGGGCCACACATAAAATACACTAACACTAACAATAGCTGATGAGCTTAAAAAAAAAATCCCAAAAAAACTCATAATGTTTTAAGAAAGTTTACGAATTTGTGTTGGGCCGCATTCAAAGCCATCCTGGGCTGCATGCGGCCTGTGGGCTTTGGGTTGGACAAGCTTGCATGTGACTGAGTTTGTTCTTAAACTGGTAAGGAAACTTTGTCAGGCAGTATTTATTTCCATAAGTGGTGTTTTCCTACGAATCAGCACATGGTGAAAAATGAGGGGCTATGTATATTTAAGGTGCAGAATTAAATTGGTTTAAATATCTTTTCTATTTTGAGCTTTGATTTTGATACCTTAAAGGAAATATCAACAGTACTATTTCCAACCTGAAGCCTCCTCAGCTGTTCTGTCCTAGACTTATGGCGTCCTCTAGTGGCCACTATGGGCAGCTATGATCCTGTTACCTTCCCCAGCAGTTCCCTTCCTGCCCTGTTCCCCACTGCTCTGGCTTGGGTCAAGCCAGGCCTGCCTCCCGCCAACATATTCTTCAGAATTTTACCTCATGTAATCTTCCTCCTTTCTATCTCCCTTCCAGTGGTTTACCTGCATCAAGAAAATTTCTTCTTTTTTTCCTCCCTTTGTGTTACCCTTGTTCTTTTGGTCATTTTTGGTTTTGTGTGTGTGCAAACTGAAAACAAGTCCAGATGTGGAATGATAAGTGTGAGAGAAAATTAAATGATGTGCCAGGTGTGGTGGCTTGCACCTGTAATCCCAGCTATTCAGGAGGCTGAATTGGGAGAATCACTTGAGTCCATGAGTTTGAGAACAGCCTGGGCAACATAGCGAGACCCCGTCTCTAATAAAAAATAAAATTAAAAATAAAAAAAATTTAAATTAAAAAAACTAAATGATGTATCTGTGTCTTTCTCCCCAAGTGAATTTTAAAGTAAAAATAGACAAAGTAATTAGAAATAACAACCTCTAAAGAGGTTGTAATAAATGCCCCAATATGCCTCAATATCTACAGAATGATTTTACTAACAACTACGTAAAAGTCAGTCAGCCTGCTTTTCCTTAATCACCAACATCTGATGCAGAAGAAATAGTTTATGTGTTTTTCTGTTGTGTCAAATTGCTGGTTTTGCATGGAGTTTTTTTCCTATTTATTTTCATCATGAATATACAATACTTGTTGGCTGGCCCCTGGGAACCAAACTACCACTTAAAATACTTCCCTTAGAAATGTCATCAAATTCTAGACAGTCATCTTAACTCCAGCTATACCATCTGTTCATGAGTTGGAAACTGTATCTAGTTTTGTATCAACAGAAAAATAATAGATGAATATATATTTGTGTTTAGATAAGCATTTTTATCCTCCTGAAAGGAGGTTGTTATAGTCTTCTGTGGTGGTATGATTCACTTGACCCATTTCCTTTAATGTGTAATGAAAAATTTCAAATTCTTATGGAACAAATGCTATTTGTGTATATAGAAAGTTAATTTTATTCATTAAGACTTCTGTTTTTCTTTTTGTAGTATTGCTACCAGTAGTGCAGTTTCAAAGGAACTCACCAGACTTTTGAAAATACCAGTTGACACTTACAACAATATTTTAACAGTCTTGAAATTAAAACATTTTCACCCACTCTTTGAGTACTTTGACTACGAGTCCAGAAAGAGCATGAGTTGTTATGTGCTTAGTAATGTTCTGGATTATAACACAGAAATTGTCTCTCAAGACCAGGTAAGAGAATACCTACGTGCTATTTTAGGGAAACAGTGTTACAATTTTAGACTTTGGACCTAGATACCTGAGATGGGAGGGGAGGGTAATTCAATACTAAATAAAATTTACAAGTAACTTTTTCATTATATAAATTAAAAATTGGAGATGTATAAAGAATTATAAAACATTTATAATTCCACCAGATAGAGAATAACCACTGTTAATTAACATTTGGTGCATATCTTTCCAGACTTTTGTCTGTATATGTGTGTATGACATACATGTGTATCGACTTTCTCACCAAAAAAAGGAATATCTTGTTGATACTGTATTGTAATTTTATAACTGGAAACACTTTTGATAATGGCTTTGTATGCCAATGGTTTCACCTCAGTGGGTTTCTTGTGCCTCGCATGTTACAGGTGGATTCCATAATGAATTTGGTATCCACGTTGATTCAAGATCAGCCAGATCAACCTGTAGAAGACCCTGATCCAGAAGATTTTGCTGATGAGCAGAGCCTTGTGGGCCGCTTCATTCATCTGCTGCGCTCTGAGGACCCTGACCAGCAGTACTTGGTATGAGTTTACCCTTAGTATATCCCTGTATCAGCTCCTAGTGAAATCACATGTTCAAGTGCTTAAAATGGTTTAATTCACTTTCTGGTCTTAGATGGTTTTGAAGGAATTGCAACTGAATTAAAGATTCACTTGAACCTGGGAGGCGGAGGTTGTAGTGAGCCGAGATTGTGCCACTGCACTCCAGCCTGGGCAACACAGCGAGACTCCATCTCGAAAAAAAAAAAGATTCATGGCATCCATGGGCTTTTACTTTATATATAAACACATAATTGTTTGTAAACTTCTGGAGCATGTGAGTAACAATTCAGTTGCTCTGATTTCTTTTGAAGACTCTCTGAGAATTACAAAAAAGTCTGTCTTCTTTTGCTTGAGTGCCGATAATTATTCCATGTTCATTTTTTCTGAACTATGTATTGCTTATAATAAACTTTATAAGAAATACAATTCTTATATTTAATTTTACTTTTCCAAATTTGCAAGTATAAATTATATTTGTCATATTGAAAATGTGAGTTTTTGTTTTTTGATGAAAGATTTAAAAATTCATTTTGCCTTTTTCTTAACTTTTTTTTTTCTGATAAAGAACAATCACATGAGGTTCTCTCTTTATTATTAGTCCACAGGGAATCATTGTGAAATGGATAAAACATGTTGCCTGAGTAGGTGTATCAGTGACCGATACTAGATAGATAGTTTATTTTAGTGAAGGGTTAGCACAGTTGGCTGCTTAATTATTGTTTGGGCAAAGTAGTTTAACCATTCTTGGATGCATAAGGCTATTAGGCTGCTATGATGAAAAAGACATTTGCTTGAGGATGTCCTGACTGTCTCATCCCTTTCTGTTGACTTTCTTCATTGTAGTTGACACACCTGTACTTCATAATCAGTGTGAAATAAGAGGCTGACTTCTGTTGATAGTGTGATGGTCTTTGTCTTGGTTTAGTGACAAACATTCCAGGACTGTGGTATTGTGCTCTGTGAGCTATGTGATCTGTACAGAGTGACTGTCTTAAGTATTTTAACTGATTGCCTTATGTTTCTGTGTGAGATTGTTTGTATCTGTGTGTTTTCATTTTCTATTGCCTACCAAATATAGTAGTTAGAAACTATTCCTTCCGGCGGGGCATGGTGGCTCGCATCTATAATCCTGGCACTTTGAGAGGCTGAGGTGGATGGATCACCTGAGGTCAGGAGTTCAGGATCAGCATGGCCAACATGGTGAAACCCCATCTCTACTAAAAATGCAAAAAATTAGCTGGGCGTGGTGGTGGGCGCCTGTAATCCTAGCTGCTCAGGAGACTGAGGCAGGAGAATCACTTGAACCTGGGAGGTGGAGGTTGCAGTGAGTGGATATCATGCCATTGCACTCCAGCCTGGGCAACAAGAGTGAAACTCCGTCTCAAAAAAAATTATGCCTTCTGCATGTGGCTGATTGGTTATTCCCATGTATGGAGATCTTTAATGATAGGGTCATTAGCTCTGACTGCCCCTAGGGGAAATGCATTCTCTTATTCATCTACCATATCAGGAATTTCACAAAACCTGAATGCCATTGTGTCACATATACTAAAAATATTTTATAAACTCTGTGTTTTTCTTGTAATTTTTCTGAATTGGCTATATGTTGTGCCATTTCAGAAAAAAAAATCCAAGAAAAACACAGAATTCATGGAATATTTCACAAGTAGCTCTTTTAAAGTATGTTAGCATTTTCCTTGACTTAAATGGTCTTAAAATTTTTTTGAATGAGGAGGTATGATGTACCAGTAATATGCATATAGTTGTTGTGTATCATAGTAATAGTTAATATTACTGAGCTTATGCCTTGTGCTAAGTAGTGGTAAGCCTTCACATGTGTCACTTGATCTTCCCAACAACCCTAGGAGTTTATAGAAACTTGTGGCTAAGAGAAGGTAAATAATTTGCCCAAGGCCACACATGTAATAAGTATTAGCATCTGCTTTTAAATGTGAGTCTCTGAGTATCTTCACAGCCTTCTTTTTTTCTCTTTTCTTTTTTCTTTTTTTTTTTTTTTGAGATGGAATCTTGCTCTGTCACCCAGGCTGGAGTGCAGTGGCATGATCCCAGCTTACTGCAACCTCCATCTCCTGGGTTCAAGCAATTCTCCTGCCTCAGCCTCCTCAGTAGCTGAGATTACGGGTGTGCGCCACCATGCCCAGCTAATTTTTGTATTTTTAGTAGATACAGGGTTTCCCTATGTTGGCCAGGCTGGTCTCGAACTCCTGACCTCAACTGATCTGTCCACCTTCGGCCTCCCAAAGTGCTGGGATTACAGACATGAGTCACCACACCTGGCCAGAGCCTACATTCTTTATCAGTGCAGCATACTTTGCACATGTGTGTATGAAAATATATTTAAATATATCTTTGCTTCTAACTCGCTACCTTGGGCAGGTTATACAACCTCTCTGAAACTCAGGCTTCCCCATTTGTGAAATGGAATAGTATCTGTCTCTGGGTTGTTGTGACAACTTGAGGAGATAAGAAATATGTAAATTGCCTACCATAAAGTATGGTACATTGTATATATTCACAAAATGTTAGCAATGATGATTAGAGCCCACATTTATTTCACAAATGATTAATCAGAGTTTGGAAATTTTTTTTTCTTTAATGCTTTTGGGTCAGATTTTGAACACAGCACGAAAACATTTTGGAGCTGGTGGAAATCAGCGGATTCGCTTCACACTGCCACCTTTGGTATTTGCAGCTTACCAGCTGGCTTTTCGATATAAAGAGAATTCTAAAGTGGTGAGTTTACTTTTAAGTATTTAGGTACTTTTTTTCCTCTTTCATCACTCTGAGTGTGTGTGTGTTTGTTTTATATTATAAAAAATTTCAAACGTACAAAAATAGACAGTGGTATAATAAAATCCCATTTTCGCCAACTCTCTATTTGTTACTTATCCTGTGCTAAGTGTTCCTAACGGTGATGGTGGTGGATCACATACTGAGGGATCACGTAAAAAGCACTTAGAAATGCAAGATTAAAGCAGTGTGAATTTATGCTGAAACTCTTTCCTAAGTTCTAATTCAGGTTAGCTTTAAAACCTAAGGAGAGGGCCTAGCATTGCAGTCGTTTCTCTCTAAAGGCATATCATTGAATAATATGAGTTGTGGGCAACTTTTTATGAGCTTTTTTCTTCCTCAAAATGGAACCATGGCTTGAGTCTTCACAGTGTAGTTTTGAAGAAAATACCTCAAGCTCACGTACCTGAAAGTTGGACATTCAGGTTAATGTTAAGGAACAACCTCAGTAACTTAATTTTGTTTGTTTGTTTGTTTTGAGATAGGGTCTCATTCTGTCGCCCGGGCTGGAGTACAGTGGCGCAGTCTTAGCTCACTGCAACCTCCAACTCCTGGGTTCAAGCGATTCTTGTGTGTCAGCCTCCTAAGTAGCTGGGATTACAGGTGTGCACCACCATGCCCAGCTAATTTTTGTATTTTTAGTAGAGACAGGGTCTTGCCATGTTGACCAGTTGGTCTCGAACTTGTGGCCTCAGGTGATCCTGCTGCCTCAGCCTCTCAAAGTGCTAGGATTGTAGGTGTGAACCACTGCATCTGGCCTCAGTATGGACTTGATTTTCTCGTAATAGAGAAAAAAGATGTATGCAGTAGACCTACCAGCATGAAACAGCAGCTTTTGGCCAATTTTTATTAGGCCAGCTTATCATTCACTCTTTACCAGCGTTTATGGATAGGAATTTGTGAATATAACAATAAAAATAGCAACCAGCCTACATTACAAAGCCATAGTAATTAAAGCAGTATGGTAATATGGTACTGGCATAAAAACAGACACATAGACCAATGGAACAGAATAGAGAGTCTAGAAATAAACCCACACATATGCAATAAACTAATCTTTGATAAGGACACCAAGAATACACAAAGGGGAAAAGAATGGTCTCTTCAATAAATAGTATTGGGAAAGTTGGATATCCACATGCAAAAGAACGCATTTGGACTCTCATCTTATGCCATATATAATAATGAACTCAAAATGGATTAAAGACCTGAAACCATAAAGCTCCTAGAAGAAAACATAGGGAAAAACCTCCTTGTCATTGGTCAATGATTTTTTGGATATGAAACCAAAAACCTATGCAACTAAAGCAAAAATAAGTTTAAAAATAAGCAAAAAATAAGTTTAAAATAAGCTTAAAATAAGCAAAAATAAGTTTAAAATAAGCAAAAAATAAGCAAAAATAAGTTTAATAAACTAAAAACCTTCTGTACAACAAAGGAAACAATCAGCAGAGTGAAGAGACAGGCAATGGAATGGGGGAGAATATTTGCAAACTATACATCTGAAAAGTGGTCAATATCTAAAATATATATGGAATGCAACTCAATAGCAAGCAAATGAATAACTTGATTTAAAAATGAGCAAAGGATCTGAATAGACATTTTTCCAAAGAAGACATACAGGTGGCCAACTGGTATATGAACAGATGTTCAACATCATTTATCAGGAAAATGTAAATCAAAACCACTATGAGATGTCACCTCACATCTGTCAGAATAACTGTTATCAAAAAAACAGAAAATCAAGTGTTGGCAAGGATGTAGAGAAATGGGAACCCTGTTTATTATTGGTGGGAATATAAATTAGTATAGCCATTATGGAAAACAGTATGGAGGTTCCTCAAAAAACTGAAACTAGAACTACCATGTGACCCTGCAGTCCCACATCTAGTTATGCATTCAAAGGAAAGGAAATCAGTATCTCAAAGAGATATCTGCACTCCCATGTTTATTGCAGCATTATTCACAATGGCTGAGATATGGAAACAACCTTAGTGTCCATCGATAGATGAGTAAAGAAATTGTGTTGTGTATATATGTGTGTGTATATACGTATATATGTGTGTATATGTATGTACGCACATATTCTCTACATAGTAGAATAATACTCAGCTATAGAAATGAAGAAAATCTTGCCATTTATGACAACAGGGATTAATCTGGAGGACATTGTTCTAAGTGAAATAAGCCAAACACAGAAAGGCAAATACTATATGACTTCATTTATATGTAGAATTGTTTTTTAAGTTGAATTCATCCAGCCTGGGTAATATAGCAAGACCCAATCTCTATTAAAAAATAAAAAGGCCAGGTGTGGGGGCTCACGCCTGTAATCGCAGCACTTTGGGAGGCCGAAGCAGGCGGTTCACCTGAGGTCGGGAGTTTGAGAACAGCCTGACCAACATGGAGAAACCCCGTCTCTACTGAAAATACAAAATTAGCTGGGCGTGGTGGCGCATGCCTGTAGTCCCAGCTACTCGGGAGTCTGAGGCAGGAGAATCACTTGAACCCGGGACGCAGAGGTTGTGGTGAGCCGAGATCGTGCCATTGCACTTCAGCCTGGGCAACAAGAGTGAAACTCCGTCTAAAAAAAAAAAAAAAAAATTAAAAAATTAGCCAGGCGTGGTGGTACATGCCTATAGTCCTAGCTACTCAAGAGGCTAGGGCAGGGCTGGGTGTGGTGGCTCACACCTGTCATCCTAGCACTTTGGGAGGCCAAGGTGGGTGGATCATTTGGGATCAGGAGTTTGAGACCAGCCTGGCCAACATGGTGAAACCCTGTCTCTACTAAAAATACAAAAATTAGCCAGGTGTGAGGGCACATGCCTGTAATCCCAGCTACTTGGGAAGCTGAGGCAGGAGAATCACTTGAACCCGGGAGGCAGAGGTTGCAGTAAGCTGAGATCGCGCCACTGCACTCCAGCCTGGGTGACAAAGTGAGACTCTGTCTCAAAAAAAAGAGGCTAGGGCAGGAGGACAGCTTGAGCCCAGGAGTTGGAGGCTGCAGTGAGTTATGATTGTGCTTTTGCGCTCCAGCCTGGGTGACAGAGGGAGACCCAGTCACTAAAAAATGGTTGAACTTGTGTAAGCAAAGACTAGAACAGTAGTTGCCAAAGAATACAAACTTTCAGTTATAAGATAAAAAAATTCTGGGGATCAAAACGATTTAGGGCAAATAAATAAAAGTAACTAGCCTTTACTTATTTACTAGCATTTCTTACTGTGTTGTCACCCACTGTGCCAAGGTCTATGACTGCCACTGTCACTTTTTTTTTTTTTTTTGAGTCAAGGTCTTTGTTGCCCAGACTGGGATACAGTGGTATGATTACGGCTCACTGCAGCTTCGAACTCTTAGGCTCAAGCGATCCTTCCATTTCAGCCTCCTGAGTAGCTGGGACTGCAAGCATGTGCCACCACACTGGCTAATTTTTTATTTTTTGTAGAGACAGAGTCTCACCATGTTGCCTAGGCTGGTCTGAAACTCTTGGGCTCAAGCGATCCTCCTGCCTCCTTGGCCTCCCTAAGTGTTGGGATTACAGGCATGAGCCACCATGCCCAGCCTGTCGCCATCTTTTAAAAATGAAAAGAACTGATTGCTTTAACAAGAAGAAATTTGGATAGTCAATCATGATAAAATATTTAACCTCGCTTGTAATTACAACAGCGAACCTTTTAAGAAATCAAATTGGCAAAGAGAAATGAAAAATAAGGTTCAGCAATGGCGATGGTGTGATGAAAATTCATTCTCATCTAATGTTGGCAGTGTGAATTACTATAATACTTCTAGGAAGTTGGCGGTGTGTAAGTAGGGTGTTAAAATATTCAATAATTTTACTTCCAAGTGGAATTCCAAGAATTTATACTAAGGGAATAATTAGGGTCTCAATAAAGCTTAGTGTATATAGAACATTCATTGTAATATTACAGATTATGTCTAAAAGGGAATAGTTCAATAAATTATGCCATAGCCAGTCTCCATAATATTTTCTAGTCATTAAAATGATTTCGAATTAGTATCGGGAAGATTGTTAGGACAAAATAGGAAAAATTAGAGCTGGGTGCAGTGGCTCACGCCTGTAATCCTAGCACTTTGGGAGGCTGAGGCAGGCGGATCACCTGAGGTCGGGAGTTTGAGACCAGCCTGACCAATATGGAGAAACCCCGTCTCTACTAAAAATACAAAATTAGCTGGGTGTGGTGGCGCATGCCTGTAATCCCAGCTATTCGGTAGGCTGAGGCAGGAGAATCACTTGAACCTGGGAGGCGGAGGTTGTGGCGAGCTGAGATCATGCCATTGCACTCCAGCCTGGGCAACAAGAGGGAAACTACTTCTCAAAAAAAAAAAAAGAAAAGAAAAGAAAAATTAGATACAAATTACTTGAAGTGTGAATCGATTTTAACTCTCAAGAAAATAAGGTCTAGATGCAGTGGCTCACGCCAGTAATCCTAGCACTTTGGGAGGCTGAGATGGGTGGATCACTTGAGGTCAGCAGTTCAAGACTAGCCTGGCCGATAAGGTGAAACCCCTTCTCTACTAAAAATACAAAAAATAGCAGGGCGTGGTGGCGCGCTTGTAATCCCAGCTACTCAGGAGGCTGAGGCAGAAGAATGGTTTGAACCCAAGAGGCAGAGGTGGCAGTGAGCCGAGATCGCACCAAAGAGAAAAAAGAAAACCACACACAAAAATGCCAGTTATATTACAGTTACATAGAAAAAAAGAAAGGAAGACATTTAGCATCCGAATGTTACCAGTGATTATCCGTGGGTGGTAGATTTAGGGATGATGTGTGGATGATTTTGTGTATTTTTCTAATTTTCTCCAATTTGGGAATGTAACTTACAAATCAGAAAAAACAATTATCAGCCAGGTGTGATGGCTCATGCCTGTAATCCCAACACTTTGGGAGGCTGAGGCGGGAGGTTTGCTCGGGGCCAGTAGTTCAAGATCAGCCTGGGCAACAGAATGAGACCCTGTCTCTACAAAAAAAAAAAAAAAAAAAAAAAAAAAAATTAGCCAGGTGTGGTGATGCAAGCCTGTAGTCCTAGCTATTCGGGAGTCTGAGGTGGGAGCATCACTTGAACCCAGGAGTTCAAGGCTGCAATGAGCTGTGATCACACCACTGCACTCCAGCTGGGTAACAGAGCTGTTGAAAAAAAAAAAAGGAAAGAAAAAACAGGTTGAGTGCAGTGGCTCACGCCTGTGATCCCAGCACTTTGGGAGGCTGAGGCGGGCAGATCACTTGAGGTCAGGAGTTACCAGCCTGGCCAACTTGGTGAAACCCCGCCCCACTTGGTGAAACCCCGCCCCTACTAAAAATACAAAATTAGCTGGGTGTGGTGGTGGGCACCTGTAATCCCAGCTACTCGGGAGGCTGAGGCAGGAGAATCACTTGAATCCAGGAGACGGAGGTTGCAGTGAGCCAAGATTGTGCCACTGCACTCCAGCCTGGGCAACAAGAGCAAAACTCTGTCTCAAAAAGAAAAAACAAATACCAAATACATTAACATTGCAAAGGCAATTTAACCTCAAATGATGTTTTGAGAAGACATCCTGCTTGATTTACTTGTTTGCCCTATAACTGAAACAGAGAAGGAAAATGACAGGAAAACTGTGCACACAACTTACAGTATTTTGTTCTATTAAAATGGATATCCTGGAACAAGTTAATTTTGAATTTAAGGTAACTTAAAATGTTTTTTCTTGTTTTAGGATGACAAATGGGAAAAGAAATGCCAGAAGATTTTTTCATTTGCCCACCAGACTATCAGTGCTTTGATCAAAGCAGAGCTGGCAGAATTGCCCTTAAGACTTTTTCTTCAAGGAGCACTAGCTGCTGGGGAAATTGGTTTTGAAAATCATGAGACAGTCGCATATGAATTCATGTCCCAGGTGATGATCTGTTCTTTCTGCGTTGTCATGTCAGCTCTGCTGGGTTCAGTTGCTTGTTTGCAGGCATGGTGGTAATGCACATGAATTTACTCTTCTTTTACTGAATGTGTAACTACCACCTTCCCACCATCATGGAACCTGTTAATATTATTGTTGTAATTGACTGGTGTTGATCATTTGCTGATGAAATCTAAGATTTCCAAGTGGGTCATGGTAAAAATGTTTCATGGAACATAAAATTCGGGAAATGCACTCAATTCCCAAAATCCAGTTTGGGAACCCTGGGTTAAACAAAGTTGAAAGAAGTTTCTTTATTGCAACTTTTTAGCGTTTTTACCATCTCAGTTGTGTCCTGTGGCTCTCAAGAGAGGGTGCAGCATGTTCTGATATGAAGGCTGCAGAAGTCTCACAGGATGGAGGTTTGGTGACAAGTACTTTGGAAAATGCTCAACTAGAGGATGGTTGGTCCTTGAAAGTCCTTTCTGCTTTATGTTCACTAGGCATTTTCTCTGTATGAAGATGAAATCAGCGATTCCAAAGCACAGCTAGCTGCCATCACCTTGATCATTGGCACTTTTGAAAGGATGAAGTGCTTCAGTGAAGAGAATCACGAACCTCTGAGGACTCAGTGTGCCCTTGCTGCATCCAAACTTCTAAAGAAACCTGATCAGGGCCGAGCTGTGAGCACCTGTGCACATCTCTTCTGGTCTGGCAGAAACACGGACAAAAATGGGGAGGAGGTAAGGTCATTCCTGACTGCATGATAGCAGACAGGATCCATAACAGGGATCAGTTGTCATGGCCTTGTGTTCTGGAGGTGAAACATTTGGGGTGCTTGGAAATCTGATGAACAAAATTGCTTTGTTTTGTTAAAAAAGAGAGTCTCATCCTGTAGTGAAGCCTCTGCTTTGAGGATATTGTAACATAGCAAGTTCAAACCACTACCTGTTTTTAAAAAAATACAGCTGTATACTTCAAAACAAGAAGAAGGAGAATGAAAAGGATTTAAATTTGTTATGTCCCTTTAAAACACGAAAGAGCCACGGTAGTGTTGTGTTTCTTTGTATGAAAACGAGATGTTTCATTAATCTCTTCACTGTCCCCCTGCCCTTTTATTTTAGCTTCACGGAGGCAAGAGGGTAATGGAGTGCCTAAAAAAAGCTCTAAAAATAGCAAATCAGTGCATGGACCCCTCTCTACAAGTGCAGCTTTTTATAGAAATTCTGAACAGATATATCTATTTTTATGAAAAGGAAAATGATGCGGTAAGTGAATTAGTAAAGTGTTGTTAATAAACTAATATTTTCCCTTCCTACTCTTAGGAGATTTGATATGTACAAAAGTTTATCATTCTGATACTTTAATCACTGTTCATTTGAAAAATGTAAAATAATTTACAGATGTCAAATAATAGGCTAATTTGTCATAATGTTCTAGTTTAAGATAATTCCTAGGCTGGGCGTGGTGGCTCATGCCTGTAATCCCAGCACTTTGGGAGGCTGAGGCAGGCAGATCACCTGAGGTCAGGAGTTTGAAACCAGCCTGGCCAACATTGTGAAACCCCATCTCTACTAAAAATACAAAAATTAGCTAGGCGTGGTGGCAGGCGCCTGTAATCCCAGCTACTTGGAAGCCTAAGGCAGGAGAATCGCTTGAACCTGGGAGGTGGAGGCTGCAGTGAGCCAAGACTGTGCCATTGCACTCCTGCCTGGGCAACAAGAGTGAAACTCCGTCTCAAAAATAATAATAATAATAATTCCTAAACGCAGTATCCTTTTAGCAATACAGTTTTGGTCAAGATTTGTAAGTTAAATAAAATTTTGCTTGTTTTTCTTTTTTTGACAGAGTCTGGCTCTGTCACCCAGGCTGGAGTGCAGTGGCAATCTCAGCTCATTGCAACCTCTGCCTCCCAGGTTCAAGCAATTCTCATGCCTCAGCCTCCTGAATAGCTGGTATTATAGGCGCCCGGCACCACGCCCAGCTAATTTTTGTATTATTACTAGAGATGGGGTTCCACCATGTTGGCCAGGCTGGTCTCAAAACTCCTGACTTCAAGTGATCTGCCCACCTCAGCCTCCCAAAGTGCTGGGAGTACAGGGATGAGCCACTGAGCCGAGCCAATTTTGCTTGTTTTAAAGGGTTGTTTTTTTTTTTTTTTTTTTGATAGTCAGTAATTGTTCAAACTAGGAATTGTATCCCCATCTTTCTTTTTTCATAATTACTCAGGTAATTGATGAGTGTAACAGAAGCTCCTCAAAACAGTTTTATTAAATTGCCTTTCATTTTTTGTGGTACGTGCTTGATCATGAATTTGTACATATTCTTTTGTAGGTAACAATTCAGGTTTTAAACCAGCTTATCCAAAAGATTCGAGAAGACCTCCCGAATCTTGAATCCAGTGAAGAAACAGAGCAGATTAACAAACATTTTCATAACACACTGGAGCATTTGCGCTTGCGGCGGGAATCACCAGAATCCGAGGGGCCAATTTATGAAGGTCTCATCCTTTAAAAAGGAAATAGCTCACCATACTCCTTTCCATGTACATCCAGTGAGGGTTTTATTACGCTAGGTTTCCCTTCCATAGATTGTGCCTTTCAGAAATGCTGAGGTAGGTTTCCCATTTCTTACCTGTGATGTGTTTTACCCAGCACCTCCGGACACTCACCTTCAGGACCTTAATAAAATTATTCACTTGGTAAGTGTTCAAGTCTTTCTGATCACCCCAAGTAGCATGACTGATCTGCAATTTAAAATTCCTGTGATCTGTAAAAAAAAAAAAAAAAAAAAACACAAAACCCACAAGCACTTATCTTGGCTACTAATGAAGCTCTCCTTTTTTTTGTTTGTTTGTTTGCTTCATTGTTGATTGTGTATTTTCTTCATTCCTGGGGAGTACTAACCCAAAAGCGTCTGTCTCTTGTTTTCTAGTCCAGTTTGAGATTAATTTAGAAGAAAGGAATACTGTATGTGAAATTCATCTTGGGCTTTCCCCTAAATTGCAAGATAAGGCCATGTGTAAGATTTTCCCTAAAACTAGAATATATTAATGCATGTTTGAGAATTTTAAAGCACCATGGTCAAAACCAGAAGCTATATTTTGCATATTTGGACTCAGCCATCCATTAAGAACCCATGTTGTCCTCTGGACATATTTATCAATATAATTGGGTTTTAAATAGTATAAAAGAAAACTTGTGATCTATATAATTTATGTATCACCTTCATTGTAAATTTAGCAGGAAATGCATCACAATTATGATTTTTTTTTTTGCACCAGTGAAACAATAAAGATGCTATTAACAATTTTGGAGCTTTTTTTCCCCTTTCATACTATCTTTAATTGATAAAAAGTACTAGTAGTATGGCTATAGAGTTTAATAGTCATTCTCATATATTCACAGAGCTCACTTAACTCTAGTTTTAAGCACTTGTTGAACAAGGCAGCATCTACTCTTTTAGTCATTTATACCCCTTTTCTTTCCTCAACTTTACCCTGCTTTTCCCAAGGCATGATGAATTCACATAAACCCCCCAAAGGCTCACCACCGATACTAGTTACCTACTATATAATAAACCATCCCAAAACTTACTGTCTTAAAACAGCAAACATTTATCTCACAGGTCTCTGGATCAGGAATTTGGGAGCAGCTTAGCTGGTGGTTCTGGCAAAGAGTGTGGTGTAAGGTTGCAAACAAGATACTGGTTGGGGCTGCAGTCATCTGATGCTTTGACTGGGGCTGACTTTTCTGCTCACTGACCTGGCTGTTAGGCAGAGGCCCCAGTTCCTCTTCTTGAGGGCAGAGGCCCCAGTTCCTCTCCTTGAGGGCAGAGGCCTAAGTTCCTTTCCTTGAGGGCAGAGGCCCCAGTTCCTCTCCTTGACGGCCCTTCCATAGAGTGTCCTCACAGCATGGTGGCTGGCTTTCCCCTGAGTATGAAAGCAAGAAGGAAACCACAGTGCCTTTCAGTGGCCTCCCTGTGGAAGTGACATGCTCATTTTTGCCTTATTCTGTAAGTGGGGAGTCACTAAGTCTAGCCTATATTCAAGGGTAAGGAGAATTAAGCTCCACCTCTTAAAGGGAAAATTTATAGACATTTTCAAATGACTACATCACTTAACCCCTCACCATCTGCCCTCCCATTGCTAGCACTTGATGACTAGCCCTTGCTGGGCTTTACATGAACAGATGTTTCCCAAAGTTATAAAATTAGTACCACTAAAATGTATCAAATGTTAAGCCATTCTGTGGTATGTCATAGTCCAGCAAACCCTTTCTGTTCTTTGTAGGTGTTAGTTTACCCCGTATAAACCTGATTATGGCTTGACATGTCCATATTATTTACATGTTTTGTGAAATACAACTGGAATAGTAGAAAAGACATGAGTCAAGAACACTTGAGTTGGAGAGCTTGGTTTGCAAGTAAGGTAATGTCAGTACAGTGTGTAAATTATCTCTTATTTTCTGGGTTGAGGTAAACCCAATTTTAAAAATAATAAACCAACAAAAGTAAATAAAAGTGAAACAAAAGCACTGCTAGTATCCTTAACTTACAGATTTTTTTTGTTGAACAAAAACTGGGTACCAGATATAGTTAGGCACTGAATCTAAAGGTGAAGAAGATCATAGCCTCTAGCTTCAAGAACGTTAGTCTGCTGTGAAGACAGACCTGTAGTTACAGAAGATGGTAAGGGTTTGTGCAGGAGAGCAGTGAAGAAGAGCTTTGAGGGATTGGGGATGGGGAAGTTCTGCAGAGGGTTGTATGAATTCTCATGGAACATCAAGTCCAATAGTTTATTTAGCCTTCTGAGGCCAGTGCTTTGGCCTGCAGTCCCAGGCTCCTCAGACCCATGGGCTGAAGCAAGTTATACTCTTGGCTGCCTGTAGTGAAATAGATATTTAGAAATTGACTTAGCATTTAAAACCCTTTATAGCAATTTGACAGAGTAATTTTATGTCTATTGGATGTAATAAATATTTGGCTTTGTGCTTTGTGTGTCTGCTATTCCCTGTTCTCCTTTTTTAGTAATTTTTATTGTGTCTTACAAAAAAGTACCTGTCCTTAATTGGGGTGTGGTGGGGAATCCCTCACAGGTGGATGGAAACGCTGAACCAGGGCAGGCTTGGTGCTGAATGGCATTAAATTCCAAGACTAGGGGATAGTTTGGGGGGACACATCTAGGAAGATGCTGTGACTGGATGAGAGATGCCTGCCGTGTTAGACTTTCCTACCCTCCCTTTCCTGCCTCTACCCAGGAAACCAGTGATTCTTAGAGTCCAGATGATCCCTTCTTTGCCTAGAAATTCATGTTTCTGACTCATCCTCAAGCCTGAAATTGGTGGTCATCAGGTTAATGAACTGCAAAAACAGCCCCTGCTGATAGACACTGCTCAAAGAGAGAGGCGTTTGAGTTGATCAGGCACCAGAGCACCTAGAAGGAGAATGATGAGCACTTGTGTACAGTTCGTGTGCAGCTCTCAAAGGCATTGAGAAATGTGACAGACCTCAAGGAATAAATGCACCACCACAGGCACTGAGGGGATTTAAACACAAAGTCTAGGTTCCAGAGGGGTCTTCTGTTAACATTTGCTCTCTCATTCAGAGACCTCAAGGTAATAAGCTCAAGCAGAAAGGATTTCCCAACAGAATTGTCTTTGACAATGGGAATTCCAGACTGCATATTGTAAATGAAAGGTAGAGAAATCTGTGCAGGAGACCTTCCTGTTTGCTGGGGTTTGTCCTATGGGGATGCTGTAGGCATGGACAACAGACACTGATTCAGGTGCCAGTATCTACACATTTACCATACACTTGAATTCCCAAGAGTAGTGACTTGCCTTAGGTTTGATTAAAGACAAATGTTTCCTGGCTTGTGGTCTTGTATTGCTGATTACTCCAGTAGGGCACCCTGCATTGTCCAACAAAATGGTCCATGCTTCCAAAATCTCTGGAGAGGGACTGTATATTTTATTTTTTTGAGACGGAGTCTTGCTCTGTCACCCAAGCAGGAGTGCAGTGGTGCGATCTTGGCTCACTGCAACCTCCGCCTCCCCAGTTCAAGCAATTCTCCTGCCTCAGCCTCCCGAGTAGCTGGGATTACAGGCGTGCACCACCATGCCTGGCTAATTTTTGTATTTTTAGTACAGATGGGGGTTTCACCATGTTGGCCAGGCTGGTCACGAACTTCTGACCTTGTGATCCACCTGGCTCAGCCTCCCAAAGTGCTGGAATTACAGGCATGAGCCACCTTGCCCAGCCAGATTGTATATTGTACCACTCATTGCTGTGTTCAGGCTTGCATCAGTAGTGTCTTCAAATAAGTAAAATCTTAGGCTGTGACTTAAATCCATTTTCACTTAGAGAAATAGAAACACAAGGAAACCTTTGGACGCTTCATAACTGCTGGGAAAGGGGTATTATCAATTGTGTTTGAGAGTCAAACTATAAATTACTTCCCAAGGTTAGTTCTACCTATGCCCAGGAATGAACAAGGACAGCTTAAAGGTTAGAAGCAAGATGGAGTCATTTGGGTCTGATCTCTTTCACTGTCATAATTTCCTCAGTTACAATTTTTGTAAAGGTGGTTTCAAATGCTTTGCTGACCTCCCATAAACAAGGATGTGCCAATTGTAACTTCAGTTCTGCAATTCAAGTCTGCTCCCAAAACTAAAGTCCATTGAATTGCATACTGATTGATAATGTTCATTACGAGTTTATCTTCCCATGTGCAGAGCAAAGACAAGAGGAGATCAGCCATTCCTCCACCTACCCAGAGACGTTGCATTGGAAAGGAGCCGTATCTTCTAGTATGGTTTTGCAAATGTAAAATGTAAAATCTATGCACGCTCACAGGAAGGGAGAAAGAAAAAAAATAAAAGAGGAAGGGTAAGAAAAAAAGTAAAATGTAAAATCCGCCTGATCTATTTTTAGAAATCAGGTTCTATCATTGTTTTTTCAAGCCTTGTCTTTAATTACATACACAAAGGTGATGGAATACTTTCATATACTAGTACTGTCAATTAAAAATAAAACCTTAAGCCCCCCAGCTGACTGAATGGACTCCCTTTTGGCCAAGGAGACCCCCGTGAAACCTGAAAAACCAAGTTCTTGGCCATGATGAGAAGGGAGATTGGACTCGCCCTATTGTACCGCCTTGCTTTTGGAGTTTAGGCACAACTGACCAGTATTAAAGTTAAAATATAGATCATTGGCTGGGCGTGGTGGCTCATGCCTGTAATCCCAGCACTTTGTGGGGCCGAGGCAAGTGGATCACTTGAGCCAGGAGTTCAAGACCAGCTGGCCAACATGGTGAAACCCTGTCTCTACTAAAAATACAAAAATTAGCCAGGCATGGTGGTGCACGCCTGTAATCCCAGCTACTCATGAGACTGAGACAGGACAATTGTTTGAACTCGGGAGGCTGAGGCAGGACAATCATTTCAGCTGAGATTGTGCCACTGTACTCCAGCCTGGGTAACAGTAAGACTCCATCTAAAAAAAAAAATCATTACTGACACTTGTTTGAATTTGGGGGGGAAAGGAAAGAAAAAAATGTAAGACTGACAAAACACTGTGGCAGTAAGATACTAAATTATAAACAAGGCCTAAGTCCATTGCAAGGTAGGGGTTAAGTCACACCTTACAAACCATGAAACCTTCATTTAAATGGGTTTTTTATTAACTCGGGATAATGTGGCTTACTTTCCAACCTGACTCTCATAAGGCATCGCATGACTGACAGCAGACCACCTCCCACCTTATCAGAACTTAAGCATTCCTTTCTACTAACTTCAAGTCTTTAGACGAAGCTTAACTCTTTCAAGCAACTACCAACTAAAGCATCCCTAAAACCCACCTATGACTTGTAAGCCGCAGCTCTGAAACGTCCCGCCTTTTCAGGCCAAACCAATGTATACCTTCCATGTATTGATGTGATTTTATCTGCAATTCTTGCCTCCCTAAAACATATAAAAACCAAACTGTGGGCCAGGCATGGTGGTTCATCCCAGCACTTTGGGAGGCCAAGGTGGGCAGATCGCTTGAGCCCAGGAGTTCAAGACCAGCCTGGGCAACATGGTGAAATTGCATCTCTACAAAAATACAAAAGCTAGCCGGGCATGGTGGTGCACATCTACAGTCCCAGCTACTTGAGAGGCTGAGATGGGAGGATCACCTGAGCCTGGGAAGTCGAGGCTGCAGTGAGCCGTGGTCACATCACTGCACTCCAGCCTGAGCTACAGAGTGAGACCCTGTCTCAAAACAAAAAACAAGAAAAGTTGTAACTCAACTGCCCTAGGCGCACTTTCTCAGGGCCTCTTGAGACTGTGTTTCCCAGGCCGTGCTCACTCATATTGGCTCAGAATAAACCTTTAACAAATATTGTACAGTTTTTTTTTTCCATTAACAGTACAAACAGGCCAGGCATGGTGGCTCACACCTGTAATCCCAGCACTTGGGGAGGCCGAGGTAGGTGGATCAATTTGAAACCAGGAGTTTGAGACTAGCCTGGTCAACATGGTGAAACCCCATCTCTACTAAAAATACAAAAAATTAGCTGAGTGTGGTGGCACATGCCTGAATCCCAGCTACTCCAGAGGCTGAGGCACAAGAATTGCTTGAGCCTAGGAGGCTGAGGTTGCAGTGAGCTGAGATCTCCCCACTGCATTACAGCCTGGGCAATAGAGCAAGACTGTCTCAAAAACAAACAAAAAAAACCCCACAACAGTACAAACAAAAGGGTTGAATATATTTAAACAGCGAGCCTTATCAAGGAATAAAATGGATTGATTAGGATATTGTCCCTCTCCCTCTCCCCCTCTCCCTTCCTCTCCCTCTCCCTCTCCCCACGGTCTCCCTCTCCCTCTCTTTCCACGGTGTCCCTCTGATGCCGAGCCGAAGCTGGACTGTACTGCTGCCAACTCGGCTCACTGCAACCTCCCTGCCTGATTCTCCTGCCTCAGCCTGCCGAGTGCCTGCGATTGCAGGCGCGCGCTGCCACGCCTGACTGGTTTTCGTATTTTTTTGGTGGAGACGGGGTTTCGCTGTGTTGGCCGGCCTGGTCTCCAGCTCCTAACCGCGAGTGATCCGCCAGCCTCGGCCTCCCGAGGTGCCGGGATTGCAGACGGAGTCTCGTTCACTCAGTGCTCAATGGTGCCCAGGCTGGAGTGCAGTGGCGTGATCTCGGCTCGCTACAACCTCCACCTCCCAGCAGCCTGCCTTGGCCTCCCAAAGTGCCGAGATTGCAGCCTCTGCCCGGCTGCCACCCCGTCTGGGAAGTGAGGAGCGTCTCTGCCTGGCCGCCCATCGTCTGGGATGTGAGGAGCCCCTCTGCCTGGCTGCCCAGTCTGGGAAGTGAGGAGCGCCTCTTCCCGGCCGCCATCCCATCTAGGAAGTGAGGAGCGTCTCTGCCCGGCCGCCCATCGTCTGAGATGTGGGGAGCGCCTCTGCCCGGCTGCGACCCCGTCTGGGAGGTGAGGAGCGTCTCTGCCCGGCCGCCCCGTCTGAGAAGTGAGGAGCCCCTCCGCCCGGCAGCCGCCCCGTCTGGGAAGTGAGGAGCGTCTCCGCCCGGCAGCCACCCCATCCGGGAAGGAGGTAGGGGTCAGCCCCCACCCGGCCAGCCGCCCCGTCCAGGAGGGAGGTGGGGGGTCAGCCCCCGCCCGGCCAGCCGCCCCGTCCGGGAGGGAGGTGGGGGGCGCCTCCGCCCGGCCAGCCGCCCCATCCGGGAGGTGGGGGGCGCCTCTGCCCAGCCGCCCCTTCTGGGAAGTGAGGAGCCCCTCTGCCCAGCCACCACCCCATCTGGGAGGTGTACCCAACAGCTCATTGAGAACGGGCCATGATGACAATGGCGGTTTTGTGGAATAGAAAAGGGGGAAAGGTGGGGAAAAGATTGAGAAATCGGATGGTTGCTGTGTCTGTGTAGAAAGAAGTAGACATGGGAGACTTTTCATTTTGTTCTGTACTAAGAAAAATTCTTCTGCCTTGGGATCCTGTTGATCTATGACCTTAACCCCAACCCTGTGCTCTCTGAAACATGTGCTGTGTCCACTCAGGGTTAAATGGATTAAGGGCGGTGCAAGATGTGCTTTGTTAACAGATGCTTGAAGGCAGCATGCTCGTTAAGAGTCATCACCACTTCCTAATCTCAAGTACCCAGGGACACAAACACTGCGGAAGGCCGCAGGGTCCTCTGCCTAGGAAAACCAGAGACCTTTGTTCACTTGTTTATCTGCTGACCTTCCCTCCACTATTGTCCTATGACCCTGCCAAATCCCCCTCTGCGAGAAACACCCAAGAATGATCAATAAAAAAAAAAGAAAAAAAAAAAGGATATTGTGTGGAAATTTGGTAAAATAACATAAACTTGAGCTGCAGTGATTTTAAGCCTTCAATAGGATGTCTCCACAGGAGATGGGGTAGTACAGAATGATTTTTCTCAGCCATTTTATCTTCCTACGGATCCCTGGGAACAATGCTTCTTTTTCTTTTTCTTTTTAGGGGTGTGGGGTGGCGGGGGTGTTGCTATATTGCCCAGGCTGGTCTCAAACTGGCCTCAAACTATCCACCCACCTCGGGCTCCTGAAGTGCTGGGATTACAGGTGTGAGCCACCCTGCCCGGCCCCACTGCTTTTTCAACTTTTTTAAACATACAAATCACCTGGGAATCTTGTTAAAATGCAGATTCTGGAATTCAAGTCTGGAGTGGGGTCTGAGAGCCCGCATTTCTGATAAGCCTAAACTCCATGCTGTTGACTACTCTGAGTACAAAGCCCTGGAGGGCAATTGCATATACCACATTTTAAAGGAGCTTGTAGGGGCCCCTTTCTTATATGGGTTCCATGTTTCCTTGTGGCAAAGACTAAAGTGAAATTGGTGGCAGGGCCTAGGGAAGTGTTTGTGACCCTTTCCTCCGTGGATCATAGCGGGTGACAGCTGAAATGAGTGACCGAGGCCAGGGGCTCAATCAATTGAGGGTTATTCAGCCAGCTTTGGGGCGTGTCTAGGAAAACTGTGAACCACAGGCCTATCTGTGGCTGTTTTTCCAAAGATGTTTTCAGGAGGTTTTATTATTTATACATTTTCTTCAAAGGAGGACAGGGAAGGCATGTAGGAAGAAGGGCAGGTAGGCAATAAAGCGAATGGTTATAGTCCTGGGAGACTTTAGTGTCCAGTAATTCTGTATTTTACATAGATAAGGTGAGTGTTTGAAGGAAAAAGAGAATTAAAGGAAGAATCAATGACACAGATGTCTCTGGGTAAGTGGAGGAATGGCTGATCTTATCTTTGTTCTGCATCTGGGGAGATACACTCGTAATGGAAATTATCAATCAGTGTGCAATCCAACGGACTTTAGTTTTAGGAGCTAGACTTGGATTGCAGACCTGAAGTTACGATTGACTTGTCCTTGTTTATGGGAGTCCAGTAAAGAATGTGAAACCACCTTTCCAAAAATTATAACAGGAAATTATGACAGTGAAAGAGATCAGACCTAACTGACTCCATCTTGCTTCTAACCTATAAGCTGTCCTTGTTCATTCCTGGGCAGAGGCCAAACTAACTTTGGAAGGAATTCAGTTCATGGTTTGACTCTGAAACAAAATTGATAACAGCCCTTTCCCAAAAAGACCCCCTTATTGCCTGGGGACCAGTCTGCTTTTGTAGGCCTAACAAATTAGCTATAATATTAGACATTGCAGTTTAGGGGTCATGCAGCCTCTGACTCCAAGAGTCTGAACCTCCCCAAATTGCTCCTGGGGGATAACATCACTATTGTAAAACCTAAGATCAGTGCTTGAGATATTTTGTAGACCCTGCACTCGATGGATCAGCTGGCACCACCCAGACCCGTAATCTGGCTCACCCAGTTCTGCCATCCCACCCAGGAACAGAAGACAGCAAGAAAACCTCACTTTGACCCCCTGTGATTCCATCTCCAACCTGAACCATCAGCACTCCCCACTTTCCAAGCCCCTACCTGCCAAATTATCTTTAAAAACTCTGATCCCCAAATGCTTGGGGAGACTGATTTGAGTAATAATAAAACTCCAGGCTGGGCACAGTGGCTCATGCCTGTAATCCCAGCACTTTGGGAGGCCATGGCGGGTGGATGTCTGAGGTCAGGAGTTCAAGACCAGCCTGGTCAACATAGTGAAACCCCGTCTCTACTAAAAATACAAAAAATTAGCTGAGCGTGGTGGTGGGTGCCAGTAATCCCAGCTACTCAGGAGGCTGAGGCAGGAGAATCACTCGAACCCGGGAGGTGGAGGTTGCAGTGACCTGAGATCGCGCCACTGCACTCCAGCCTGGGTGACAAGAGCAAAACTCCGTCTCAAAACAAAACAAAACAGAACAAAAAGCAAACAAACAAAACTCCAGTCTCCCGCGCAGCTGGCTCTGTGTGAATTACTCTTTCTCAACTGCGATTCCCCTGTCTTGATAAACCAGCTCTGTCTAGACAGTGGGCAAGGTGAACCCATTGGGCGGTTACAGATATATTGAAGAATGATCTGTGGAAGCATCTGGAGATGCCTGAGGCCTTTGACCTTTCCCTGGGGATCTGGCTGATGTGTAACGCTGGTAACAGCTGTTCATTTGGAAGAGGGTGTTGCATGACTCAGCCAGAGGCTTAACTTTCCATTTGGCATAGGGAGTTTGAGTGTCCTGAGATTTTTAAAAATTTCCTTTATGAGGGTTTAGGTGATCTGGTACTGAGGCAGGAAAATAGGGTATGGAGGCAGGGAACATAAGGCCAATTCACACTTCAGCTATGACATCCATAGGCCGTCCTCCGTAAATGACTTTGTAACTTTGCTTCAGACTCTTCATTTACATAGGGCGTACCCCAAGTAAAGGGTATTGAAACTCACAAAAACTCTGTAACAGGGCCTTTGAGCCCCTATGCTCAGGCCCGCTCCCACGCTGTGTAGTGTACTTTCATTTTCAATAAATCACTTCATTCCTTCCTTGCTTTGTTTGTGCGTTTTGTCCAATTCTTTGTTCAAGACGCCAAGAACCTGGACAGCCTCCACCATTAAGAATACAAGAGCAGTTTCTGTCACATGTACATATGGGGGTGGGTGGATCTCGCTCAGCCTTTCCAGGACACAGCGGTTTGATGGAATGCTTTTCTGAAACTCGTGGCAGAATGAGTACGGAAGAGGGCTGATAGCCGAATTCAGCCAGTGGAGCCAGAAGCGTGTCTCATAGAGAAAGTGCTGGACATGTGACCCGTGGCAGGCAGCTCCGATGATCACGAGCAGTGTAGGGAGCCCAGCACAGGACAAATGCACACACCATGACGTCAAGCGACGTGGACGCTCATTTGTCCCGGGAGACGCCGTGCTGGGGAGGCTCGGCTGTCTGCTGCCATTGCAGGCGTTCTCGCTGCCCTGTAGCGGTTCTTCTGCGTAGGATTATCAGGTCCACCTGCAGAGGTGAGAAATCTTGAGTCTCAGGACATCCAAGGAAAGCCCCGGTGCCTGGGAGAGGGGCTCTGGTCTCTTCTCCTCCTGCTCCTCCTCTCTCACGGTTTAAGAAAAACTGTGACATGTGTTTCTTTTTTCTCCCCTGAAGTTCATCTCTGCGCAGTCTCGGCTGGAGGCAATGTTGTCATTCTTCAGGGAGGTGCGCTTCTGAATCTTACATGGATGCTCAAGTTGAAGTAAATGACACTGATGAGAGGGTGAAGGATTCAATGCTGGAGGCTGTCATCAGGAAGCACCAGTTGTACCATTCTTCCCCTCAGGGCAGAATGCTTCTTCTGGCTATGTAGTCCCAGCTGATGATGGCAGGCCCTTAGAGGAGGCACACTATCACCCACGCCATTGCCATCTTGAATATGGCATTCCTGGTCATGCCCTCTGCACCCTGTAAATCCCCTGGAGGGAAGCAGCAGGGGCTGGCAAGAGGGGACGTTGAGGTCACCTTACCCCCTCAGGCTGGCACAGCAAGGTCAACCATGAGGCCAAATAGTAGGTGTTAATATGGCAGCATTCGGCGGGGGAAGGGGGGTTCTATTTCCATATCAGCCAACTCTTCCTCAGCTATACTTAACATTGCCTAAGTCCTCCAGATAGTCTCTTTGTGATACATAAAGAGCTTTCCTCCCTGGGAGGCAGTGGCTCAAGGTCGGCCCCTTTGGACGTTAGCGGTATTCCTTCTTGCAGGAAAGCATTCATTGTCTTCAGCACCCTCCATAACATTTACGCATTCATCCATCCAGCACCCGCATGTGCACTGTATTGCATTGCACTTCCTATTACAAAGTTTAAGAACATCCGGTAACTATATGCTCATTCAATATTTTTACTCTAGACTAGTGGTCCCCAACATTTTTGGCACCAGGGATCGGTTTCATGGAAGAAACCACACACAGGGCATGAGGGGGATGGTTTCAGGATGATGCAAGTGCATTACGTTTATTGTGCACTTCATTTCTATTATTATTACATTGCAAATATATAATGAAATAGTTATACAACTCACCATAATGTAGAATCAATGGGAGCCCTGAGCTTGTTTTCCTGAAACTAGACAGTCCCATCTGGGGGTGATGAGAGAATGTGACAGGTCATCAGGCATTAGATTCTCATAAGGAGTGTGCAACCTAGATCCCTCGCCCGCTCAGTTCACAATAGAGTTCCCGCTCCTGTGAGAAGCTAGTGCCACTGGGGATCTGACAGGGGGTAATGCAGTTGATGGGGAGCAGATACAAATACAAATGAAGCTTGACTTGTTCACTTGCCACTCATCTCCTGCTGTGCGGCCCAGTTCCCAACAGGCCAGGGACTGGTATTGGTCTGTGGCCCAGGGACAGGGGACCCCTCCTCTAAGCCAATTCATTCCCCACTAGTGTTCCTGTAAGTGGCACTAGATCACAGTGGCTAAGAGCAGAGGCTCTCTCTGGAGTCAAGTGGCTTGGATTCAAATGCTCACTATCACTGGCTAGCTATTTGTTCCAGGCAACTTAGCCTCTGTGTGCCTCAGTTTCTTTTATCTCTTTTCTTTTTTTTTTGAGACAGGGTCTCCCTGTGTTGTCCAAGCTGGAGTAACAGTGGGGTGAATATGGCTCACTGCAGCCTCAGCCTGCTGGGCTGAAGTGATCCTTCAGCCTCAGCCTCCTGTATAGATGGGACCATGAGTGCATACCACCACACCTGGGGTCTCACTATGTTGCCCAGGCTGGTCTCAAACTCCTGGCCTCAAGTGATCCTCCCACCTCAGCCTCCCAAAGTGCTGGGATTACAGGCGAGAGCCACCGCACCCAGCTTCAGTTTCTTCATGTGTAAAATGGGACACTATTTTGACCAGACCATTGTGTTGTCATGAATCTTAGAACAGTGTCTATCTTAAAATATTTTACATATTTATACCCTGGAACATTAGTTGCCACTGTTCCTGGGCATAAAAAATATCTGTAAAGGCAGAAGCATGAAATAAAATTCTTGATTTTTTTCCCTCCTGTATCTTTTGTTTTAGAAAAAGTTCTGAGAGAGTTAGAGGTAACTAGGGGAAATAAAAGGCCCTCTGAATTTGGGTGATGGAAGTTTCCCCCCAACTGGTCTGCCATGCTGCAAACCCTTTCCAAGTAGATATCGCTGGGTCAGAACATCCATCTGTCTGCATGGGTCACTGCTGAGCACTTAATTCTGGTCTTTAGGCAGTTTCATTGTGTGTGCCCACAATGTACACAAAACCTTGGAAACCTAATCAAGTCAGGATCTCAGGAGACAGCACACAAGCAATGGGTTCTCTGAGCTGCTGGAAAGAGAAAGTGCCACTTTAGACAATGTTTGTACTTAAGAAACAATTCTGGTCAAATTCAACAGGAATGTAAGAAACAGTAATGGATGGCAGACAAGGAAGGGGCAGGCGGGTGCGATGATGGAAGGCAGTGGTTTTCATTCTCAGCTGTACCTTGGAATTTCTGGAAGTCATTTTTTTCTCTTTGTATCTTTATTTTATTTTATTTGTGTTATTGTTTTTTTTTTTTTATTCTTTTCTTTATTATACTTTAAGTTCTGGGATACATGTGCAGAACATGCAGGTTTGTTATATAGGTATACATGTGCCATGTATCTATGCTGCACCTATCAACCCGTCATCTATATTAGGTATTTCTCCTAATGCTATCCCTCCCCTAACCCCCCACCCCCCGACAGGCCTGGGTATGTGATGTTCCCCTCCCTGTGTCCATGTGTTCTCATTGTTCAACTCCCACTTGTGAGTGAAAACATGCGGTGTTTGGTTTTCTGTTCCTGTGTTAGTTTGCTGAGAATGATGGTTTCCAGCTTCATCCATGTCCCTGCAAAGAACAGGAACTCATCCTTTTTTATGGCTGCATAATATTCCATGGTGTATATGTGCCACATTTTCTTAATCCAGTCTACCATTGATGGGCATTTGGATTGGTTCCAAGTCTTTGCTATTGTGAATAGTGCTGCAATAAACATACGTGTGCATGTGTCTCTATAGTAGAATGATTTATAATCCTTTGGATATATACCCAGTAATGGGATTGCTGGGTGAAATGGTATTTCTGGTTCTAGATACTTGAGGAATCACCACACTGTCCTCCACAATGGTTGAACTAACTTACACTCCCACCAACAGTGTAAAAGTGTTCCTATTTCTCCACATCCTCTCCAGCATCTGTTGTTTCTTGACTTTTTAATGATCACTGTTCTAACTAGCATGAGATGGTATCTCATTGCGGTTTTGATTTGCATTTTCTCTAATGACCAGTGATGATGAGCTTTTTATTCACATGTTTGTTGGCTGCATAAGTGTCTTCTTTTGAGAAGTGTCTGTTCATATCTCCACTCCCCACCCCCCCACTGCCTTTTTCTGTGGTTGTTTGTTTTTCTTGTAAATTTGTTTAAGTTCCTTGTAGATTCTGGATATTAGCCCTTCATCAGATGGATAGATTGCAAACATTTTCCCCATTCTCTAGGTTGCCTTTTCACTCTGATGATAGTTTCTTTTGCTGTGCAGAAACTTCAGTTTAATTAGATCCCATTTGTCAATTTTGGCTCTTGTTGCAATTGCTTTTGATATTTTAGTCATGAAGTCTTTGCCCATGCCTATGTCTTGAATGGTATTGCTTAGGTTTTCTTCTAGGGTTTTTATGGTTTTAGTTACATTTAAGTCTTTAATCCATTTTGAGTTAATTTTTGTATAAGGTGTAAGGAAGGGTTCCAGTTTGTTTTCTGCATATGGCTAGCCAGTTTTCCCATGACCATTTATTAAACAGGGAATCCTTTCCCCATTGCCTGTTGTCAGGTTTGTCAAAGATCAGATGGTTGTAGATATGTGGCATTATTTCTGAGGCCTCTGTTTTGTTCCATTGGTTTATATATCTGTTTTGGTACCAGTACCATGCTGTTGTGGGTACTGTAGCCTTGTAGTATACTATGAAGTCAGGTAGCGTGATGCCTCCAGCTTTGTACTTTTTGCTTAGGATTGTCTTGGCTATATGAGCTCCTTTTGGTTCCATATGAAATTTAAAGTAGTTTTTTTTTTTTAATTCTGTGAAGAAAGCCACTGGTAGCTTGATGGGGATAGCATTGAATCTATACATTAATTTGGGCAGTATGGCCATTTTCACGATATTGATTCTTCCTATCCATGAGCATGAAATGTTTTTCCATTTGTTTGTGTCCTCTCTTATTTCCTTGAGCAGTGATTTTAGTTCTCCTTGAAGAGGTCCTTCACATCCCTTGTAGGTTATATTCCAGGGTGTTTTATTCTCTTTGTAGCAATTGTGAATGGGAGTTCACTCATGATTTGGCTCTCTGTTTGTTTATTATTGGTGTATAGGAATGCTTGTGATTTTTGAATGTTTATTTTGTATCCTGAGACTTTGCTGAAGTTGTTTATCAGCTTAAGGAGATTTGAGGCTGAGAACGATGGGGTTTTCTAAATATACAATCATGTTATCTGAAAACAGAGACAATTTTACTTCCTCTCTTCCTATTTGAATACCTTTATTTCTTTTTCTTGCCTGATTGCAGTGGCCAGAACTTCCAATACTATAGGAGTGGTGAGAGAGGGCATCCTTGTCTTGTGCCAGTTTTCAAAGGGAATGCTTCCAGCTTTTGCCCATTCAGTTTGATATTGACTGTGGATTTGTCATAAATAGCTCTACTATTTTGAGATACATTCCATCAGTACCTAGTTTATTGAGAATTTTTAGCATGAAGGAGTGTTAAATTTTATCGAAGGCCTTTTCTGCATCTATTGAGATAATCATATGGTTTTTGTCACTGGTTCTGTTTATGTGATGGATTACATTTATTGATTTGCATATGTTGAAGCAGCCCTGCATCCCAGGGATGAAGCCAACTTGATAGTGGTGGGTAAGCTTTTTGATGGCCTGCTGGATTCGGTTTGCCAGTATTTTATTGAGGATTTTCACATCGATGTTCATCAGGGATATTGGCCTGAAATTTTCTTTTTTTGTTGTGTCTCTGCCAGGTTTTGGTATCAGGATGATGCTCGCCTCATAAAATGAGTTAGGAAGGAGTCCCTCTTTTTCTATTGTTTGGAATAGTTTCAGAAGGAATGGTACCAGCTCCTCTTTGTAACTCTGGTAGAATTCGGCTGTGAATCAGTCTGGTCCTGGGCTTTTTTTGGTTGGTAGGCTATTAATTACTGCCTCAATTTCAGAACTTGTTATCGATCTATTCAAGGATTCAACTTCTTCCTGGTTTAGTCTTGGGAGGGTGTATGTGTCTAGGAATTTATCCATTTCTTCTAGATTTTCTAGTTTATTTGCGTAGAGGTGTTTGTAGTATTTTCTGATGGTAGTTTGTATTTCTGTGGGATCAGTGGTGATATCCCCTTTATCATTTCTTATTGTGACTGTTTGATTCTTCTCTCTTTTTTTCTTTATTACTCTGACTAGTGGTCTATTTTGTTAATCTTTTCAAAAAACCAGCTCCTGGATTCACTGATTTTTTGAAGGGTTTTTCCTGTCTCTATCTCCTTCAGTTCTGCTCTGATCTTAGTTATTTCTTGTCTTCTGCTAGCTTTTGAATTTGTTTGCTCTTGCTTCTCTAGTTCTTTTAATTGTGATGTTAGTGTGTTGATTTTAGATCGTTCCTGATTCATCCTGTGGGCATTTAGTGCTATAAATTTCCCTCTAAACACTGCTTTAGCTGTGTCCCAGAGATTCTGGTACGTTGTGTCTTTGTTCTTATTGGTTTCAAAGAGCTTATTTATTTCTGCCTTAATTTCATTATTTACCCAGTAGTCATTCAGAAGGAGGTTCTTCAGTTTCCAGGTAGTTGTGTGGTCTTGGGTGAGTTTCTTAATCCTGAGTTCTAATTTGATTGCACTGTGGTCTGAGAGACTGTTATGATTTCCATTCTTTTGCATTTGCTGAGGAGTGTTTTACTTCCAATTATGTGGTCAACTTTAGAGTAAGTGTGATGTGGTGCTGAGAAGAATGTATGTTCTGTTTATTTGGGGTGGAGGGTTCTGTAGATGTCCATTAGGTCTGCTTGGTCCAGAGCTGAGTTCAAGTCCTGAATATCCTTGCTAATTTTCTGTCTCATTGATCTGTCTAATATTGACAGTGAGGTGTTAAAGTCTGTCACTATTATTGTGTGGGAGTCTAAGTCTCTTTGTAGGTCTCTAAGAACTTGCTTTATGAATCTGGGTGCTCCTATGTTGGGTGCATATATATTCAGGATAGTTAGCTCTTCTTGTTGCATTGATCCCTTTACCATTATGTAATGCCCTCCTTTGTCTTTTTTGATCTTTGTTGGCCTTTTTTTTTTTTTTTTTTTTTGAGATGGAGTCTTGCTCTGTTGCCCAGGCTGGAGTGCAGTGGTGTGATCTCGGCTCATTGCAAGCTCCGCCTCCTGGGTTGATGCCATTCTCCTGCCTCACCCTCCTGAGTAGCTGGGACTACAAATGCCTGCCACTACACCCGGCTAATTTTTTGTATGTTTAGTAGAGACGGGGTTTTACCATGTTAGCCAGGATGGTCTTGATCTCCTGACCTCGTGATCCACCCGCCTTGGCCTCCCAAAGTGCTGGGATTACAGGTGTGAGCCACCGCACCCGGCCTGCTGGTTTAAAGTCTGTTTTATCAGAGACTAGGATTGCAACCCTTGCTTTTTTTTTCTTTTTTTTTTTTTTTTTTCTTTCCATTTGCTTGGTAAATATTCCACCATCCCTTTATTTTGAGCCTATGTGTGTCTTTGCATGTGAGATGGGTCTCCTGAATACAGCACACCAATGCGTCTTGATTCTATTCAATTTGCCAGTCTGTGTCTTTTAATTGGGGCATTTAGCCCATGTACTTTCAAAGGTAATATTGTTATGTGTGAATTTGATCCTGTCTCTATGACACTGGCTGGTTATTTTGTCTTTTAGTTGATGCAGTTTCTTCACAGTATTGATGGTTTTTACAGTGTGATATGTTTTTGCAGTAGCTGGTATCAGTTTTTCCTTTTCATATTTAGTGATTCCTTCAAGAGCTCTTGTAAGGCAGGCCTGGTGGTGACAAAATCTCTCAGCATTTGCTTTTCTATAAAGGATTCTATTTCTCCTTCGCTTATGAAGCTTAATTTGGCTGGATGTGAAATTCTGGGTTGAAAATTCTTTTCTTTAAGAATGTTGAATATTGGCCCCTACTCTCTTCTGGCTTATAGGGTTTCTGCAGAGAGATCCAGCGTTAGTCTGATGGGCTTCCCTTTGTGGGTAACCCAGCCTTTCTCTGGCTGCCCTTAACATTTTTTCCTTCATTTCAACCTTGGTGAATCTGACAATTATGTGTCTTGGGGTTGCTCTTCTCGAGGAGTATCTTTCTGATGTTTTCTTTATTTCCTGAATTTGAATGTTGGCCTGTCTTGCTAGGTTGGGGAAGTTCTCCTGGATAATGTCCTGAAGAGTGTTTTCCAACTTGGTTCCATTCTCCCTGTCACTTTCAGGTACACCAATCAAACATATGTTTGGTCTTTTGCATAGTCCCATACTTCTTGGAGGCTTTGTTCATTCCTTTTCATTCTTTTTTCTCTAATCTTGTCTTCACAGTTTATTTCATTAAGTTGATCTTCAATCTCTGATATCCTTTCTTCTGCTTGATTGATTTGGCTATTGATACTTGTGTATGCTTCATGAAGTTCTCATGCTGTGTTTTTCAGCTCCATCAGGTCATTTTTATTCTTCTCTAAACTGGTTATTCTAGTTAGCAATTCGTTTAACCTTTTTTCAAGGTTCTTAGCTTCCTTGCATTGGGTTAGAATTAGAACATGCTCCTTTAGCTCAGAGGAGTTTGTTATTACCCACCTTCTGAAGCCTACTTCTGTCAATTCATCAAACTTATTCTCTGTCCAGTTTTGTTCCCTTGCTGGAGAGGAGTTGTGATCCTCTGGAGAAGAAGAGGTGTTCTGGTTTTTGGAATATTCAGCTTTTTTTGCGAGGGTTTTTCCTCATCTTTGTGGATTTATCTACCTTTGGTCTTTGATGTTGGTGACCTTCAAATGTGGTTTATGTGTGGACATCCTTTTGTTGATGTTGATGCTATTCTTTTTCTGTTTGTTAGTTTTCCTTTTAACAGGCAGGCCCCTCTGCTGCAGGTCTGCTGCAGGTCTGCTGGAGTTTGCTGGAGGTCCACTCCAGACCCTGTTTGCCTGGATATCACCAGCAAAGGCCACAGAACAGCAAGGATTGCTGCCTGTTCCTTCCTTTGGGAAGCTTCATCCCAGAAGGGCACCTGCCAGATTCAAGCCGGAGCTCTCCTGTATGAGTTGTCTGTTGACCCCTGCTGAGAGGTGTCTCCCAGTCAGGAGGCACAGGCATCAGGGACCCACTTGAGGAAGCACTCTGTCCCTTAGCAGAGCTCGAACGCTGTGCTGGGAGATCCACTGCTCTCTTCAGAGCCGGCAGGCAGGAATGTTTAAGTCTGCTGAAGCTGCACCCACAGCTGCCCCTTTCCCCAGGTGCTCTGTCCCAGGGAGATGGGAGTTTTATCTATAAGCCCCTAACTGGGGCTGCTGGGAAGGCAGTTTTTTTTTTTTTAAGAGATGGAGTCTTACTCTATTTTCCAGGCTGAAGTGTGTGGTACAATCATAGCTCATTGTAGCCTTGAACTCCTGGGCTCAAGTGATCCTCCCACCTCAGCCTCCTGAGTAGTTGGGACTGCAGGTGCGCAGCACTACATTCGGCTGATTTTTAAATTTTTATTTTTGTAGAGACAAAGCTCTTGCTTTCTTGCCCAGGCTGGCCTCAAACTCCTGGACTCAAGCCATCTTCCTACCTCTGCCTCCCAAAGTGCTGGGATTACAGGCATGGGCCACCATACCTAGGCTAAAGGCATTTTTTAAAAATGTGAATACCTGGGCCCCACTCCAAGCCAATTAAATCCTAAGTGGGTGGAGAACTGCAGCTATAAGCAAAGCAAATTGTGTGGGTGCCACAGAGTAGATTTAGCCTCTGAGATGGGTGGAAGGGAATGGGCTTTCTCAGACCATGATGAGGTCTTGTGAGTGATGAGATGCCCAAAGCTTGTTCTTATTTTCTAATTTTCTATAGTGAACATGGATTACTTATACAAAAGATATATGGGATATTAATTAATTAATTAGAGACAGGGTCTCCCTCTGTCACCCAGGCTGGAGTGCTGTGGCGCAATCTCGGCTCACTGCAGCCTCAGTCTTCTGGGTTCAAGCAATCCTCCCACATCATCCTGCCCAGTAGCTTGGACCACAGGCATGCACTACCATGCCCAGCTAATTTTATTTTTTGTAGAGACAGGGTCTGCCTATGTTGTCCAGGCTGGTCTTGAACTACTGGGCTCAAGCGATCCTCCTGCCTCGGTCTCCCAAAGTGCTGGGATAACAGGCACGAGCCACTGCACCCAGCCCTAAAGATACTTCCATAATATAGTATGTTCTCAGAAAACATATCTATTGGTGGTGTGTGTGTGTGTGTGTCTGTGTGTACGTGTGCATGCATGTGTGGATGTATCACTCAGGAAGGGGCAGGCTTTGGTGTGGTAACAAATAATTCCAAAATTTCAGTGGCTCAGCAAATATTTACTTCTCACTCCAACACATGGTTGACAAGTGTCTACAACAGGGATCTGTTCATTGGAGCCACTAAGAGACTCAGGCCGAGAGGCTGAGAAAGGGAAGAAGAAAAAAAGAGTGGATTGTCCCTTAAAGCTTCCATCCAGAAGTGATTCATGTTGCTTCTCATATTTCCATGACCAGGGCGAGTCATGTGGAATTGTTACCCAGAGAGGCAAGGGAGTCCTCCGGTTCTTGGTCTTCTTGAAGGAAAGAATTCACACTAGAGACATGCAAAAAGAAAGCTGCCCCTGCCTGGCTACCTGCCTGCTGTAACAGAATCACCTAACTCTAAGGAAAGGGAAAGTTTGTGCCTGCGGGAACTGGAAATATTTGGTAGACAGCGCTAGTGGTCACTCCTGTAGGTCCAGCATGCCATTTGCCTCTTCTCGTTATTCAGCAATGCTTTGGGATGTATCCAAGTTGATACACATGGATGGAGTTCATTATGATAAAGTCAGTAAGCTGGACACAAGAGGGGACTGTGTTGGAATGCTGTATAACTCCAACATCCCTCAGACATTTTTTTTTTTTTTAGAGACTGTCTTGCTATGTTGACCAGGCTGGCCTCAAACTCCTGGGCTCAAGGTTCCCTCCAGTCTCCGAAGTAGTGGAGACTACAGGTGTGCACAATCATGCCCTGGCCCTGAGGCTTTTTATCACTTGTTATGCTCTCCTTACAACTCTTCTTGGCCTCCAATTCAGCAATTGAGCAACTAATCAGACCATGAAGAATGAGTTATTCAGTCAGTGCCTAAGGAGTGCCTTGTGCCAGAAGATATCATGGCCCAGAGGGTTGGGGAGGAGCACGCCTAGAGAGCAGGAACTAAGAGTTTGGTTTGGACATGTTGGGTTTCAGATCCCTGATGGGCTTCCAGGCCGAGATGTGACATTAGCAGCTGCAGAGTGGCTGGGACAGATGTCAGGACAGGAGGTAACTTGGGAGTCATCAGGCATGGAGGAACACACT
Source organism: Homo sapiens (assembly GCF_000001405.40). Lineage (NCBI taxonomy): Eukaryota > Metazoa > Chordata > Mammalia > Primates > Hominidae > Homo > Homo sapiens. The sequence continues at coordinate 46,638,937 of NC_000016.10, read as the reverse complement.
GTCGTGTGCTGTGAGTCACCTGGGGATCTGTTAAAATGCAGATGCTGATTTAGTAGGACCAGGCAGTGCCTGGGAATCTGCATTTCGAACACTCTCTCAGGTGCTGCGGCTGGTCCACAGGGCAGGCTTTGAGGAGTGAAGATGTAGACAGAGCTTAAAGTCATGGGACTGTGTGGGATGAACCAAGGCTCAGGTATGGGTTGAGAAGAGAAGAAACCCTTAGTCCCGAAGAGACAATGCCTCCTGGCTCTGCTTCTGAGCTCAGGGCTATACGGAATGATGCCTTTCCCAGGGCACATCACCCAAGCTGTTCAAGAGTGTCCTCTGAGGAAGAATAAAATGTGAGGCTCCCTCAGACAAAAGGGCTGGGAGGCTTCCCGAGGGAGAGGTTGTTCCATTCTAGGGGACTTTCCTTAGGAGGACAGGAGGAAGGTCTGGGTGAGAGCAGTGATGGGGGTGGTGGAGGAGGGGAGAACAGGCCTCCTTGCATCATGAACCCGCCAGCCCAGCTGTGCTGTGTGCAAATGTTCACTGGGCTAGCTGGAATTCTTAACAGACATTCCAAGAATCCAGGAGGTTTCTGGGCAGGTTAGTGAGAATTGAAGCAGAAAAATCACATTCATTCCAATTTCTGAGAAAGTGTCCATTTTTTGGAACTGGTTGTTTAATTAGGGCCAAGAGGACTTTCCGTGCACCCTTTCATCCACTCAAGAAATATTTATTAGGCTCCAACCAGGTTCCAGGCTCTGTACTGGGTACTGAGGAGATATTAGTGGACAGAACATCGTTCTCATAGTCCTCATCCTCAGTGGGAGACAGAGAACAAACAAGTAGAGAAAGAAATTCATAATTACAGATTGTGAAAACGCACTGCAGGAAACTAACCGGGTGTGGTGCTGGAGGATGATGGGATGATGAGGTGAGATCTAGTTTAGATTGGCGGTCATGAAAGGCCTTTCTGAGAAGGGACATGAATCAAAGACCAAAGAGAATTCCACTGCATGCAGAGGCACATGTGTGATCCTGAGAAGAAGTTGCTGGTAAGTTAAACACTTGTAAACAAAACCACATGGGAAGTGCAACGGGGGCAGCCCCTCTGTTGAAAGGAGCCTACTGGAAAGGTGGCTATGGGCCTGGTCCTCGGCAGTATGCATGCCATGTCCTGATTTCCTTACTGATGAGTTCTATGAACATTTAGTGTGCCAGCTAGTGTGCAGGCCACTGGGACAAGATGATAAGAAAGCAGACCTGACTCTTGTCCTCATGGAGCTCACGGTCGTTTTTTTTTTTTTTTTTTTTTTTTTTTTTTTTTTTTTTTTTTTTTTTTTTAAAGAGATGAGCGTCTCACTCTGTCACCCAGGCTGGAGTGCAATGGTGCAATCATAACTGGCTGCGGACTCGAACTCCTGGGCTCCAAGGAATCCTCTCACCTCAGCCTCCCAAGTAGCTGGGACTAGAGGTGCGGGTCACTGTGCCTGGCTAATTTTTAAATTTTTAGTAGAGATGGGGTTTCGCTATGTTGCCCAGGTTGGTCTTAAACTCCGGGCCTTAAGTGATCCTCCTACTTTGGCCTCCCAAAAACACTGGGATTCCAAGGGGAAGCTGTCAGGCTGGCCAGTGCTGTCTGTTAAAGGGGAGGCAGGAAAACCAGAAAAGTGTAAATTGTGATAAGAGCTGCATAGGAAGAATGCAGGGGGCTATAAGAATAGCAGATCATTTACTCTAGGCTGGGGAGGCAGAGACCAATTAAGAAGTAATTGCAGTTGCCCAGACAAGGGATGATCATGTTTTGGAATAGGGTGATGACTGCAGAGAAGGAGTGAGAAGTGTTAAGAATTTGGTATATGCTTTGGAAGTTGGATTACAAGACTTGCTGATGGATTGGATGTAGAGAGGTGACTCCTCTATTTTCTCTTGAGAAACTGGATAGATAATGGTATCACGTACGTAAGTGGAGAATCCTGGATGGAGGTCGAGTTTGAGGGGGCTGATAAAGAGTTTAGGTTTGGACCTGCTGATTTTAAATATGTAGTAGACAATGGGATATGGAGAGCTAGTGCTAAGAAAAATGGTCCATACATATTAGAGTTGTAGTTGTAGTAAGACTGGATGAAATTGCCCAGTGAAAGAACAGAGACATGAAGGATAGGTGGATCCAGCCCTGAAGACTCTACAATTTATAGGTCTGGTAGGCGCTGAGCTGTTTTCTCTTCCTTCCTTCCTTCCTTCCTTCCTTCCTTCCCTCCCTCCTTCCTTCCTTCTTTCCTTCCTTTCTTTCTCTCTCTCTCTCTGCCTCTCCCTCTCCCTCCCTCCTTCCCTTCCTCCCTTCCTTTTCTTTCCTCTCTCTCTTTCTTTCCTCTTTTAAAATCTCACTATGGAGGCCAGGCTGGTCTCCAACTCCTGGGCTCAAGCAATCCTCCCGCCATGGCCTCCCAAAGTGCTGGAATTATAGGTGTGAGCCACCACACCCAGCCTTTTTTTTTAATTAAAAAAAGTTAAAAAGAATGTATCAAATGCGTTTAAGATTTGTGAGCTGTTCTTACTTTTTTCTTTTTAAAAAATCTTTATTTTTTAAACAGCAGTTTTAGGTTCATAGCAAAATTAAGTGAAAAGTACAGAGAGTTCCCATATACCCTACCCCAGCCTCCCCCATTATCAACAGCCCCCACCAGAGTGATACATTTGTTAGAACTGATGAACCTGCATTGACAACACATCATTATCAACCTAAAGTCCATAATTTGCATTAGGGTTCACTCTTGGTGTTGTGCATTCTATAGGTTTTGACAAATGTATACTGTAATATGTATGCATGATTATAGTATTATACAGAAAAGACTCGCTGCCCTAAAAATCCTGTGTTCTGCCTGTTCATCCCACTCTCTCTCCTCCAACCCTTGGCAACCACTGATCTTTTTAGTTTCCATAGTTTTGCCTTCCCTAGAATGTCATGTAATTGCAATCATACAGTATTCACACTCTATGATTCTATTTATATGAAACCTAGAAAAGACACATCTATAGTGACAGTAGATCAAGGTTACCAGGGTCTAGAAGTAGGGGTTTTGTGGGGAGGATGTTTGACTGGGAAGAGACATAAGGAATCTTTTGGGATGATGAAAATATTCTACATTTTTTTTTTGTGGCGGTGATTACACAATTGTATACATTTGTCAAAACATAGAAGTGTACCCTTAAAATGGGTGCATTATGTTGATGTAAATTATAAGTTAATAAAATTGATTTAAAAAAAATGACACAGAGGATGGCCACTCACTTTGTCCTGTTTCCTCCAATGGTAACATTTGAACATATAGTGTAATAGTATCCCTTATATGTGGAAATATAGAATGACATAGTATCTATTATATGAGGGTATTGGCATTGATGCAATCCACTAACCTCAATCAGATTTCCCTAATTTCACTTGTGCTCATTGTATGTGTGTATATGTATGTATAGGCATGTGTGTGTGTGAGTGTAGTGTTACACAAGTTATCCCCTGTGTAGGTTCATTGTCCAACACCACAGTTAAGAAACTGATCAGTTCCAGCATCACAAGGATCCTCATGTTGCAGTTTTATGACCACACCTTCCTCCTTCCTGTTCCCAACCACCCCCACCCCTCTCTCTATCTCTGGCTACCACTAATTCCTCCTCCAGTTCTAAAAATTTATCATTTCAAAAATATTATATAAATGGAATTATACAGTATGTAACCTTTTGGGATTGGCTTTTTTTTTCAGCAAAGTTCTCTGGAGAGTCATCCAGTTTGTTATGGATAGTAGTAGTTTCCTCCTTTTAATTGCTAAGTATGGTATAATGGTTAGTTTTAAGTGTCAATGTGGCTAGGCTATAGTACCTAGTCATTTAATTAAACGAGAATATAGGTATTGCTGTGAAGATATTTTGTAGATGTGGTTACCATCTACAATCAATGGTTTTAAGTAAAGGAGACTGATAATATGGGTGGACCTCATACAATCAGTTGAAGTTCTTAAGAGCAAAAACCAAGGTTTCCCTTGAGGAAGGAGAGGAAGAAACTGCTGCAAAACTACAGCATCAACTCCTACCTGAGTCTCCAGCCTGCCTGTTTGTGAACTTGCCAGACTCCACAATTGCATGACCTATCTCCTTAAAGTTCTCTCTCTCTCGTGCGTGTGTGTGTGTGTGTGTGTAAAATCTATTGATTCTGTTTCTCTGGAGGACTCTGACTGATACACATGTTGTGGAGATATCAGTTTCACCATTCACCTATTGAAGGCTTTTTTTTTTTCCTGTTCTGGGCTATTAGGAATAAAGTTGCTATAAATATTAGTGTACAGGTGATTGCATGAACACAATTTTCATTTCTCAGGGATCAATGCCCAGGAGTATGGTCGTGGGTCATATAGTAGTTGTTTGTTTCTTTTAAGAAAGTGCCAAACTGTTTTCCAGAGTAGCTGTTATCATTTTACATTCCCGCCAGCAACGTTTGAGCGATCCAGTTCCTCTGTATCCTCACCAGCATTTTGACATTTTCCTTAATTTTTATTTTATTTTATTTTATTTTATTTTATTTTATTTTATTTTATTTTATTTTTTGAGACAGAGTCTTGCTCTGTTACTGAGGCTGGAGTGCAGTGGTGCAATCTTGGCTCACTGCAACCTCTGCCTCCTGGGTTCAAGCGATTTTCCTGCCTCAGCCTCCCGAGTAGCTGGGACCTACAGGCACACACCACCATGCCCGACTAATTTTTGTATTTTTGTAGAGATGGGGTCTTGCCATGTTGGCCAGGATGGTCTCAAACTCCTGGCCTCAAGTGAGCCAACACACCCTGCCTGTTTTTCTGATTTTTTATTCTAGCCATTCTGATAGGCATGCAGTGATATCTCATTGTGGTTTTGATGGCAGTGGCTGCTGCCATCACCGCTGGCTGCAGCAGGGAGGCGTGGCTGGGGCTGCACACTCCATGGAGCTGGTGGGAGCCACTGCATCTGCCCAAACCAGGGCTGCAGACCCAGGCCTCCTGCTCTACGGAGCAGGCAGGAGCCTGCCCTCCTGGGCGGGGCAACAGCCACCCAAACTAGGGCTGTGGATCCGAGCCTCCCTGTGCTTTTGGAGGGGGACAGGAGCAGGGAAGATCTGCCCTCCTGGGTGCACCTGCAGCCTCTGGACTGGCTATAGACTTGGTCCTCCCGCTCCACGGAGCAGGCAGGAGACAGGGACAAGCAGGAACCCCACCCCTTCTGAGTTGTTGGGGTGGGAGTTCCCCGGGTGCAACTGCAGCACCCTCCCAGGTGCAGAACCCGGGCATCTCTGCAGCCACACCCTCCGGCCCAGGACAGGTACACCCCACCCTCATCCCTGCAGGCTGGGGGCATCTGCTTCCGCTGCCTGTCCCCTCTCCTCTCCTGCACCTGCTCCGATCTCAGAGCGGGGTTGGGGCCGAATCCTAGGGCCATGAATGGCAGCAGGAGGCCTGGGCGGAAGGGGACGGGTCCCGGAAAGGCCTCACCTTTAGGCCAGGGAGGGCCTGAAGGCTGGGAGCCGCGCTACCAATCCAGCGGACTGGAGTGGGGACCTGTGGTGTCTCTTTTGGGCCCACCCATGGCCACTCATGGACCAATCAGCAGGCACTTCCTCCCCTCTGAGGTCTGTAAAAGCCCTGGGCTCAGCCAGAGTAGGGCAGAAAACGGTCAGACAACGAAGAGGGTAGAAGTCATCTGATATCAGCTGCAGAGAGGCGTGTTCTCTCTGCCGACAGGTGGAGCGAATGGGATGACCAGCTGCAGAGAGGACCTATCATCTCTGCTGAGAGCTGCAGAATCGAACTGCCAGCAGAGAGGAGCCATTCTCCAGGGCCGCCTCTCCACTGAGAGCTGCGGAGAAAGTCCTCTCCCGCTGAGGAGTTACGGAGAGGACCCTTACCCTCTCCCGCCGAGGAGCTGCGGAGAGGGACCCTTACCCTCTCCCGCTGAGGAGCTGCGGAGAGGACCTGCCAGCAGCGAGGAGCCACTCTCCAGAGCTGCCTCTCTTCTGAGAGCTGCAGACCTTACTGTCTCCCGCTGAAGAGCTGGGTAGAGGACTTACCCTGTCTTGCTGAAGAGCTGCGGGGAGGACCTGCAGGCAACGAGGAGCCACTGTCTTCAGGGATTCTCCTCTGCTGAGAACTGAACACTTAATGGATGACCTGCCTACAGAGTTTCCTGAGTGCTACCGTTTCCTGAGTGCTGTTCTAACATTTAATCAAGCTCGTCCTCATCTCGTTCACCTTTACTGAGTATCTCATTCATACCTCATTCTTCCTGGACACAGACCAAGACAAGAACTCGATGCGGGGCCACAGAGGTTTCTGACCCAGCCAGAAAATAGACACCTAAAGTCCCATAGCAGTTTCAATTTGCATTTCCGTAGTGGTTAGTGATGTTGAGCATTTTTCTCATGTTAGTTGCCATCTTTATATCCTCTTCAGTGAAAATATCTGCTCACATTTTTGCCCATTTTTTAGTTGGTTTGTTTCCCTCACTGTGTAGAGTTTTGTGAGTGTTTGTATTCTAGATAACTAGTCCTTTCAGGAGTCGCCACTCTGCCTGGTCTGAACTCAAATGTCTCTCATCCCTGTGTGAGTTGTGGTAATGGTTTAACTGGGCTCTTTGCCCAGCCTCATGGAGTTTCACCCTATTCACATGCGGCTTAGTATTCAGAAAGAGACTAGAGGCGAACCCTCTGCAGATTTCTGGCATTCTTTTTGTGATTTTTTTTTTTTTGAGACAGTCTTGCTCTATCACCCAGGCTGGAGTGCAGTGACACAATCATAGCTTACTGCAACCTCGAATACCTGAGGTTAAGTGACCTTCCCACCTCAACCTCCCAGATTGCTGGTACTACAGGTGTGCACCACCACACCCAGGTAATTTTTTTTAGAGATGGGGTCTAGCTATTTTGCCCAGGCTTGTCTCAAACTCCTGGACTGAAGTGATCTGCCCTCCTTGGCCTCCCAAAGTGCTGGGATTACAGGTGTGAGCCACCGTGCCTGACCTGTGGTCAAGTCTCTTGGTACTTTTTTTTCAAAATTCCAGCTACCTCTCTCTCTTTCTCTCCAAACTCTGGTCTCTGTTTCCTCAGCTCAGTGAGATGCTGTGCTGTGCCAAAATTTCCCTTTCCTGGCTGCAGTCTGGAAGGTGCCTCAGGCAGAAAGTCAGGGTAATGACGGGACTCGCATAATTTGTTTCCCTTCTTTCAGGGATCATTGTCCTGCCATGTCCATTGCTTGAAAACTATCGTTTCATATATTTTGTCCAGTTTTCTAGTTGTTTGTTGACGGAAAAGTAAATTTAGTCCCAGTTACTCTTTTTTTTTTTTTTTTGAGATGGAGTCTTGCTCTGTCACCCAGGCTGGAGTGCAGTGGCAAGATCTCGGCTCATTGCAACCTCTCACTCCTGGGTTCAAGCAATTCTCCTGTCTCAGCCTCCTGAGAAGCTGGGACTACAGGCACCCACCATCGCACCCAGCTAATTTTTGTATTTTTAGTAGAGACGGGGTTTCACCATATTGGTCAGGCTGGTCTCGAATTCCTGACCTTAGGTGATCCACCCACCTCAGCCTCCCAAAGTGCTGGGATTACATGCATGAGTGCCTGGCCCCAATTACTTTTCACATCCAGAAGCAAGCACATCGATCTGTTCTTTCAGTAGGTGTGATATACGCACAAACACTGGCCTGCGCAGGGGTAGAGGTGTTCGTGGCTTGGAGGGAGAGGGCAGATCATTGGACACTGGCTCCCCTTTCCTCTTCTTACTTTCTGAAGAATTTTCACTTGTGTCCTGGACTGGTTTCCCAGACTACATACATCCAGACACATAGAGCATATAGAGTTAAATGCCTGACCTGCTTCTGCAGGGTTTCAAAGACCAGGATATGAGCATCCATTTTACATGATGTGTGCTAATATATATATATATATACACACACATATATATACACTTATCTGTTTATATATAAATTATAAAATAGGAATACACATATATACAAATATATACACATTTTGGTATATATTTTACATATAAATATATACACATTTTTGTATATATTTTACATATAAATATATACACATTTTGGTATATATTTTACATATAAATATATACACATTTTTGTATATATTTTACATATAAATATATACACATTTTGGTATATATTTTACATATAAATATATACACATTTTTGTATATATTTTACATATAAATATATACACATTTTTGTATATATTTTATATATTATATTTATATACATATAAACATATAAAAAATTTGCACACATTATGTGTGTGTGTGTTTGTGTGTATGTGTGTGTGTGTGTGTGTGTGTGTGTGTGTGTATGTATATATATATATATATATATATTTGGGCCATAGAGCCAAGGCCATAATTAAAAGAGCCCTCAGCTGGAAGTCAGGTCAACCTTGGTTTGAATCCAGTCTCCTCCGTATATTGATCCCTCTGACTCTGGGCACCTCGTAAGAACTCACTAAACAAATTTCCTCTAGTATAAATTGAGGCTAAAAACATCTCATAGTAAAGTTGGGGAAGGGGAAGGAGGGGGGCTGGGCATCCAATGAAACCCCTTTTGTAAACGAGAGAGCACTGTGCAATGTGCGGTGTTCCTGTTTGTTTTACACAATGTTGTGGCTAGGAAGCAGATGTTCCCAAACGCTAAGTCCTGCAGTGTGTCCTCCACACAACAGCCAGATAGCTCTTGCCAGAGCAGCAGTCAAGTCACCTCTTTTCTTCTTTGAAGCTAATCAATGGCACCCCATTACATGTAGATTAAAATCTGAACTTTTTCAAAGGCCTTTGAGGCTTTGTTACCCCAGAACGTCATCTCTGGCCACTCCCCCTCTCACACTCTATGCTGAGCCCTCAAGGATGCCGTTCTGTTTCTGGAACCCCACCCTCTCTCATGTCTCAGGGCTTCTCGAGCTGGGGCTCCCCTCTTCCTGGATCCCCACTCTCCCTCCTTAATTCCCACCTCTGTTCTTCCAGAATCTGTCCCACTCCACCTCTGGCCAGCAGCTGCCTGCATCTTATCCTGAAACTCCTAGTCAACGCCCTCTTCTCAGGGAGATCTTCCCAAGACCTCCATGCAGAGGCCCTGCCTGAGATTCTGTCTCCTGACAGCAGCTTTCTCCTTGATGGCAACTCTTCTAGGTTCTGACTGCCCCCTCGCTGGGTGTCTGCTTTTTCATTTGCTGCTTCCCCACCCGACTGCCAGCTCCATGAGGCAAGGGCTAAGTTCATTCCCTTCTCATCCCCAGGGGCCTCATGCAGGGCCTGGTCGCTCAAGAGAAAACTGAAAGGACTCCTCAATGCTTCACGAAGTGGACAAGATTTATTTTCTTTGGAAAATTTAAGCTGCCCTCTAGTGGAAAACGCAAGCCAAATTTCCAGCCTGGCTCTTCTTTGTTTTTGTTTTCGTCATGGGGGGAGCCCCAGACTCTCCAATCAGAGTGGCAGATTGGAGATCTGGAGAGTCTGTCCTCTCCCTGCAGCCTTTGGCAAGGTAGGCCACCTTTTTCTCCTACAGAAGACACTCAGGCCCACCCAGGCTCTGTACAACTGCAGATGGAGAGACAAGCCTCACCCCGATGGGACCCCTCCTAGGACTGGGGCTCCCTCCCTCCCTTTCTCTGCTGTTTAGAATATGCACTGTCTGTCCTGGTCCATATCTGCTCTCAAAGCATTCACATGAAGATCCAGTAACAACTTATAGAGGGACCCTCGTCTCCCAGGGGATCAAAAGCCCATAGCAAATTCTGTTCTGTTCTTGGGGAAGCTGACAGTCTGATTTGGAGGCAGAGGACCCCAAATACAGGCAGCCTTCACCAACCCTGACTCAGGCAGTGATACTGCTGATGAATCTGTGGTTCCTGCCGGGAGCTGGGTGCAGATGCTCATGGTCCAGGCCCCCAGTGCTTGACTCTAAACCTGAGCCATTTGGCTAATGACATAGTGATATCACATTCTATAGAAGAGAACAATATTATTTAGTTTTTCCCATTACTAAGTCGGGCTTAGTTGTAGGTGCTAGCAATACAAAAGGGAACAGGACATGTTTCCTGCTTTGGAAGAACTCACAGACTCTGACACAATATAACAAGTGGACTAAGTCTCAGAAATTGCAAACTGGTGGTCTATAGATAGGTTTATTTGGCTGGCATGGTGTTTAACATTTTTGAAACCTGTTGGTCACATTTTCTTTTTTTTTTTCTTTATGAGACAGAGTCTCACTCTGTTGTCCAGGCTGGAGTGCAGTGGCATGATCTTGGCTCACTGTAACCTCAGCCTCCTAGGTTAAAGCGATTATCGTGCCTCAGCTTCCCAAGTAGCTGGGATTACAGGCGCCCGCCACCACACCTAGCTAATTTTTTTGTAATTTTAGTAGAGACGGGTTTCGCCATGTTGGCCAGGCTGGTCTGGAACTCCTGGCCTCAAGCAATCTGCCTCCCAAAGTGCTAGGATTACAGGTGTGAGCCACTGCGCCCAGCCTGTTGGTCACATTTTAATATGGAGATATCTCAAAAAATCTTGATTTCTGACTTTTCTTGAAAGGCCACCCTAGCAACACCGGGTTCACACCCCACTGCACATACACCAGTGGCCGCTTCTCTGCTTGGTATCAGCCTAGCTTTTTGGGGCATTTAAGTTTGCGACTCCTGTATTAGGGACAGTGAGAGGGGAGCATTTCATTTTGGAGGTGGGGTAGGGTAGGTGGAGGCTTCTCAGAGGGCAACTTCCGAGAGGCTCTCCCAGCAGCGGGAGTGCGAGATGGTGGGGGCCCACACAGGCTGTGGAAGGGAAGTAGGATGAAGCTGAGGCATCTGCGCTGGAGGAAGGGCTATGCTTGGATCCGGCTTTGCAGCACAGTGAAGGTGAATCACAGGCAAGAACCTACATCAAGTTTTCCAGCAGGAATGTGAAAACCGATAAGGCCTCAGGAGAGAGGTCAGTTCAGAAGGGCTTTGCATCAAATGTGAATGATGTCACTTGGGGACTAGGGATCTTGCCACACACAGATTCTTATCCAGCAGGTCTGGGGTTGGCGTGGGAGAGACTGCATTTCCAACAAACTCCTCCTGGTCCCTGCACTGTGCCCTGAGTAGTTTGGGCTCAGAATGGAGGTTGCAATCTGGTGGGCCATGGGACAATTTGGCCTAAGAAATAAAGTTTTTGTGGCTTGTATAGTGTTTAAATTTTTAAAAAGTTAGTTGCTAAGTTTAAAATCAGGTGTTTTGCATTAAAGTCTGAATTTGTCTCCCCCCATCATTTTCTATCACAGTGCTGCATTTTTTTTTTTAAACAGAGTCTCACTCTGTGGCCCAGGCTGTAGTGCAGTGGCATGATCTTGGTTCACTGCAACCTCTGCCTCCCGGGTTCAAGCGATTCTCTTGCCTCAGCTTCCTGAGTAGCTGGGACCACAGGTGCACGCCACCAGTCCCCGCTAATTTTTTTATGTTTAGGAGAGATGGGGTTTCATCATGTTGGCCAGGCCGGTCTCAAACTCCTGACCTCAAGTGATCTGCCCTCTTCAGCTTCCCATAGTGCTGGGATTACAAGTGTGAGCCACCACAACAGGCAAACGTATTTGATTTAATAGTTTGTTCTTAGTGGAGTTTGCAAAAGCATAGGTATTTGGTCTTTGACCCTGTTGCCTCCTGTTCCTTTCCAAGACTTTTCCCAGAAGCAGTAATTTGAGTAATATACATATATTTATATTTATGTTTTTTTTTTTTTTTTTTTTTTTTGAGACACGACTAACTCTGTTGCCCAGGCTGGGGTGCAGTGGCACAATTTTGGCTCACTGCAACCTTTGCCTCCTGGGCTCAAGAGATCCTCCCACCTCAGCCTCCCAAGTAGCTAGGACCACAGCTGCATGCCACCACACCCAGATAATTTTTTTAAAAAAATATTTTGTAGAAGCTGGTGCTGGTGGGCGACGCAAGCGTGGGCAAGATGTGCGTGGTGCAGCGCTTCAAGACCGGCGCCTTCTCGGAGCGCCAGGGAAGCACCATCGGCGTCGACTTCACCATGAAGACGCTGGAGATCCAGGGCAAGCGGGTCAAGCTGCAGATCTGGGACACGGCCGGCCAGGAGCGGTTCCGCACCATCACCCAGAGCTACTACCGCAGTGCCAATGGGGCCATCCTTGCCTACGACATCACCAAGAGGAGCTCCTTCCTGTCGGTGCCTCACTGGATTGAGGATGTGAGGAAGTATGCGGGCTCCAACATTGTGCAGCTGCTGATCGGGAACAAGTCAGACCTCAGCGAGCTTCGGGAGGTCTCCTTGGCTGAGGCACAGAGCCTGGCTGAGCACTATGACATCCTGTGTGCCATTGAGACGTCTGCCAAGGACTCGAGCAACGTGGAGGAGGCCTTCCTGAGGGTGGCCACGGAGCTCATCATGCGGCACGGGGGCCCCTTGTTCAGCGAGAAGAGCCCCGACCACATCCAGCTGAACAGCAAGGACATCGGAGAAGGCTGGGGCTGCGGGTGCTGACCAGGGGCCGGGCCGGCAGACTGGGGGCTCCCCACCTCCTTGCTCTCCCCAGCCTGCCAAGCCCAGCCCTCCAGAGCCAGCCCTCCTGGGTACCGGCAACTACAGCAGCCGGGTGAAGCTCTGGAGCTCTGCATCCTGTGGCCTGGCTGCGGGATGGAGGCTCTCCTTGAGGAAGGGGAAGCAGGATACCCTGGCGGGCCACCCTGCCAGCCAGCAGCTGGCCCTCCACCATCTTCACATTCCAAGACTGGCCTGAACCCGCCGGTGTGGGCCACAGTAGGAGGGGCCAGCAGTCCTCCCTGTCCCATGCCTGCTGGCTCTGACCGTTTCCTCTCATGGGTTTGCTTTACCTGTGGCAGCAGGTTGCTGCTTTCCAGGGATGTGTCCAGTGCCCTGGGTTCTTCCCGGTCATCCTGGGGCTCTGCACAGAGCAGCAGAGCTAGAGCCATGAAACCCACAGACTTGGTGCCTGAGCGCAGCTCCAGGGAAGCCCCAGCCCCTTCCAGGCGGGGAACCTGCTTCCTGCCTTCACTGCCCCCGCAGCACTCACAGACATCTCCCTGGGGTCTGGCTCACTGCCTTATCAGGACCTCTGAGTTTTCTGACTTTCTGTGTAGCTTCTCATTTTCATCAGCACAGCATGGGGTCACGGCCCACAGCTAGGTGGGGTCACGGCCCACAGCTAGGTGGGGACTGTCTGCTGGCTCAGGGCCCAGTGTTTTGCCACTCAGGTTGCAAAATTAGCTAATCCTTCAGTGCCAGCACTCAGAAGTCTGGCAGGTGGGGGAATGAGATGAGAAAGTGGACATTTAAGGTCCAAGTAGAAGCTTGCATCCTTGAGGCTCAGGGATGAGAGGGCACCGCAAGGCACCCAGCCTTACCCCACAAGCAGGAATCCTGCCAGCCGAGCGTGGGTCCCAGTCTAGTTTATGGAATCGAGTCTCCCAGACAAAAAAGGAGAGGCCCTGGCGGTCCTTGGCCTGGCCCATTTTATTCCCTGGACCCTTAACTGCCTCACCCTGAGCTGGGCACCAAGGTTAGAAGGCAAAAGTGGGGTAGGGGGATGTGGGAAGCAGCATTGTCCTCTGGGCATGTGGCTCAGAGGTATCACAGTGACAAAAGAGCCAGGGCTAGGGCTGGAGGGGCCAAGTGATCTTCCTTAGCCAATCCCAGTCCGTCTGTGTCAGCCCAGCTCTGCCTCGCAGCCCCCTCAGCATGGGTGCCCCCAGAAGTAAGCAGCTCTTGGACCCACGAGCAGGGCTGCGTCGGTTTGTGGTCTAGCTCCCAGGGCCAGGCCAGGCATGGCTCAGTGCAGTCCCTGGGCCAGTGAGAGGCCTCCCCCATGCCTCCCTGCCCTCTGCACTAAGCACTTTCCAGGCAGGCCTGGCCATAGGGCAAGAGCAGGCCTTACAGCAGTGCCACGGTGACCCAAGAGGCAGGGTTGGGGCCTGGACAGGGCTTCCTCTGCTGAGACTGAGACAAGCAGGGCTTGATGCTGGTGGTGGAGCCAGCATCTCACCTGCCAGGCTTCCTTTTGGGCAGGGAGGCTACCTGTGGAATGGCTGAGCCTGGTTCTGCAGGGGAGGAAGGCTGCCAGGAGCTGAGGGGCTGGCACCTGCATTGAGGGGAGTCTGGGTGCATCAGATTGGGGGGCACCAGAGGCGAGGCTGCCTGGCTCCCTTTCTCAGCAGCTTTGCTTGTGGCAGGGGTGAGAGTGGAGCTGAGTGGGGTCTGGGCTCTGCCCCTGCGCCTCCACTGCAGTGCCTGGGCTCCCCTTGCAGGGCAGACAGTGCCTGGCACTGAGGGGTGCCCCCAGACCCCGCTGGGACTGGATGTGCCGTGGGCAGTGCCTTCCTCCAGCCTCACAACCTTTCTGCTGGGGCTGAAGTTTCTGGGGTCACATGGTCAGAAGGGGCTGAGCTGGTCTTTCACTGCAGGCCCACTCTGAAAGAGAAATCCCATGAAGCCTGTCCTTGCAGAGCCCCTCTGTTTTTGGGGGAACAGGGAGCATTCACAGGGTCTTGGGAACAAAGGCCTGGGCCTCCCCGTTTGAATTTCAGCCCCAGTTCCAGGGCAAGTCCCAGCCACCCAAGCATACTTACCAGTACTGCCCACCACCACCCACTGCCCACCTCTAAGAAGCCCGGCTCTCCTACTCTGCTTCCAGGCTGGGGCCTCACAGGTGGGGCTGTTACCTTCCTCAGGGCTTAGGGAGGGAGGGAGGACATGGACAGGGCCTTCCACCCTGGCTCCTTCACAGGGATGGTAGCTGACCGGTGATGGGTTCATTTGTCACCTTGGACTGTGAGCCACTTCCACTTCTCGCCCCCCAGGCAGGAGCACCCTCACTCCAAGGGCTTGGCCTGGAAAGGCAGGCTCACCTGGGACTCAACGTTCCTTCCCCCGCCGCCACTGTGCCCCCCCGTCCCTCCACCCCAGAAGCCCTGACCTCATTTGGGCACCTTGCTGTCCTCTGGGCTTCTCCTCTGCCCAGGTCACCCTGTGGCAGGCCTGGGCCCTCAGGATGTTTCAAAGGCTCCACAGCTCCACCGCTCCACCTGGCTTCACTCCAGCACCCTGTCCCTGGAGCACCTCTGTCCTGTCTGGGCCAACCTGGTCTCCCTGCCCCATGCCCTCCCCTGGCTCTTAGCAACCTGCCCTTTTATTCATGCCATTTGGGGTCACAGATGCCTAGCTGGACACAGCTCCCAGAACTGGCTCCACCCTGGGGCCTTGCCCCTAGTACCCCCTGGCAGGAGCAACCCACCCCATGGTCGAGGTTCCCCTACCCCTGGATCCTGGACTGAAGCCATTTCCTACAGAGAAGCGTTCCCACCCCCTCTCAGGCACAAAAGCCGGTGTCCAGGGACTCAAGACCTGTACCTGGGGTTGCAGGGGCTCCTGCCCTGCTGTATCCCACCAGGAGGGGGCCCCACTGCCCTTCCGGCCCTTAAAACTGGGCTGGGAGAGAAGATGGGGAAGTGTGTGAGACAAAACAAAGCCGGCTTGTTTCCTCCCCTTGGCAGGCTAAGCTCTCCCGGCAGCCCGGGCTCTGGGGCGGAAGGAGAACAGTGTCATCTCTTCCTTTGTTGATAAATTGCCAAAGAGTGGGAGCAGGTGGGGTCAGGGGCCAGAGTGCAGGGGAGGGGGCAATGGTGGAGGTGGCGGGGGGAAGCAGAGGGAGGTGGGCTGAGGCCTCGGTGGGGCCAGTGCGACGCTGGCTTAAGGAGCTGGAGGGGTTCCTAATACACATTTAATTCAGTTTCTCTTCCCTAAGAGGCTGCCGGAGTTGGGGCCTCCTCCAGCAGAGACCCTCGGACCCCTGCAGGGCCTGGACTTGGGGTGAACAGGGCTTCAGTCAGCGCAAGTATTCCATTTGCATTTGGTAATTTTTCATGCCACCTATTTATGAATATACAAATCTTTATACCAAATCTATTTTTTAAAACATGGAAAAGTTGCCTTTATGGAAACTTGGCAGAGCCAGAGTGTACACATTCCTAAACCATTAAACAGATTTCTATAACAAAAAAAAAAAAAAAATTTTGTAGAGATGGGGTTTCACCATGTTGCCTAGGCTGGTCTCAAACTCTTGGACTCAAGTGATCCGCCTGCCTCGGTCTCCTAAAGTGGTGGGATTACAGGCATGAGCCACTATGCCTAGCCTGGTTTGAGTAATATCTTGATGGTTGATGAAATATTTGATAATTGGATGAGAAGAGAACTGTGTTGTCTCCAGTGATGCTGCAAATGGGTGAGGAGAAATGCTGCCATTTGTGAGGTTTGTGGGCGGCAAGGTTGAAGAAGAGAATAATGAAAAAGCTAGCGTCATCCTCAAGGCCTGTTGATAGTCTTGATTATTGTTTTCTGTGTTTTTACCTCATGGTGCTCAATATGTATTTGTTCAGTGAGCAAATAAATGTAAGGTCAGATTCTGCAAACAAAAGTCAAAGAAATCTTACTTCCTGGAAAAGTTAGCCCAATTAAGTGCAGCTTTCCAGTCACCCCTCCTGGCTCCATTTTATTTCAGCTGTAAGGGATCCGAGAGACTTTAGCCCAAGGTGTTTCTTCAAAGCAATAAGTGGAAATGTTTCCCCACATTAAGACTGCACAGACGAACTGTCATGACCAGGCTCTTGGTCCCCTGTGGACGCATCCCACTTGGTGTCCTGGTTACCTGGGCTATCTTGGGCTGACCTCATCATTCTAGTAGTGATGGCCTGGCAGAGACATTAAAAGGCTTCTTCATGGAGTCTGGCTGGTTTCACATCCTGGCTTTGCTGGGTTAGATTGGAGAAGTGACTTAACTTCTTAGTGACTCCATTTGCTCATTTGTAAAATGGGTATAGTAATAGCTCCCGTCTCATAGGATCATTGTGAAGATTAAACAGAACAATCCAGGTAACGCATGCAGGAGGGTATCTTGCACACAATATGCAGTAAATGTTAGCCATTATGATGGAGATTATAGTTGTCTTTGATTAATGCAAATTAACAAATTTACTTACTAAATTTAATTTGACATTCTTTGAAAATATGCTCTCTCTCTCTCTCTCTCTCTCTGTGTGTGTGTGTGTGTGTGTGTGTGTATTGAAAGACAGAGAGAGACTGGTGTTTGGTGGTGAAAGTTTTGGGCCCACGTAGGCCAGCATCCTTTTCAGTTGAAGTTGTGCTTGTGGGAGGTGAAATGACTTGCCCAAGGCAATACCACTAGGAATAGCCCAGGTAAGTTTAAATACTATGTTTTTTGACTCTCAACCCAGTGACTTTTCCACTATATCTCATTTCCAGGCATTGCTGGTTCGTTTTTTTCGAAAATCATTCCAAATTATATTCCAATTCGACTTTCTTCAAGTTCATCCCAGAAAAGCAAAGGCCGGGCACTTGAACAAGAACAGCTGTCAGCCTGGGGCGAGGGGGCAGTGTTGGTGGGGGCTGGAGCGGGGCCGGACTCTAATTGGTCCACGGCCTCGGCCCGACTATCAAATCAGCAGAGCCTGCGTCATCACGTCGTTGCCTGGGCTGCCGTCCGCGGAAATTTGAAATGGCTGACGGGTCGCTGACGGGCGGCGGTCTGGAGGCAGCGGCCATGGCGCCGGAGCGCATGGGCTGGGCGGTGGAGCAGGAGCTGGCGTCTCTGGAGAAAGGTGAGCTCTCCATGCCGGGGCCGAGGAGCCGCCTCTGAGCGGAGGCCTGGGGCGTCGGGACCCTAGGAGGGCGCCTGGGTCGCGGGCCTTCCGGACCCGTCTGTCCAGGGTGGCGGGAACGGCGGTGCGCGGCCGGGACCCAGTGACGGGACCTCAAAGTCGGGCGGTACCCAGGGGTGGGGGACTCCCTCTCTTCCCTATCCGCATCTCCCACTCTCCCTGCACTCTCTGGCCTCCGCCCGCCCCGAGGTTGGAGGGAGCTGGATTGGGCCAGGAATTCCCTATCTGGATGGGTTTTGCGGGAACTGTGCATTTACTGTTGCTCAAGGGGCCATTTTTTCATCTGCATCTCAAAGGAGATCACGAACCACACTTCCCTTTTCCGAAGAAGAGAAAAGCTTGAACCCTTGGCTTAGATGGCTGTCCTGTGCACGGAGGGTAGTGACGTGTCCAAAGTGAGGAGCGCCAACTTGGGCCGGAGTCCAGAAATAGAACCGGGGTCTTCTAGTTCTCTGCCCTTTCTTCCTCCTCATAGAGTTTCATTACTATTTTTTTTTTCTGATATTTTAAGCTGGTTCATGTTTTTACGTTAACACTTTCGGTTGTATTGTGTAGCAGAGAGTCCCAACAAAGTGAGAAAACATAAGTGTGACAATTCCACTATTAACCCACCTATCCAACTGGCAAAAGTCACTTGGCTTCAGTTTTCCCATCTGGAAGACTATGCCAATGGTTGTACTTGTGGTGAAGTTGAAGTGAAATAAAGTTTTTAAAGTGGCTGCAAAAATAAATACTGCATGGCATCGCTTATATTGGGAATCTAAAAAAGAGGAAGTTTCAGAAAGAGAGTAGAGTGGTAGTTGCCAGTGGGTTGGGGGAATGGGGAGATGCTGGGCAAAGGGTCCAAAGTTTCAGTTATGCAGTGTGAATAGTTCTGGGGATCTGATGTACATACAGCATGGTGACTATAGTTAATAATACTGTATTATTATTACAGTATTAATAGGCAATGACGTGATGGTGCAATGCGACACAAATTTTGTACTTGAAATTTGCTAACAGAGTAGATCATAAGTGTTCACACCACACACACACAAAAGGTAACTATGCGAGGTGATGGAAATATTAATTCACTTTACTGTGGTAATCATTTCATAATGTATAGGTATATCAAAACATCATGTTACACACTTTATTTTTTATTTTATTTTATTTTTTTTGAGGCAGAGTCTCACTCTGTTGCCCAGGCTGGAGTGCAGTGGCACACAATGTCAGCTCACTGCAACCTCTGCCTCCCGGGTTCAAATGATTCTCCTGCCTCAGCCTCCCAAGTAGCTGGGATTATAGGCGCCCGCCACCACACCCAGCTAATTTTTGTATTTTTAGTAGAGACGGGGTTTCACCCTGTTGGCCAGGCTGGTGTCGAGCTCCTAACCTCAGGTGATCCGCCCATCTCGGCCTCCCAAAGTGCTGAGATTACAGGTGTGAGCCACCGTGCCTGGCCATCAGGTTATACACTTTAAATGTATATAACTTCTATATGTTAATTATACCTCCATAAAGCTATAAAGAATGGTGCTGGAAAAAAAAAGAATGGTGCTGAAGTACTACTATTTCTTTAACAAACATATACATTATGTAATAGGCACTGTTGTAAATTATTAACAATTAATCTTCTTAATTGAAGTGGATGTACTATTATCTTCCCTTTATAGGTGAGGAAGCTGAGGCATTGTCACATAACCAGTAAGGTACTGATGCCTTCTAAGGTTCATGTGCATCAGTGTTTGTGAGCAGTAGACCCTTGAGTACACTTTGGTCATCTGTGGGTCAAGTACTTCTGGTGGCCTGAACAGGGACAAAGAAATGGAAGGAAGGGGGAAAGGGAAGGAGAAAATCAAGGGGGAGGGAGAAAAAAGGTATCTGCTAACAGCTCAGATACCTTCCCTGAAACCACTTCTGGAGACTACTCTACATTCTAAATGCTACCCTTTTTAGCATTGCTTATTTAGTAGTTGTTTCATTTATTAAAAACATTACATAGAATTAGATATGCCACTGGCTGAATCATACCTTATGAAACATTATATACAGCCCAAACCTAATGTGATTTGCATTTTCTGATCTTTTCCTTAGACACAGTCATTGAAATTAGTGAGGAGGAATCTAATAACCTTACTGAAGTAAACCTTATGGATTATTAAGACTCTCGTCCCTGTTTATTGAGGGGCGATTGACAGACTGATATTGTAGGAAATAAAGGGAGGGCTTAACCCATCTGAGAGGAAGTCAGCTCCCTTTCTTAAAGGAGCTTTATGGAATTGCTTTGGAAAATAAATAACTAAGATACTTGATTATTATCACTGGCTAACTGTAGTATAAATCACAGGCTGTATGCTTTGTAGGAGATCTTGAGTGATTTCCACTGAATTAAAAATCAACTGTCTTCCAGCTGGATGTGGTGGTGCATGTCTGTAGTCCTAGTTACTCAGGAGGCTGAGACAGGAGGGTAGCTTGAGTCCAGGAGTTTGAGGTTGCGGTGAGCTATGATCGCACCACTGCACTCCAGCCTAGGTGACAGAGTGAGACCGTTTCTAAAACAAAAACAAAAACAGCCTTCTACTTCTCCCCAAAACCTCACAGAACAACAACAAAAATCTAACTGTGAAAGATCTTAAGCGCTTATTGTTTTGAAGTAGAATTTGGATTTTGAAATATTTTTAAGTTTGGAAAACTAGTTTCTTCTCACAATGGTAGAGGTAAGTAGACTATTCATATTCAAATTCTTGTTTGTATTTTGTTTGGGATTTCTATGCAAGGATATGAAAATAGAAGCATTCAAATAAGGCACTGGAGCTTGCTTATTTTTGCTTTTTTTTTTTAGGTTTGTTCCAAGATGAAGATTCATGCAGTGATTGTAGCTACCGTGATAAACCAGGTTCTAGTTTACAAAGTTTTATGCCAGAAGGAAAAACCTTTTTCCCAGAAATTTTCCAAACAAATCAACTTTTGTTCTATGAGCGATTCAGAGCCTATCAAGATTACATTTTAGGTGAGTAGGTTTTTTGCTTTTTTTTTTTGAGATGGAGTTTCGCTCTTGTTGTCCAGGCTGGAGTGCGATGGTGCGATCTCGGCTCACCGCAACCTCCGCCTCCCAGGTTCAGGTGATTCTCCTGCCTCAGCCTCCCTAGTAGCTGGGATTACAGGCATGCGCCATACCACCAGATAATTTTGTGTTTTTACTAGAGACGGGGTTTCTCCATTTTCGTCAGGCTGGTCTTGAACTCCCGACCTCAGGTGATCCCCCTGCCTCGGCCTCCCAAAGTGCTGGGATTATAGGCATGAGCCACTGCCTGGCTGGTTTTTTGCATCTTTTATCTTTTTAGTTTGCAAGTAGATTATCTATTTCAGTCCCTCAGATTGCCAGTTGTTTCTGAGAAAGTGGATTTATTAACTTCCCTCTGCTTTATGCATTCTCAATTCTTCCTGTGTTTAATTTGTTTGTAGCTGACTGCAAGGCCTCTGAGGTACAGGAATTCACAGCTGAGTTCTTGGAGAAGGTCCTTGAGCCATCTGGATGGCGGGCAGTCTGGCACACTAATGTGTTCAAGGTGCTGGTTGAGGTAAGGTTAATTTTGTTATTAGACCTTTGTCTCTAGCTTTAAGCACTTTACTTCAGACTGTTATATCCAAAGTGCTTATTTTTAATTAAAGTTTATGAGCTGATTCAAATAGCATGTTTTTCACATCTAATTGCCATGTTGTAGGAAGTGTTCTGCAAATTTTAAAGGCAACTGAGGAGTTGTTACCAGGGAATTAAACTGGTTCAAATTAATTAAAAGAAGGTATTTGAGATCACTTAAAAAATTAGGCCTAATTATGAAGTTAATGGTTTCAAAAAAGTGTTTAACTTCTTAATTGTAATTCGTTAAGCAGCTCAAACCTAAGAGGCATTTTTATTTATTTATTTTTTTTAAGATGAAGTCTCACTGTGTTGCTCAGGCTGGAGTGCAGTGGGACGATCTCGGCTCACTGCAACCTCTGCTAAGAGGCATTTTTAAACTAGCCCAGTTTTTGCCTAGCAAATTTGTTTATATGTGGTTAATCTCTTGACAGTGTGTCCCATTGCAGAATGTAAAAACAGTCTTATTCTTCTTCTCACTAGGCCTTTTAGATTACATTTGCATTCTAATTACAGCTTTGAATTTTTCTCAGTGTTTGTTAACTGACCACAAAAAGCCCTAGTAAACTAAAATGTCAAACCAGGGAGTGTGAATACAAGTTGTTGCTGCAGCTCCCTTAGAAAATGGCATCACATACTACAGTGATTATGTACAAGGCAGTGGATTGCAGCTATTGCTTGTGAGTTTTAAAATTTTGGATTGTGCTAATATTTTTTGGTTGAAGTTCAGGCCTATTCATTTGGTTATGATAAGTGCCCCCCCGCCAATCAGTTCTCCGAAAACAATGAAAGTCATTGTTTTAAAACAGAAGCATGCCATTTCTCTGCTTAAAACTCCTAAGATATTGTCTTTACCAAGGGCTTAGTGTTGGCTTTATGGCTTCTCATTGTATAGAAAACACTTAAAATCCAAGCTCCTTCAGATGTCCTTCATGTCCTGGTCTCGTTGCCTCTCTTTCTCACCTCATATCTTGCTGCTCCACTGCACACCGCCCCCCTCCTCCATTTCCTCCCTTTGGCTCCAGCAAGAAGGACTGCCTTTCCGCTCCTCCAGCTGCCAAGCCTGTCTCTGCCACAGGCCTTCTGTGCTTTCCCAGCTCTTCAGATGGCCGCTTCCTTCTCATCCTCCTCAGCCTGGCTCAGAGCTGACTTCCTTGCCCATCTCAGCAGAACAAGATCCCCACCCCTGCTAGTTATTCTCTGTCACCTACTGGTTATCATTGTGTTTGTTGATCTCCCTGATTACAGTGTAAGCTCCATGAGGGTAAGAGGCAGCCTGTCTTGTTCATCCTTTATATTATGGGTAAAGCCTCCCCACCCATGTTGTATGCTTTTAAAAAAATCAGGTTGTCAGTAGTGTCTTATAGGTGTATCTTCATTTTGATTTCCATGTGTTAAGTCACATTATTTTAAATTTCAGATCACAGATGTGGACTTTGCAGCCTTGAAGGCAGTGGTGAGGCTTGCTGAACCATACCTCTGTGACTCTCAAGTGAGCACTTTTACCATGGAGTGCATGAAGGAGCTCCTTGATCTGAAGGAGCATCGGTTGCCCCTGCAGGAGCTGTGGGTGGTGTTTGATGATTCAGGAGTGTTTGACCAGACAGCCCTTGCAATTGAGCATGTCAGGTAGGAAAAGAAGTTGAGAAAAATAACCTTGTGGCCAGAAACTTTGGATGAAATGAAGTAATTCTGGTCTGTGTTAGACCCAGATTTAAAACTCAACTGTAAACTTGGTCATTGCAATATTTAAAAATATCCAAAGATAGGATAATCTTTTTTAAATTAAAAAAAATTAAAAATGTTTTAAATCTTTTTTTTTATTTTTTAATTTTGAGACATAGTCTTGCTCTGTTGTCCAGGCTGGAGTGCAGTGGCATGATCTCGGCTCACTGCAACCTCCGCCTCCTGGGTTCAAGCAATTCTCCTGCCTCAGCCTCTCGAGTAGCTGGGATTACAGGTGTGCACCACCATGTCCTGCTAATTTTTGTATTTTTAGTAGAGATGAGGTTTCACTATGTTGGCCAGGTCAGTCTCGAACTCTTGACCTCAGGTGATCCACCTGCCTTGGCCTCCCAAAGTGCTGGGATTACAGGTGTGACCCACCGTGCACCTGGTCTAAAAATGTTTTAAATCATTTTATGATAATTTCAAACTTATAGAAAAGCTGACAAAACTAGTATAGTTGACTCTTGAATGATGTGGGGGTTAGGGGTGCCTATCTCCCCCCACCCCTACATAGTCAAAAATCTGAGTATAACATTTGACTCCCCCAAAACTTAACTACTAATAACTTACTGTTGACCAGAAAAGAAGCCTTACCATTAACATAAATAGTTGATTAGGACATATTTTCTATGTTATGTGTATTATCTTATAATAAAGTGCTAGAAAAAAGGAAATGTTAAGAAATTCATAAGGAAGAGAAAATGTATTTACTACTCATTAAGTGGAAGTGGATCATCATAAAGGTCTTTATCCTCATCATCTTCACCAGAGGAGGAAGAGGAAGAAGAGGGATTGGTCTTGCTGCCTCAGGGGCGGCAGAGGCAAAACAGGTGGAGGAGAGGTGGAAAGGGAGGCAGGAGATGCTGGCACACTCAGTGTAAATTATCAGTGGACCCCACAAAATTCAGACCTGTGTTCTTCAAGGGTCAAGTGTATAAAGAATTCCTGTTTATCTTTTACTTGGTTTTCACAAATGTTAACAAAAGTAGGGGATTCTTAATTGGGTTTGTATATATTTATAAACTGACTTAAAAGTTGTGGATGTTAAGGCTTATGGTCGGTATATTTCAATACAAGAGTACAGAAAGTAGAAGAAGAGAAAGACAGTGAAGAAGGTTATATACTATGGTGTGTGTACTGCTAAAAGACGAATACACATTTTTTTCAAGCATATGTCTGGTCAAAGCAAGTGTTTTCTTAGGCTGCTTCTAGGATCCTTAGGGGATGTATTCCTGCCTGTGAGTCTTTTTTGCCATAGTTATTTCCACTGCACAAGTGGACCCCTTGTCCCTTCCTTGGGAAAGAAAGCCCATACCTGGATCAGTGGGTATGATTTCAACAATTTTTCAGATCAATCTTTTATTGGATAGTTCCTGATATAGATAGTTATTTTGTATCTTCGCCAAAGAAGGCTTACTTGTAGCTATTTAAAAATAGACCCATATTCCTTCAGGAACTAGAAGACTGAGCAATATATAATGACCATAATGTAAATAACATTGCTTGGTGTTTTGTAGTATAAAAAGTACTTTCTATTTTCTATACCATTAGTGAGTTAACGTGGTTTTGCTGAGCTTAACTCGAATGCTCTGCAAAGAAGCAGAGTGTTTCAGGCCCTGCTGCCAACATCTTACGGACAGTTTCTAATTGTATGCAAGAACATTTAACCCTAGATGTTCAGTATTGGGCCAAGCAGAATGAATCTAAAGAACCGGTTTCTGTCCAGAACCAAAATAACTCCCTTCTATTTTTCTCATTAAAAAAAATCTGTCAATTGAAGCATTTGAAGATAAAGTGATAACTGATAAGTTTAGGAAATTAGGAATCAGGGAGCTAATCTCTATGGGCATAGAAGTTCGTGGAAAAATAAGTATCTGGAATGTTATTTGGTAGTATTATTTGAGGAGGAGCCTGGTTAAATTTACACTTCATTTGGAGGGCTGAGATTTGGATCAGTGCCCAGTGAAGGTCAAATTATGAGGGATTTCATTTGTTCGTTGATTCAATGAATATTTGAGTGCCAGGTCCTTAGTCAAGGATGGGGTATGTCTGGTGCATGAGACACACCATCATCAGGGAGCTGTCAGTCTAAAGGTGGGAGATGAGCCTTGATGAAATAATCACGCACAGATGTCTGCATGATTGGAAATAGCAGTGAGTGCTGTGATGAATTACAGAGTGTCCTAAAATTAGGTCAAGTTGCTGTTCTAGGGTTATTTACTGGAATAATGACATTTGAACTTGGGTTAGCTGTGTGAAAGGGGAGGCAGGGGTGGGGAAGGGAAAAGATTTGGGAGCTCAGTGTGTTTAAGGAGCTGAAAGGCCAGCATGGCTGGAACACAGACAGTGCTGAGAGAGACCTAGGAAATGAGATTAGAGAGGCTGGCAGGGGCCAGACAGTGCGGGGATTTGTTAGCTGGTTAGTCATTTTTGTCTTTAAGAGCAGTGGGAAGCCACTGAAGGATTTTTATTCTTGGGTGAATATGACTAGTTTTGTGTTTTGTGTTTTTGTTTTTTTGGAAACACGGTATTATTCTGTTGCCTAGGCTGGAGTACAGTGGTGCAATCATGTGATTCAATGCAGGCTCGAACTGTGGGGCTCAAGGCATCCTCTTGCCTCAGCCTCTGGATCAGCTGGGATTATAGGCATGTGCCACCACTAGCCAGCTAGTTTTTTAACAACATTTTTCTGTAGAGATGGGGGTCTCGTTGTGTTGCCCAAGCTGGTCTCGAACTCCTGGGCTCAAGCAGTCCTCCCACCTCAGTCCCCTAAAGTGCTGCTTTGTGTTTTCAGGGGTTCATTGTGGCTTCTGTGTAGAAAACAAATGGTGGGAGATGGAATTGGTAGACCAGTTAAGACGCAAGAGAGAGGACTAGAGTGGGGATATAGAGAGGACGGATGGAGGCTTACTGAGAAAGTACAATGGCTGGACTTGGTGGTCGAGTGGATATCAGAGATGAGAAGATGTAAGTGAGGTGAGAGAAGTCAAGGCTGACTTCCACATTTCTGGCTTGAAAGAATCAACACTGCGGGAGGTACAGAAGGGAATGATGTGTAAATGCTTGGCATGGTACTGGTGAGGATGATATTGGAGCCGAGTCATGGAATAGAACTATAAGCTTACCAGGTGGAAAAGGTGGAAGGCACTTCTGGCAGCTTGACTAACAAGTTACATGGAGGTTTGAAAGAGCTTGTGAAATTGAGAGTTTAGGTACAACGGCTCTGAGGCAGGAGAGGCGCAATAGGGCCAGATTATGAATCTATTTATAGTACCACGTTCAGGACTTCTTTTTGAGGGCTAAAAGGGAGCCAGCAGAGGTTTTTTCAATCGAGTAGAGGCATGCTTAAGTTCATTACAACAACAACAACAACAACAACAAAAGACTCCACTAGAGGGTGAAGGGACTAACAGCCCAATCTACAATAATTAGGAGATGGCTGGTTTCATTTTCAGTGCTTCCTTTTCACAGCAGAACTTCTTGAAAGAGTTATATATAATCACAGTCTATACTTCCTGGTGTCTCAGTAACTCTTCTACCCTGACCTCATCTCTGAAATTATGCTCAAAGACTTCCATGTTCTTGTATTCAGTCAACGTTTCACTGATCTCATCCTGCCTCTGATCTCATCTTGCTTAACGTCTTGACATTCTAGGTATTTGATCATTCCCATCTTCTTCACACCCTCTCCTCTCAGCTTCTGGGACACCACTGTTCAGCTGGTGTCTTACTGGCTTGCTTTCTCAGTCATCTTGGCCAGCTTTTCCTCTCATGCTCAAACTTTAGAATGTCAGAGTTACCCAGGGATCAGTCCTAGGCCATCTACTGTTTTTTCCCTAATCAACCTTGGAACCACTTTGGAATCACCTGAGGAATTTCTTTATAAAAGTATTCCAACCAATACATGAAGAAAGTGATAGAATATCAGTATTTTGTAACCACTAATGAAATAAAGGTTCTAGACAGTGAACATCGATGACTGCTGCAACCATTAGGGAAAGAGAACTTTATAGAGGGTGGATCAGGTTGACAACCTGTATCTGTTGATCAATCTGAACCTCACAAAAAGACATGGCCAGGCATTGTAATAAAGTCCTCAGTTACTGTTGTTGGTAGGTTCTTAGAAACTGTGATGTTAATGAAACCAATTTTACCATAGGCTGACTGATATAAACAAAAGTTAAAGTTTCTACAGCATATTTCTGGTCATGAAAACATCATCAAACTTCTAAATAAAGACCCCAAACAATTCTAATCTTAAACATTGAAATAAATGTGAACTATATATACATTAAGAAATATTAATGCAAACAAGATAATTATTGACCCAATTTCCAATTTTTGGTGAAACAGTGAGTGACAGTGGTCATTGTGGTGACGAGTAAATCAAGGAATAAATGTTTGCAAAGCGGAAATTATAAGGAGCACCTCCTGCCATCACCCACTTCAAAACAATGACAAACATAGTGGGCTCACTGAGCGATTTCATGCCACAGCATTCATTGTTGTGCATTTGTATGATTATTGTATACTTTATGAATTTTTGTTTGACAGTAATTTGTATTCATTCACTTTCCAACCTGCTTATTCCAGTTCAGGGTTGCAGGTGGCCAAAGCCTATTCCCGTAGTTCAGGGTGCAAGGCAGGAACCAGCTGTGGACAGGAGCCCATTTCATCACAGAGTGCACTCACACACCCACACTCAGACTGGGACAAGGTAGACACAGAATTCACCTCATGTGCGCATCTTTGGGATGTGGGAGGAAATCAGAGTACCTGGAGAAAACCCATGCGGACATGGGAAAAATGTACATACTCCACACAGACAGTGGCTTTGGCCAGGAATGAGGCTCTGCTCTTCCTGCTTCTTGACTGAAGTACATTACACCTCCCTTGAAGTATTCTTGCAAAAAATCCTTCCTGAAGGCCTGCAGGTCTGTAGATCTTACTGTCAGTTTACTAGAAATAACATAAAGTACATGTTAAATGACCCATGGGGACTGGGTGCACCTGTAATTGTAGCACTCTGGGAGGCCAAGGTGGGCGGATCATTTTAGCCCAGGAGTTCGAGACCAGCCTAGACAACATGGCGAAACCCCATCTCTACTGAAAATACAAAAAATAGCAGGGCGTGGTAGCGCGTGCCTGTAATCCCAGCTACTCGGGAGGCTGAGGCAGGAGAATCGCTTGAACCCAGGAGGCGGAGGCTGCAGTGAGCCGAGGTCATGCTACTACTGCACTCCATCCTGGGCAACAGAGCACCACACTGTCTCAAAAAAAAAAAAAAAAAAAAAAAAAAAAATTGACCCCATGGGGATGTAATCACCAAAATTTAGAGTGGGGGAAATTAGTCAATAAATTGCAAGGGAAAAAAGAGGGAGAGGTAATGTGTAGGCTAACAGCGATTTAAGAAATGTGTCAGTCAAAGGGCAGAAGCGGACCCTCATTTGGTGCCTGATTGGAACAAGTCAACTGTGAAAGAGCAGCAGGAGACAATTAGGGGAATTTGAACACTGGATATTTGGTAATATTAAGGAATTAAAACTTTTGGTATAAAGATTTATTTTAGAGATACATACTAAAAATTTGTGAATGATTTGATGTGTGTGAGATTGGTTCAAAATAATCCAGTATATTTGGGAGACTGAAGTGGGTGGGTTGCCTGAGGTCAGTTTGAGACCAGCCTGGCCAACATAGTGAAACCCTATCTCTACGAAAAATACAAAAAATTAGCTGGGCGTGGTGGCGGGTGCCTGTAATCTGAGCTACTAGGGAGGCTGAGGCAGGAGAATTACTTGAACCCAGGAGCTGGAGGTTCCAGTGAGACGAGATCGCACCGTTGCACTCCAGCCTGGGCAACAAGAGCAAAACTCCATCTGAAAAAAAAAAAAATCCAATATCAAGATGGTGGGGGAGGAGAGCAGAGGGTGCCTGGGTGAGGCAGAGATGAAATAAGACTGTGAGTTGGTAATTGTTGAAGCTGCCTCATGATACATGGTATTCATCATACTATTTTCTCTGTTGTTGTATATGTTTAGGATTTTCCATAATAAATTTGTTAAATCACTTGGAGAGCTTTAAAAAAATATGGATACAACTGGGCACGGTGGCTCATGCCTGTAATCCCAGCACTTTGGGAGACCGAGGCAGGGGGGATCACCTAAGGTCAGGAGTTCAAGACCAGCCTGGCCAACATGGCAAAATGCCTCTCTACTAAAAGTACAAAAATAAGCCAGGCGTGGTGGCGGTTGCCTGTAATCCCAGCTGCTCAGGAGGCTGAGGCAGGAGAATTGCTCGAACCCAGGAGGCAGAGGTTGCAGTGAGCCAAGATGGCGCCACTGCACTCCAGCCTGGGCCACAAGAGCGAGACTCCATCTCAAAAAAAAAAAAAAAAAAAAAAAAAAGAAAAGAAAAGTGTGGATGCTGATGATTCCCTTGCACCTTCCCCACCCCACCAGATTCTGATTGCTTGGTCTGGGAGAGGGAACTAATTGTTCTTGTTTTTAAATTTATTTATTTTGAGAAAGAATCTCACTGTGTTGCCCAGGCTGGAGTGCAGTGGTGCGATCTCGCTTCACTGCAGCCCCGGCCTCCCAGTTCAAGCGATTCTTGTGCCTTGGCTTCTTGAGTAGCTGGAATTGCAGGGGAATCAATTTTTAAAAGTGTCCCAGGGAACTCCAATGTACAATGAGGGTTGAGAACCACTGCCTTATGATTATGTCCTTACGTGATCTTATACATTGCTTTAACACCATCAATGTGTTGATAGCTACCAGGTTTATGTTTCCAGCCCTGACCTTTCCCTGGAGCTTTGGGCTGTATATTCCTCTGTTATTTTCAATCCCAAACCTGTTTCTCTCTCAGTGTTTTTTGTCTCAACAAATGGCACTACCATCCAGCCAGGTACTGGTGGTCAATAAATAATTCTTCCAATAAAAAGAAAGTCCTGGCTGGGCGCGGTGGCTCATGCCTGTAATCCCAGCACTTTGGGAGTCCGAGGCGGGTGAATCATGAGGTCAGGAGTTTGAGACCAGCCTGGCCAACATGGTGAATCCCCATCTCTACTAAAAATACAAAAAATTAGCTGGGTGTGGTGGTGGGTGCCATCTCAGCTACTCGGGAGGCTGAGGCAGGAGAATCACTTGAACCCAGGAGGCGGAGGTTGCAGTGAGCCAAGATCACGCCATTGCACTCCAGCCCCAGAGACAGAGTGAGACTGTGTCTCAAAAAAAAAAAAAAAAAAGTCCTAACAAAACCAGTGTGGAGAAACTTCTCTTCTTTAGCTGATCCAAAAAAGGTCTCTATGTTGTGTGACTCATGACTATCAACCATAGCAAATATGCAGCATTCTCTAAGATATGAGAATTGTTTTGATTTACTCTTTAGCTCTCACCCCTCCAAAATCCTAATGTTTTGAGCCAGTGATAGAATTTGAATGATACTAAGTTCCATTTCAGATTTTTCTACCAAAACATTTGGAGGAGTTGGGATGAAGAAGAGGAGGATGAATACGATTATTTTGTCAGATGTGTTGAACCTCGATTAAGATTGTAAGTATTTATTGCTGACCTTGTTGTACATGTTGGAAAAATAGTTACCCATGGTTTAATTTTGCCTGTGTGAGATACACACACACACACACACCCACACTCACTCACTCACTCTCTCTCTCTGATTTTCTTTCCAGGATCTCATAGACAGAAATAAACTGATGTACAAATTGTACCACCCCTTGACAAGTCATTAAATGAAACTTGTACAAGTGCAGAGAAACTTGCTTTTAGTGTTTATAAATTGAGTCTAAAAGCAGGAAGTTCAAGAACATCTAAATTAGTAGCTCACTGTTTTGTTAATTTGAATAAAATTCAATTGAACATTGAACTAGTGGGTTAAGAAGCCCTTTGTTAAATTCGATTGTTTGAAAAACAGTGACATTATTTGAATTATAGAAGACTTTTTGGCTTTAATTTTGTAAAGAATACTTTAAAGGTATATGGCTTTACTCTAAGTTTCTGCAGTGAAACACAGCAGGCTGAACTAGCAGATCTACCTTAGGATATTTTGTCAGCCTCCTGCCTTAAATCTTAATGACCTTATTAAATGTGGCATTTATCTCCCCACTAGATGGTGCTTTAAGACCAGTAATTTTTTCTTGTATTCATAAGCAGTAACTTCATAGGCAATGCTGCAATAATAATAAAATTATAAATTGCACTCCAAAAAAATAATTGTAGAAGGTAATTTTTTCCCTGGGTGAAAGATGATTTTTTTCCCCCCGTTTGAAAGATGATTTTTTTCCCCTGTGTGAAAGATGAGATGAGAAGATAAGGCAGTAAGCCTTTACATTTTTGTGGAACTCAAGTCGATTTAGTGAGTTTCTCTTGGCTTAAATAGTAAATAATAATAAAATAAAAAATGTGTGAGGCCCGGCATGGTGACTCACACCTGTAATCCCAGTAATTTGGGAGGCTGAAGGAGGAAGACAACTTTTTTGAGACAAGCTCTCACTCTGTTGCCCAGGCTGGAGTGCAGCAGTGTGATGTCACTCACTGCAGCCTCAATCTCCTGGGCTCAAGTGTCCCTCCCACCTCAGCCTCCTGACTAGCTGTGAATACAGGTGCATGCCACCACACCGAGCTAATTTTTGTATTTTTAGTAGAGACAGGGTTTCACCATGTTGGCCAGGCTGGTCTCGAACTCCTGACCTCAAGTGATTTGCCTGCCTCCGCCTCCCAAAGTGCTGGGATTACAGGACTGCGCCACCGTGCCCAGCCCGGGAAGACCTCTTGACCTTAGGAGTTTGAGACCAGCCTGGGCAACATAGTGAGACCCCACCTCTACGAAACCTAAAAAAAAAAATTAGCTGGGTGTGTTAGGGCATGCCTCTAGTCCCAGCTGCTGGGGAGGCTGAGGCAGGAAGATTGCTTGAGTCCAGGAGTTTGAAGCTGCAATGAGCTGTGATTGAACCACTGCACTCCAGCCTAGGTGACAGAGCAAGACTTTGTCTCAAAAAAAAAAAAAAAGTTTGAAAGTCTGATTAATAGTTCTACCTGGTTTAGAATTATGTATGTGTGATTTTAGCTCTTCGTAAATGGGCTATGATTTCTATTTAGGCTTTCCAGTTTTTCCATTGTGCATTTCCTATTTTTCCATAGCATATTCAATAAAATCCCAAAATTTCAATAAGCTTGAGTATTTTCTAGGTTTGATACCTTTGCTCTTAAAAAGAAATGATTGATTTTGATTGACATGAAATATGATAAGGGAACATAACGTATATCGGACAAATTCAATCTTTACTTGGAAAAAAATTGTATTCTGATTTGATAGCCTTGCATGTGCTAACGACAAGCAATGACTTACATGCATAGCTTGTACATCACTGGCAGATGGGATGGCATAAGGGAGGAATCGTGTGTAGTTTTGCAGAAGACACGGTGGTACTTGATGGAGAGACTGGAATGTTATCAAATGTAGGCAGACTTAAAAAAGGTCTCTGGGCTAAGATAGGAGTGGGGCTATCAACAGGCAAGATCAAACCAGAGTGTCTGGATTTTGTACTGTGCAGTAAATTTTTCCTTTCTGCTTCAAAACACACTGCTTATATGTGACTAAAGGAGGTCTGAAAAAAACCAACACTGCTTCAGAACTTCGGGATCTGTGACACAAATGTTACTTCATTGCTTTTAGACTATGAAGTATCAATATAATGAAAAGAAATGAAAAGAAATAAGCTAACGGGCATGGATACTGGAAGTGCTAAGAGACTTATTTTAAAATTTGAGTCTTAATCTTCACAACTTAGTAGAACATGGTTTCATCCTCAATTTCTTTTTTTTATTTTTAAAATTTTTAAATTTTTTTGTTTTTCCCTTTTTTTTTCACAGCTGTTCACTCAGTTTCTTTCGGATTAACCAAAGTAGACAAAATCCTTGCTTTTCAAGCTTCACCTAATTCACTTACTTGAAAAGCGGGAAAAGTTTCTTTTTTATTCATTCAAAATGTTTAAGTGTTCATAGTCTGATGTAAATTTGTTTAAGATATGGTTCTATCTTGCATTTGTTTTTCCCTATCTTATTTAGAGCATGACTAAATTAAAAAAAAACAACATCATTTAAGGCAATCGTTCTCACTCTTGGCTACACATTAGCATCCCCAGGGAACTTAAAAAAATACCCTTGTATGTCCAGAGACCCATTTAATTGGTCTGGATGGGGCCCTGAGCATCTGTTTGTTTGTTTGTTTGTTTTTTGAGACAGGGTCTTGCTCTGTTGCCCAGGCTGGAGTACGGAGTACAGTGGCATAATTAGATCTCACAGCAGCCTTGACCCCTGGGGCTCAAGCCATCCTCCCACCTCAGCCTCCCAAGTAGCTGAGACTACAAGTGCATGCCATCACACCAGGCTCATTTTTGTATTTTTGTAGTGACAGGGTTTTGCCATGTTGCCCAGGCTGGCCTCAAACTCCTGGGCTCAAGTGATCTGCCTGCCTTGGCCTCCCAAAGTGCTGGGATTACAGGTGTGAGCCACTGTGCCTGGCCTATTTTACTTTATTTTTAAACCCATTAATTTTATATCTGTTAACTTGATTGTGCATTTACAAATTATTTTATTGCATCTAGAAATACTCTGTATTCTGTTTTTATATTTGAGAAAGTTTATAAATTAATACATTTGAAGTGCCAGTATGGTTGTCCAGTACAAGGTCATTTTGTTTCAGTCACTCTCTAGATTAGTAATGGCACCTTTTTTTCCCCCTCGGAATCTCAAGGGCTTATTTTTTGAAATTCTTTAATAATCTTCCTTAGGGAATATTCAGCATAATTTTGTGCCATAGTGCTTTAAATGGAAGGAGGGACTAGATTGTTTGAGTCATTTCTACTTTTTGATCCTATAAATATGATAACCTTAAAAAAATTTTTAAAGTCGTATTCAGATCCATGAAAAATATAGTAATCTTAAACATTGTTGTGAAACAATTTGAGAAACTGCTCTCCCTACCCCTACTCCCAAATTGCCCCCTGCCACCTTCTTATTAAGCTTTTGAATCTAATATATGAGAAGAAAATAATTTCTTATTAAATAATAAAATTGTGTAACCTGAACTTTCAGTGTTTCTAAAGCACAAATGCTTGGATCCAAGAAAGAAAGTAAAAACTCCTCAAGAGCAGAAAAATTAGTGACCTTAAGGAAGTGGTGCTTTAAATTTTCAACAGCTTCCACTTATTATTATTATTATTACAGTGCTATTCAGAAAGACTTAACATGCACCTGAGTTATATACTGTAAAACTCTTACTGGGTCTTTGAGGGCTAAGTGGGCTGTTTTAATGATAGGAAAATGTGCCTGAAAGGCAGTGGATTTCACTTTGCTTTTAAACTTTCAGGCATTATGACATTCTTGAAGACCGAGTTCCATCAGGACTTATTGTTGACTACCACAATCTGTTGTCTCAATGTGAGGAGAGTTACAGGAAATTTTTAAATCTGAGAAGCAGTTTGTCAAATTGTAACTCTGATTCCGAGCAGGAAAATATCTCCATGGTGGAAGGGTTAAAATTGTATTCGGAGATGGAACAGTTGAAACAAAAGCTGAAACTCATTGAGAATCCTTTGTTGAGGTATGTGTGTCTTTGTAATTCTTAGTTAGTCAGCATCTTTTCTTACTTGCTGTCTTACTGATAGGCCTGTTTCGTTTCTTTAAGGTATGTGTTTGGTTATCAGAAGAATTCTAACATCCAAGCAAAGGGTGTCCGTTCCAGCGGTCAGAAGATCACTCATGTGGTCTCCTCCACCATGATGGCTGGTCTCCTGCGGTCCCTGCTTACGGACAGGCTTTGCCAGGAGCCTGGTGAGGAAGAAAGAGAAATTCAGGTAAACGGAGAGTTTCTCACTCCAGGTGGCTTTTTTTCCTTCTGATTCACCACAGGTTTTCACAAATCCCACAAAGTATTTACAGGAGCTTTCCCAAGACGGTTTTCTGTGCATGGGAAGTAGTGAGAGCCCTGCCTTTCATCAGCAGTAGTCACTTACCAGGCATGTGTTAGGTCAGTGCGCTATCAAAGGAGATGCTTCAATATGCAGTTTTTGGCTTCCATTTTCAAAGTAAGACATGAAGTCACCTAGAGTAATACTCAAATTACTTTTTTGGGAGTGTATATTTACAAATGTGTTCTTATTGTTTTCTAGTTCCATAGTGATCCATTGTCTGCTATAAATGCCTGCTTCGAAGGTGACACTGTTATTGTTTGTCCTGGCCATTATGTGGTACATGGCACTTTCTCCATTGCTGACTCCATTGAGTTGGAAGGTGAGTATGGAAGACACACAACCAAACTCTCACACGTGATATGTTTAAGTAAACAATAAATCACCAATCTTGTTGAAACTCCAAGAATGTGATTTGAACCCATTTGATTTCTAGTGAGCTGCCTTGAAACATTAAGGACATGGAAAGCTGAAAAGAGGTTGACCCAGTGTTTCAGCAATTTGAGTTGTGGTTCTTTGTAGCAGTGTGTATGTTGGGGAGATGTTCACAGGCTCATATAGAAAAAAGACCATTAGGAAGAAGCATACTTTCCAGATTGTAGGTGGTTTATGGAAAGGAAATCTAATTTCTAGAATTAAAAAAAAATTCCTAGCAATATTTTTAAAAATTTTAGTATTTTAAAAATTTGTTGCTTGCTCTTATCTCATAGATGTTGCAGATATGTTAGTGCATGGCTTTTTGTTTTTTGTTTCACACTTAGCTTATTTTCGTGAGAGGTATAATGAAGGGCATTTAACTTGAAATTGGTACCAATTATCTTAATTCTCTAAATGCTTGCCGAATGTCACAAATGCTACACTTTGTGTCTTGACCAAAGTATACTTTAGAAAAGATTAATGTTGAAAGATTCTATTAAAAATAACTTTTTGGGCTGGGTGTGGTGGCTTACGCCTGTAATCCCAGCACTTTGGGAGGCCGAGGTGGGCAGATCACTTGAGGCCAGGAGTTTGAGACCAGTCTGGCTAACATGGTGAAACCCCGTCGGTACTAAAAATACAAAAATTAGCCGGGCATGTTGTTGCACGCCTGTAATCCCAGCTACTTGGGAGGCTGAGGCAGAACAATCGCTTGAACCTGGGAGGTGGAGGTTGCAATGAGCCAAGATCATACTACTATGCTTCAGCCTGGGTGACAGAGCAAGACTCTGTCTAAAAAAAATAACTTTTTCACAGTTATAATCTTATTGTTCATTTAGAGTGATTTCTAAATTTAGGTTACTTTACAATTGTTCATCTTGGTCCTGTATATTTTCATAACATGTCAAATTTAGTTACACCTGTTCAACTATTTATCAAAATAGCTTCAAGTTAGCAGTGAAGCTTGTAATGCAAAAAATCATATATCATTTTGGGACTTGTGCAGCTGTTCAGAAACTGCTTAAGCTATGCTCTTTATCTTGTCAGTACTTCTAAATGGAACTGAAGCTGGAAGTTTAGTTTTCTCCTGTTCCTAGTACATCATCTCACCCCCTTTTTTATTTTATGTGTGTAATTTTTGTTCTTTTCTACTCTCCAATTTTTGATGTATAATAGATGTGTGTATATAAATAACACATCTGCAAGATAAATCACTGTGATAAAAACACTTTATTTTTTGGCATAGTGGAAATAACACTGATATTATAGTTTGTATGGTAGATAAGAGTTCTTCCTAGATTGGTGAGGAAATTTTAATGTAATTGCCAGAGTGTCATAAATGGACATATAGAATGCTGATAGTTAAGTATAAAAATGGCTGTATATTGACTAACAGTATGGGTCTGAGAATTGGGGAATCACAAGGTATCTCTAGTGTGCATATATGGAGTGTTCATGAGTAAGATTCAAGCTCATCTGATAGTGATCTATAGCTAACCAATATAACAAGAGATATATATTGAGTACCTACTATGTGCAGGGTGTCAATAGTACTTACAATAGGGTTTTTCTTTCTTGTTTTGAAAATCCATTCATTTAGGTAATGGTTTTATGTTTTAAGTGGAAAGAAATACATAATTATATAAAAATTTGTGTAAAAATCTTTTCTCAATATGCAATTCTTTTTGTACTTTTAATTTTTCTGATGATAAAAAGCAATGGTTATTGTAGAAAATATGCCAAGTACAGTCAGATACATACAACAATCAGAAACAAAATCACTCATAATTCAGGCATCCAGAGTCCACCCCTGGTAGCATTCCAGTGTGTGGAGTCCCCTTGCATTCTCTAGGGCCCCCAAAGCCTTGTTTGTCCTCTTCCAGTGTAGATACATTGAGCGGCTTTGCTTGTTAAAAACAGTTACTGCTTTCATTTACTCAAAGATTCGTCTTTAGTCAATGAGAGTTATTTCTTACAGCTTTGTCTATGTGGTTCTGTTTTATAATGGAAGTCAAGCGAATTCTTTAGTTTTCTGATACTCTAGTTTTTTGTAAGCCCACTCAGGTGTTTGGCTTGCATTAATGGTTTGAGTAAGATTTATACAGATCTGATGGTTTTTTTGTTTTTGTTTTTTTGAGGTGGAGTCTTGCTCTGTCGCCCAGGCTGGAGTGCAGTGGTGTGATCTCAGTTCACTGCAGCCTCTGTCTCCTGGGTTCAAGCGATTCTCCTGGCTCAGCCTCCTGAGTTGCTGGGATTACTGGTGCCTGCCACCATGCCTGGCTAATTTTTGTAGTTTTAGTAGAGACAGGGTTTCTCCATGTTGGCCAGGCTGGTCTCGAACTCCTGACCTCAAGTGATCCACCTGCCCTGGCCTCCCAAAGTGCTAGGATTATAGGCGTGAGCCACTGCACCTCACTGAGATCTGATGCTTTTTTTTTGAGACAGAGTCACTGTCACCCAGGCTGGAGTGCAGTGGCACGATCTCCTCTCACTGCAATCTCCGCCTCCCAGGTTCAAGCAATTCTCCCACCTCGGCCTCCTGAGAAGCTGGGATTACAGGCACATGCCACACTCGGCTAATTTTTATATTTTTAGTAGAGGCAGGATTTCTGTATGTTGGCCAGGCTGCTCTTGAACTCCTGACCTCAAGTGATCCACCTGCCTCAGCCTCCCAAAGTGCTGGGATTACAGGCGTGCGCCACCGTACCCAGCCTTGATCTGATGCTTTTTATTTGTTAATGAGGTAGACTGTTTTTTTCCTGTAACTGTAACTAGTCAGTTTGTCAGATTTTAAGCCAACTGTTTAAGAGAATATTAAAATTAGATCATCTTGAGAACTGTTTAGGTTTATTCAAATGTAATTTATATTAGAATCATAGAATGTTAGAGTTAGAAACAAACTTCTAAGGGTGAGTGCTTTAAAGTTCTTTGACTCAGCTGTAAGTCCTTATTATTATTATTATCATTTTTTGAGATGGGGTCTCATTCTGTCACCCAGAATGAAGGCTGGAGTGCAATGGCATGATCATAGCTTACTGCAGCCTTAAAATTCTGGGATCAAGTGACCCTCCCACCTTAGCCTCCTTGAGTAGTGAGTAATTGGTGCATGCCACCATGCCTGACTAATTTTTTTGGTTTTTGTAGAGATGGAATCTCACTGTGTTGCCTAGGCTGGTCTTGAACATTATTTATTTTTTATAGCACTTTTGAAAGTGAATTTAGTACTGAGCTGATGTGGGATAGTTGATAGGGTAGTCTTCCTGATACGGGACTAGTCAGAGAGTTGTTATTGTTAAAAATTGGATACCCTGATTTAAATTAAACAGGATATGTGGGGAGATAGATTTTATTTAAATGCAACATGGTTGACTGGTCTCATTATCATCTGCAGTCATTTAAACTAGAGAAACTTGTTCTACAGTGTTCACGTTTAGATGTTTTTCCTCACCCATCTTGAGTGTTGTTGCTCTCTCTTCCTTAGGATATGGCCTACCAGATGACATTGTGATAGAAAAGAGGGGCAAAGGCGACACTTTTGTGGACTGCACTGGTGCTGATATTAAAATCTCAGGCATAAAATTTGTTCAGCATGATGCTGTAGAGGGAATCTTAAGTAAGTATCTGAATGTTTGGTATATCATTTGTTCTAAGATTTGAAGGTAAACGGTTCTCTCTATGGAAGATAGAATTTAATGAAATGCCACTCTTGAGTACAGGCATACCTTGTTTTATTGCACTTCACGATGCTGAGTTTTTTTTTTTTTTTTTTTTTTTACAAATTGAAGGTTGTGGCAACCCTGTTTCAAGCCAGTCTGTCGGCACCATTTTCCCAAGAGCATATGCTCACCTTGTGTTTCTGTGTCACATTTTGGTAACTCTCACAATATAGATAATATGCTGATCTGTGAACAGTGATCTTGATGTTACTACTGTAATTGTTTTGGGGTGCCATGAACCACATCCATAAAAGATGGTGAACTTAACTGATAATTGTGTGGGTTTTGACTGTTCCACCGATCAGCCATTCCCCTATCTCTCTCCTTCTCTTTGGGCTACCCTATTCCTTGAGACACAGCAATATTGAAATTAGGCCAGTTAATAACCCTACAATGGCATCTATGTGTTCAAGTGAAAGGAAGAGTCACATGTCTCTCATGTTAAATTTAAAAATTAGAAATGTTTAACATAGTGAGGAAGGCATGTCGAAAGCTGAGATAGGCTGACACCTAGGTCTCTTGTGTCAGTTGGTGAAGTTTTGAATGTAAAGGAAAAGTTCATAAAGGAAATTAAAAGCACTACTCTAGTGAACACATGAATGATAAGAAAGTGAAACAGTCTTATTGCTAATATGGAGAAAGTTTCTGTAGTCTGGATGGAAGATCAAATCAGCCACCACATTCCTTAAATCAGAGCGTATTGCAGAGCAGAACCCTAACTTCCTTCAATTCTGTGAAGACTGAAGGAGGTGAGGAAGCTGTAGAAGAAGAGTTTGAAACTAGCAGCTGTTGGTTCATGAGGTTTAAGGAAAGCAGCCATTTCTGTAACATAAAAGTGCAAGGTGAAGCAGCAAGTGCTGATGCAAGCTACAGAAAGTTAACCAGAAGATCTAGCTAAGGTAATCGATGAAGGTGGATACACTAAACAACACATTTTCAGTGTAGATGAAATAACCTTCTATTGGAAGAAGATTCCATCTAGTACTTTTCATAGTTAGAGAGGAGAAGTCAGTGCTTGGCTTCACAGCTTCAAAGGACAGGCTGACTCTCTTGTTATGAGTGAATGTAACTGGTGACTTTAAGTTGAAGCCAGTGCTCATTTACCATTCTGAAAATCCTAGAGCCCTTAAGAATTATGCCAGATCTACTCTGCCTGTGCCCTAGAAATGGAACAACAAAGCCTGAATGGTAGCACATCTGTTTATAATGTGGTTTACTGAATATTTTAGGCCCATTATTGAGATTTACTACTGAAAAAAAAAATTCCTTTAAAAATATGATTGCTTATTGACAATGTACCTGGTCATCTGAGAGCTATGATGGAGGTGTACTGGGAGATTAATGTTGTTTTCATGCCTGCTAATAATATCCATTCTGCAGCCCATGGATCAAGGAGTAATTTCGACTTTCAAATCTTACTATTTGAGAAATACACTTCCTAAGGCTATACCAGCTATTGATAGTGATTCCTCCGATGGGTCTGGGCAAAGTCAATTGAAAAGTTTCTGGGAAGGAGTCATCATTCTAGATGTCATTAAGAACATTTGTGATTCATGGGAGGAGGTTAAAATCTCAACATTAACAGGGGTTCTGGAGAAGTTGATTCCAGCCCTCATGGATGATTGAGGGGTTCAAGACTTGAATGGAGGAAGTAACTGCAGATGTGGTGGAAATAGCAAGAGAACTAGAGCCTGATGATAGCAAGTAGAACCTCAAGACGTGACTGAATTGCTACAATCTTATAACAAAATTGGAACAGATGAGGAATTGCTTCTTATGGATGAGCGAAGAAGGTGGTTTCCTGAGATAGAATTTCCTGGGGAGGATGCTGTGAACATGGTTGAATGACAACAAATGATTTAGAGTATTAGGTAAACTTGGTAAAGCAGAGGCAGACTTTGATGGGATTGACTCCAATTTTGAAAAACCTTCTACTGTGTGTAAAGTGCTATCAAACAAGATCACATGCTACAGAGAAATCCTTTCATGAAAGGAAGAGTCAATCAATGTGGCAAACTTCATTGTTGTCTTATTTTTAAAAATTGCCATAGCCACCTTAACCTTCAGCAAACACCATTCTGATCAGTAAGCAGCCATCAACATTGAGGTAAGACCCTCCACCAGCAAAAAGATTATGTCTTGCTGAAGGCTCAGAGGATTGTTAGCATGTTTTAGCAAAACAAAGTATCTTAAATTAAGATGTATATATTGTTAAAAAACATAATGCCTTTGTACACTTAATAGATGCATTATAAACATAGTACTCATTAGTATAAACTCATATGCTCATTAGTATAAACACAACTTTTATTTTTTTTTGTTTTTAGAGACAGTCTCACTGTCATCTAGGCTAGAGTGCAATAGCATGATCATAGCTCTCTGTAGCCTCAAACTCCTGGGCTCAAGCAATTCTGCCTTTGCCCCCCAAGTAGCTGGGACTACAGGCGTGTGCCATCACGTCTTGCTAATTTTTGTATTTTTTAGAGATGGGGTTTCACGATGTTGCCCAGGCTGGTCTCAGACTCCTGGCCTTAAGTGATCCACCCACCCCAGACTCCCATAAACATTTGTATGCACTGGGAAACCAAAAAAATTGTGTGACTCACTTTAATTGTGATATTTCCTTTATTGTGGTGGTTTGGAACTCAACCTGCAATATCTCTGGAGTATGAGTGTGTATGGAAGACTGATTATTTATGAAGCTGGGCGTGGTGGCTCACGCCTGCAATCCCAGCACTTTGGGCAGCCGAGGAGGGTGGATCACCTGAGGTCAGGAGTTTGAGACCAGCCTGGCGAACATGGTGGAACCCTGTCTCTACTAAAAATACAAAAACTAGCCAGGTGTGGTGATACACGCCTATGATGCCATCTACTCTGGAGGCTGAAGCAGGAGAATTCCTTGAACCTGGGAAGCAGAGGTTGCAGTGAGCCAAGATCGCACCACTGCACTCCAGCCCAGGCAACAGAGCAAGGCTCCGTCTCCAAAAAAAAAAAAAAGTTTACTCATTTAGGCTGGGCGCAGTGGCTTATGCCTGTAATCCCAACACTTTGGGAGGCTGAGGCGGGTGAATCACCTGAGGTCAGGAGTTCGAGACTAGCCTGGCCAACATGATGAAACCCTGTCTCTACTAAAAAATACAAAAATTAGCTGGGTGTGGTGGCAGGCGCCTGTAATCCCAGCTACTCAGGAGGCTGAGGCAGGAGAATCACTTGAAACCAAGAGGCAGAGGTCTCACTCTGTCACCCAGGCTGGAGTGCAGTGGTGTGATCTCTGCTCACTGCAAGCTCCGCCTTTTGGGTTCAAGCAATTCTCCTGCCTCAACCTCCCAAGTAGCTGGGATTACAGGTGCCCACCACCACGCTCGGCTAATTTTTGTGTTTTTTAGTAGAGACGGGTTTTCACCATGTTGGCCAGGTTGGTCTTGAACTCCTGACCTTGGGTGTTCTGCCCCCCTCGGCCTCCCAAAGTGCTAGGATTACAGGTGTGAGCTACCGCATGCGGCCTAGAAAATTATTTTTTTATGTACATAGTGTGATGACTTAGCAATCTTAACCCTTCAGTAA
The DNA here is from genome assembly GCF_000001405.40 of Homo sapiens. Lineage (NCBI taxonomy): Eukaryota > Metazoa > Chordata > Mammalia > Primates > Hominidae > Homo > Homo sapiens. The sequence goes on along the minus strand of NC_000016.10, from coordinate 46,596,163 downwards.
AAAATAGCCTATTCATGATAATTTGTTGTTTAATATTAGTTTCTTTTCTGTGTGGTGATTTTTTTCTTTTAAAACTTTCCAGTGTTGTGGTCTGTTTTCTCTGTATTCAAGGTAGCACTAGACTGAAGTTATCTCCACATGGGAGTAATGTTTGTTTCCTGGAATCTTTGTATCCCCTTTCTTGAATCAAAGTCTTTTTCTTCCGAGATACTCAGCAAAATTGCTCTCTGATGCTTTTTTTTTCTGGTAATGGAAAGTGCTTTTGTATCTGAGGTCAAGTCATTCTTTTTAAAGAATGTTGCTTTTAGATTGTAGAAAATAACTCAAAATAGTCATTGTTTTATATTTTATGAATTTGTAATTTAGGTAAGAAAATTTAAATGATAGCCATTGAGAAATATTTAGACCATAGCTAATGTCAGCGCGAGGCTATCTCTAACATTGGAAAAGGCACATTACTTCTTAAAACAGTCAGCGTGTATTTTCATCCCAGTTGTTCACCGTGGTAAGACTACGCTGGAAAACTGTGTGCTGCAGTGTGAGACGACCGGAGTCACAGTGCGGACATCAGCAGAGTTTCTAATGAAGAACTCGGATTTATATGGCGCCAAGGTAGAAGCTCTTGTCCTCTTGGGGAAGTAGTTTGTGTTTAAGTTGTAAATGAATATATGAAATATGGGACCAAGATGTATGTGTGTACTCCCACTCTCTTCAGACAGTCATCTCTACCAAGTCAGTCAAACTCAACTGTGCAAGGGTCTTCTCATGTAGCATTTTCAAATGATAGGAAGAAAAGTAATACATCTCACAATGACTTTATGTAGCTTTAAGAGAGGTTTAGACCCTTAAAATTATAACTTTGTAGATTCACACAGTGTTGTAAGAAGTAACAGGGAGAGGTCCTGCATTATGCCCTTCACCAGTGTCCCCTAATGGTAACATCTTGTGAAACTGTCGTGCAACATCACAACCAGAATACTGACATCGATCCTGTCAGTAGAAGAATATTCCCATCACCACAGGGACCCCTCATGCTGCCCTCCTAGAGCCAAACTCACCTGCCTCTCCCACCAACCTCTTCCTTAACTGCAGGCACACCTTAAGCTGTTTTTCATTTCTATTTATTTCATCATTTCAAAAATGTAGAAATGGAATCACACAGTATGTGGCTCTTTGGGATTGGCTTTTCTCACTTAGTGTGGTTCTGTGGAGCTTCACCTAGGTCGTTGTATGTACCAATAGCTTGCTCCTTTTTACTGTGGAGGAATAGTCCAATGTGTGGTTGTTCCACGGTTTGTTTTGTCACTTGTGGAAGGATGTCTAGATTGTCTCCAGTTTTTGCCTATTGTCAGTAAAGCTGCTATAAACGTTCGGGTACAGGTTTTTGTGTGAACACAGTTTTCATTTTTTAAGGAGTAAGTGACAATGGATGCAATTGTAGGTCATATAGTAGTTGCATGTTTAGGTTTTTTTTTTTTAAAGAAACCGCTAAAATGTTTTCAGAGTAGTTGTACCATCCTACTAGCAATGTTTGAGTGGTCTAGTTTCTCCATGTCCTCAAGAGCATTTGGTGTTTTGACTATTTTTTGTTTTAGCCATTCTGATAAGTGTGTAGTGATATCTCATTGTGGTTTTAATTGTCATTTCCCCAGTTGTTAATGATGTTGAGCATTTTCTCATATGCTTATTTGCCACCCTTATATCCTCTTTAGTGAAATATCTGTGACTTTTGCCCCATTTTCTAATTGGATTGTTTGTTCTTCTTTACTGTAGAGGTTTGAGAGTTCTCTGTATATTCTAGATACTAGTCCGTTGTCAGGTATGTGGTTTGGAGACATTTTTTGCCACTCTGTAGCTTGTCTTTTCACCTTCTTCATATGGCCTTTTATGGAGCAAAGTATTTAATTTTGATGAAGTCCACTGTATCAGTTTTTCCTTTTATGAGTTGAGGTTTTGGTGATAAGAACTCTGCCTAGCCATAGATCCTGATTTTCTCCTATTTTTTTTCTAAAATTTTTATAGCGTTATATTTTACATAAGGTTGTGATCCATTTTCTAGTTAATTTTGGTATAAGGTGTGAGGTTTAGGTCATGGTTCATTTCTTTTCCTATTCTGTTTCACTAATCTGTGTAGCCATCCCTCCACCAATACCTGTAGCTATACATTAAGTCTTAAAATCAGGTAGAGTGATTTCTCCTACTTTGTTTTTTTCAAAATTGTTTCAGCTACCCTGGTTCCTTTGCTTTTCAATACAAATGTTAAAATAATTTTGTCTATATCCACGAAAGATCATGCTGAGATTTTGATAGGAACTTTAATAAACCCATATGTCAATTTGGGAAGGATTAACGCCTTCCAATCTTTGAAAACAATGTATTTCTCCATTTATTTAAAATCTCTGATTTCTTTTTTTTTTTGAGATAGGGACTAGGGACTTGTTCTGTCACTCAGGCTGGAATGCGGTGGCATGAACACGGCTTATGGCATAGCTTCAGTCTCCTGGGCTCAAGCCATCTTCCCAACTCTGCCTCTCAAGTAGCTGGGACTAAAGGTGCATGGCACAACACTGAGCTAACATTTTTTACTTTATTTTTTGTAGAGATGGGGTCTTGCCATGTTGCCTAGGCTGTTCTCCAACTCCTAGGCTCAAGCAGTCCTCCTGCTTCAGTCTCCCGAAGTGCTGGGATTATAAACATGAGCCCCCACACCCAGCCAAATCTTTGTTTTCTTTCATCAGCATTGTGTACTCTTCAGCATACAAATGTTGTATGTGTTTTGTTAGATTTGTACCTAATTATTTCACTTTTTTGAGTGATTATGGTATTAATTTCAGTGTCCATACATTCATTGCTAGTATATAGAAATATAATTTATTTTTATATGTTTATGCTATATCCTATGACTTTGTTGAACCACACTTATAGGAATGTTTTTGTAGATTCCTTGGGATTTTCTATATAGAGAGTAATGTTATCTGCAAATAAGTGCAGGTTCTTTTTTTTCTTTTCTAATCTTTATGCCTTTTTCCCCCCTTGCCTTATTGCACTGGCTAGAATTTCCAGCACTATGAAAGCAGACATCCTTACCTTGGTTTTGATATTAGAGAGAATATATTTAGTATTCCATCAAAAAGAATAAGGTTGACCAGGTTTTTAGATATTCGTTATTAAGTTGAAGAATTTCTGCTTTTTTTTTTTTTTTTTTTTTTTTTGAGAATTTTTATCATAAGTGGATGTTGACTTCTTTTTTTCTGAGTTCCTTTCTCAGGACTAGGCTGACTTTTAATGTTTTTTCTGGATAGATTGATATGATCGCATGATTTTTCTTACTGGAAAACAGAAAATGGTGGGTTACATTGGTTGATTTTCAAATTTTGAGCCAGCCTTGCCTCTGTGGCATAAAACCCACTTGGTCATGGTATATAATTATTTTTATATATTGCTGAATTATATTTGCTAATCTTTTGTTAGGAAATTTTGCATCTATATTCATGAATATTGGACTCTAGTTTTGGTTTTCTGTGCCACTGTCTTTGTCTGGTTCTATTATCGATAATAATAGCTTCATAAAATGAATACTGAAGTGTTCCCTTCTCTTGTATTTTGTAAACGAGATTGTGTAGAATTGCTGTTTATTCTTCAGATGTTTGATGGATTTCTCCAATGCAATCACCTGGGCCCGGAGATTTCTCTTTTGGAATTTTTAAAATTATGAATTCAATTTCATTAATAGTTAAAAGGATATTCAAATGACCTATTTCATATTGAGTATATTTTGGTAGTTTGTGCTTTTTGTGGTATTGGACTACTACTTCTAAGTTGTCAGATTTATATGCATAGAATTGTTTGTAGTATTTCCTTATTCTTCTGATATCTGCAGGGTATATAGTAATGATCCCTGTTTCATGCTTGATGTTGGTAGTTTGTGTCTTCTCTCTTTTGAGAACCAACTCTTTGTTTCATTGTTCTGTGTTTTTTTTCTTTTTGATAATTGTTCTGTTTTCAATTTCACTTATGTTCTTTTTTTAGATTTAATTTTAATTTTTAGTTTTACTTTTTTATGTTCTTTTTATGATTTCATTCCTTCTGCTTGTTTTGGATTTATTTTACTTGTTTTGGGTTTTCCACCTGAGAGATTAGATTATTGATTTGAGACTTTTTCTCTTTTCTAATGTAAGCATTTAATGCTATAAACTTGTCTCTCAGCATTGCTCTAGCTGTTTTGTAAATTTTGATATTTATTTTTATTCGTTGGTTTGTGCAGAATTTAGAAGTGTGTTGTTTAGTTTCTAAATATTTGGAGTTTTACTATTATCTTTCTGTTGTTGAATTCCAGTTTCATTCCATTGTGGTCGGAAAACACACTATATGATTTTAATTCTTTTATATTTCTAGAGGTTTCTTTTATGGCTCAGGATATGGTCTATCTGGATACATATTCTGTGAGCAAATGAAAAGAATGTGTATTCCGCTGTCATTGGGTGGTATATTCTATAAAATGTCAACTAGATCAAGTTGGTTGGTGGTGTTGAGTTCTTTTGTATTCTTTCTGATTTTTTTTTTCTGCCAATTGTTGAGAGAGGGGTGTTGAAGTCTCTAACTATAACTGAATTTGTTTGTTTGCCTTTTCAGTACTATTAGTTTTTGCTTCACATATTTTGCAGTTCTGTTTGGTGTATGCTCACTTAGGATTGCTGTGTCTTTTTGGTGAGTCAGCATGTTTATGATTATGTCTGTCTCTGGTAATTTTTTTTGCTCCAAAGTCTACTTTATCTGATGTGAATATAGCCACACCTGCTTTCCTTTGATTATTGTTTGCATGATATGTCTTTTTCTATTTTTTTTAAATTATACTTTAAGTTCTAGGGTACATGTGCACAACGTGCAGGTTTGTTACATATGTATACATGTGCCATGTTGGTGTGCTGCACCCATTAACTCGTCATTTACATTAGGTATATCTCCTAATGCTATCCCTCCCCGCTCCCCTCACCCCACAACAGGCCCCAGTGTGTGATGTTCCCCACCCTGTGTACAAGTGTTCTCATTGTTCAATTCCCACCTATGAGTGACAACATGCGGTGTTTGGTTTTCTGTCCTTGCGATAGTTTGCTCAGAATGATGGTTTCCAGCTTCATCCATGTCCCTACAAAGGACGTGAACTCATCCTTTTTTATGGCTGCATAGTATTCCATGGTGTATATGTGCCACATTTTCTTAATCCAGTCTATTTTTGATGGACATTTTTGTTGGTTCCAAGTCTTTGCTATTGTGAATAGTGCCTCAATAAAGATACATGTGCATGTGTCTTTATAGCAGCATGATTCATAATCCTTTGGGTATATACCCAGTAATGGGATGGCTGGATCAAATGGTATTTCTAGTTCTAGATCCTTGAGGAATTGCCACACTGTCTTCCACAATGGTTGAACTAATATACACTCCCACCAACAGTGTAAAAGTGTTCCTATTTCTCCACATCCTCTCCAGCTCCTGTTGCTTCCTGACTTTTTAATGATCACCATTCTAACTGGTGTGAAATGGTATCTCATTGTGTTTTTGATTTGCATTTCTCTGATGGCCGGTGATGGCGAGCATTTTTTCATGTGTCTGTTGGCTGCATAAATGTCTTCTTTTGAGAAGTGTCTGTTCATATCCTTTGCCCACTTTTTGATGGGGTTGTTTGATTTTTTCTTGTAAATTTGTTTAAGTTCTTTGTAGATTCTGGATATTAGCCCTCTGTCAGATGGGTAGATTGTAAAAATTTTCTTGCATTCTGTAGGTTGCCTGTTCACTCTGATGGTAGTTTGTTCTGCTGTGCAGAAGCTCTTTAGTTTAACTAGATCCCATTTGTCAATTTTGGCTTTTGTTGCCATTGCTTTTGGTGTTTTAGTCATGAAGTCCTGCCATGCGTATGTCCTGAATGGTATTGCCTAGATTTTCTTCTAGGGTTTTAATGGTTTTAGGTCTAACATTTAAGTCTTTAATCCATCTTGAATTAATTTTTGTAAGGTGTAAGGAAGGGATCCAGTTTCAGCTTTCTACATATGACTAGCCAGTTTTCCCAGCACCATTTATTAAATAGGGAATCCTTTCCCCATTTCTTGTTTTTGTCAGGTTTGTCAAAGATCAGATGGTTGTAGATGTGTGGTATTATTTCTGAGGGCTCTGTTCTGTTCCATTGGTCTATATCTCTGTTTTGGTACCAGTACCATGCTGTTTTGGTTACTGTAGTCTTGTAGTATAGTTTGAAGTCAGGTAGCGTGATGCCTCCAGCTTTGTTCTTTTGGCTTAGGATTGTCTTGGCGATGTGGGCTCTTTTTTGGTTCCATATGAACTTTAAAGTAGTTTTTCCAATTCTGTGAAGAAAGTCCTTGGTAGCTTGATGGGGATGGCATTGAATCTATAAATTACCTTGGGCAGTATGGCCATTTTCATGATATTGATTCTTCCTATCCATGAGCATGGAATGTTCTTCCATTTGTGTCCTCTTTTATTTCATTGAGCAGTGGTTTGTAGTTCTCCTTGAAGAGGTCCTTCACATCCCTTATAAGTTGGATTCCTAAGTATTTTATTCTCTTTGAAGCAATTTTGAATGGGAGTTCACTTATGATTTGACTCTCTGTTTATCTGTTATTGGTGTATAGGAATGCTTGTGATTTTTGCACATTGATTTTGTATCCTGAGACTTTGCTGAAGTTGCTTATCAGCTTAAGGAGATATTGGGCTGAGACGATGGGGTTTTCTAGATATGCAATCATGTCATCTGCAAACAGGGACAATTTGACTTCCTCTTTTCCTAATTCAATACCCTTTATTTCTTTCTCCTGCCTGATTGCCCTGGCCAGAACTTCCAACACTATGTTGAATAGGAGTGGTGAGAGAGGGCATCCCTGTCTTGTGTGACAGTTTTCAAAGGGAATGCTTCCAGTTTTTGCCCATTGATTATGATATTGGCTGTGGGTTTGTCATAAACAGCTCTTATTATTTTGAGATACATCCCATCAATACCTAGTTTATTGAGAGTTTTTAGCATGAGACGCTGTTGAATTTTGTTGAAGGCCTTTTCTGCATCTATTGAGATAATCATGTGGTTTTTGTCTTTGGTTCTGTTTATATGATGGATTACGTTTATTGATTTGCATATGTTGAACCAGCCTTGCATCCCAGGGATGAAGCCAACTTGATCATGGTGGATAAGCTTTTTGATGTGCTGCTGGATTCGGTTTGCCAGTATTTTATTGAGGATTTTTGCATCGATGTTCATCAGGCATATTGGTCTAAATTCTCTTTTTTTGTTGTGTCTCTGCCAGGCTTTGGTATCAGGATGATGCTGGCCTCATAAAATGAGTTAGGGAGGATTCCCTCTTTTTCTATTGATTGGAATAGTTTCAGAAGGAATGGTACCAGCTCCTCTTTGTACCTCTGGTAGAATTCGGCTGTGAATCCGTCTGGTCCTAGACTTTTTTTGATTGGTAGGCTATTAAATATTGCCTCAATTTCCGAACCTGTTACTGGTCTATTCAGAGATTCAACTTCTTCCTGGTTTAGTCTTGGGAGGGTGTATGTGTTGAGGAATTTATCCATTTCTTCTAGATTTTCTAGTTTATTTGCATAGAGGTGTTTATAGTGTTCTCTGATGGTAGTTTGTATTTCTGTGGGATTGGTGGTGATATCCCCTTTATTAGTTTTTATTGCATCTATTTGATTCTTCTCTCTTTTTTCTTCTTTATTAGTCTTGCTAGTGGTCTGTCAATTTTGTTAATCTTTTCAGAAAACCAACTCCTGGATTCATTGATTTTTTGAAGGGTTTTTTGTGTCTCTATTTCCTTCAGTTCTTCTCTGATCTTAGTGATTTCTTGCCTTCTGCTAGCTTTGGAATGTGCTTTCTCTTGCTTCTCTAGTTCTTTTAATTGTGATGTTAGGGTGTCAATTTTAGATCTTTCCTGCTTTCTCTTGTGGGCATTTAGTGCTATAAATTTCCTTCTACACACTGCTTTAAATGTGTCCCAGAGATTCTGGTATGTTGTGTCTTTGTTCTCGTTGGTTTCAAAGAACATCTTTGTTTGTGCCTTCATTTCGTTATGTACCCAGTTGTCATTCAGGAGCAGGTTGTTCAGTGTCCATGTAGTGGAGCAGTTTTGTTTTGAGTGAGTTTCTTAATCCTCAGTTCTAGTTTGATTGCACTGTGGTCTGAGAGACAGTTTGTTATAATTTCTGTTCTTTTATATTTGCTGAGGAGTGCTTTACTTCCAACTATGTGGTCAATTTTGGAATAAGTGTGATGTGGTGCTGTGAAGAATGTATATTTTGTTGATTTGGGGTGGAGAGTTCTGTAGATGTCTATTAGGTCCGCTTGGTGCAGAGCTGAGTTCAATTCCTGGGTATCCTTGTTAACTTTCTGTCTTGTTGATCTGTCTAATGTTGACAGTGGGGTGTTAAAGTCTCCCATTATTATTGTGTGGGAGTCTAAGTCTCTTTGTAGGTCTCTAAGGGCATGCTTTATGAATCCGGTGCTCCTGTATTGGGTGCATATATATTTAGGATAGTTATATGCACCCATATATATTTAGGATAGTTAGCTCTTGTTGAATAGTCTTTTTCTATTGTTTTAATTTCAACTTGCCTATATTCTGTTTGAAGTGAGTTGTAGACAGCATATAGTTGAGTCATGTTTTTAATCCACTTTGGCAATCTTTGTCTTTTAATTGTATTTAGACCACTTACATTTAATTATTGATATTAAATCTTTAGTTTATTTCGTGTTTTCTGTTTGTTATGCTTTTCATTTCTTGATTTGCTTTTTTTCTGCCATCCTGTGGATAGCTGAACATTTTTCAGAATTTCATTTGTTTTTGAGAATATCTCTTCATATAACTTTTTTAGTGGTCGCCCTAGGTTGTATATTATATGTACATAACAGTTTACTGGTGTCACCAGTTCAAGTAAAGTATAGAAACCTTGCCTCCTTTTATTATTCTCTACCATCTCCTTTTTATAATTGTCTTAAACATTTGCCTTATGTACGTACATCTAGAACCATATTAGAGAATTTTATGATTTTTGTTTCAAATGTCAAACATAATTTAGAACACTCAAGAGAAGGAAAGCTTATTGTATTTACCTATATCTTTGCTTACTGTGTTCTTTTTTTTTCTTTTTGATGTTCCAGGATCTTCTCTTTTATCATTTCTTTTTTGTTTAGATAACTTCCTTTAGTCATTCTATGAAGATACGTCTGCTGGTGACAAATTTTCCTATTTTTCCTTCTTCTTAGAATATCTTGATTTCCTCCTCATTCCTGAAGAATATTTTCACTGGTTATAGGATTCTGGGTTGACAATTTTTTTTCTTTTAGCCCTTGAACAATACTGTGTGTCTTTCATCTGACGTCCATGGTTTCTGATGCTGTCAATCACATTTTCTCTCCTATAGGTAAGGCATAAAATTTTAATTGATGCTTTCAAGATTTTTGTTTTAAGCTTACACTAGTTTAATTATGATGTATGTTGGCGTGGATTTCTTTGAGTTTATCCTGTTTGGTGTCTGCTCAGCTTCTTGAACCTGTAGGCTTATTATCCAAATCCTGCCAAATTTGGGAGCTTTTAGTCACTATTTCTTGAAGTATGTTTTTAGCCTCACCCTCTTTCTTTCCAGGACTCTGATGACATGAATATTGGATCTTTTGTTATATTCCAGCAGACCCCTGGAGCTCTGTTTACTTTTCTTTTTCACTGTTTTCTCTGCTATTGGGTAAATTTTACTGTTCTGTCTTCCAGTTCACTGATTCTTTCCTCTGTTGTTTTCATTCTGCTGTTGAGCACATCCATTGAGCTTTCTATTTCAGTTATTGTATTTTTCAATTCTAAAATTTCCATTTGGTTCTTTATATCATCTACTTCTTTGCTGAGACTTCATTTTTCATTGGTTTTATGTGTGTTCATAATTGCTTATTGAAGCATTTTTATCATGGCTGCTTTAAAATCACTGTCAGTTAATTCTATCATCTCTGACATCTTGGTTTTGGCATCTGTTAATTGTCTTATTCATTTTGACATTTTCCTGATTCTTGGTATGACAAGGGATTTTCAAATGAAAGTTGGATATTTTTATATTATGTTGTGAGAATCTGGATCTTCTGTTTTAACTTGGCTTCTCTGATACTACTACAAGAAGGGACAGGGTTGGCGGTAGATGGGTATCATCTTGTTACTGGTGGAGGTAGAAGTCATGGTTCCCACTTGGCGTTCATTGATACCCAAGTTGGGTGGGGGAGCTCCTTCTTACTGCTATGTAGGGGTGGGAGGTCTAGCTTCCTACATGGTCTCCACTGGCACTGTGATATATGGGAGTGGTCTTGTTACCAGTGGGCAATGGTGAAAGTCTGGAATCTCCACTAGGCCTGCTCTGACACTGCCCCAGTAGGGAGGGAGTGGTTGTCTTGGCACTGCCAGGTGGGGGTACAAGTCCAGGCTCCTCATATAGTTTTCACTGACACTGCTGCAGGGAGGGCCTTGCAACTGTGGTTGGTGGGGATGAAAGTCCTGGCTCTGTGGTGTTTACCTGGAATAGAGCTATTATTATCTAAAAGTTTTCCTCTTTCTAGGTTGCCTAGTCCTTTCGTTAGAGCAGCTTTTTTTTGGGTGTATGTCTGTTGGTGTACTGGATTGCTGGCTTCTTCAGCTCCAAGTCTAGGGATTATGAAGCAAAAAGAAAGGAACTTACCACTGTGTTGGTGTTGTTTCTTGGGTCCTGAGGTCCCTAGCTGGTCTGCCTTCTTCTCTCCATTTTTCAGTCTTATGCTTGTTTTATATATAATGCCCATGGTTTTTGGTCGTACCTAGCAGGAGGAATAGGGACATCTACTCCATCATCCCAGAAGTGGCAGGCTCCTCAGTTACTTTTTAATTGCCAAATTATCTGTTCCTTTTCATAACATATTTTGAATATGACTTTCACTTGCTACATGACTGCTGGTTTAAATTGTTCTCCTTTACAAATTTTATGTGATTCCTGACAGTTTGATATTTAATTTTAACCATCTTGCTATAGATATTTTTAAACATAGTCGCCCCAAAATCTTTTTTTGCACATAACCCCAAACTGAAAATCTCTTAGAAGACACAATTAGCACATTTTTAAAATCCTCTCTACAAAAGAGTTAGATTGGTGTATACATATGGTTCAGGCATATGTACAGGGTTAAGTAATAATAAATGTTTTCTCATGGAATACTACTGCTACTAGAAAATTAACTGAACATACATGCATTAGATGTGTCATCAATGGTTACAGCAACTCTTCTTCATCGATGCTGTTGTGCATTAAATTATTCCCAAATGGTTGCTGAAATAACTATAGAGGTTTGAGTGAATCATTTTTGTTTTCCAGAGTGCCTTGCATAGCATTAGGAAAGAAATTCTTACTATTTTTATGTTTTTTGGTGCCATAAGGTATGAGAGAATAGTGTCATGTTTGATCTTTCTGGTTACTCTGTTTGAATGACACTTGAACTGGCTGCTGATGTTAACGTGTGTGGTAGGGAAAGCCATTGTTGGACTCATAGAAATGATTTTTAAGTTGGGTTGGGGTATTTTAAAACTGACACGTTTTGGAAAATGTGGGGTCTTGTTTCTATCCTCAAATTACAATATTTTACTAAATTCAAATACTTATCTCCAACTAATTGAGTATCTGAGAGAATGGTCATTTTGAATAAGTGTGTCTTTCAACAAAATTGTTAAATGACTTTTTTTTTTTCTTGGCAGAATCAGAAAACATTTATCTAGAATGAAAGAGAGTAGAGCAAGAATCAAGTGTTGGCACTCTTAGCGTGTGTGTGTGTGTGTGTGTGTGTGTGTGTGGTTTTGAAAATGATAAATTGTCAACAACTTGCTAGAAATGGAACAAATGGAAATGTTGATTAAAAATGGCTGGTAAAACTTATCTGTAAAGTACTTTATCTTTGTGCTGTACATTTGTACTGTGTTAAAGGCTAAGAAGTAATTGTAATAAACTCTTATAGTCTTGCCTTTTAAAAACTGATTGTCATTATCTCAAACTGTGACTCACAGGGTGCTGGTATAGAAATCTACCCTGGGAGTCAGTGCACCCTGAGTGACAATGGGATCCATCACTGCAAGGAAGGGATCCTCATTAAGGTGAGCATCAGCCAAAACACCCACTTTTCAATGGATAGAATGGTTTTACCTACAAATTATGCTTTATTAAATTGTTGGGTTCTATTTTCTGGTTTTGAAAAGCATAAACAGTGTACACATTTTGATAATATCAGTGATTGGAATCTCTTGTGAGAATGCTGTTACCTATAGATCTGCAGAAATGACAGAGGAAAGCTGTGTCACTAAGGGTGCAGACTGTGCTACAACATGGGACTAAACATAGCTTTTTCCTTTTATTTTTAGAATAGTGTGAATAAAGAAGATTTTTAAGGCAGGAAATGTTGAATATGACAGTTCCTAAAACATTTGTTTTCAATGTCACAGGACTTCTTAGATGAACATTATGACATTCCCAAGATATCCATGGTGAATAATATAATACATAATAATGAAGGTTATGGTGTTGTCTTGGTGAAACCTACAATCTTCTCTGACCTGCAAGAAAATGCTGAAGATGGAACTGAAGGTATATTTAGTAATTTTTAATATAAAAACCAGACATAATTTATTTCAGCATTAAATGCTGATTAAGGATCTGAGTCTTCCTCTCTTCCTTAAAAAAGGTTGTTGGGATATGCTTGGGCATGGAGAGAGAGAAGCTTGGTAACATTAAGTCATAACATTACAGACTGTGAAAGAAACTTTCAAGGTCAACTAGTTCAACTGTCATTCAAAATCTTGATGTTGTGGTTTCTGTGCAGTTCCCTTCTTATCATGGTTAGCTTTCAATGAGGGTGGATGTGTGATAGCAACGATGGGTGTGTGATAGCAATGGTGGGTGTGTGATGCTATGGTGGGTGTGTGACAGCAACAGTGGGTGTGTGACAGCAATGGTGGCTCCTACTGGCGTTTGTTAAGGCTGGAGACAGTGAAATGAATGTGCCAGGCTGAAGGCTGCATTTCCTGGAGGGGATAGTGGAGTTTACCTCTGTTTTTATTGGTAGAAGTAAATGCCTTCCTGTCACCTGCCTTTCTTGGCAGCGAAGGGGAGCTAACTCAGTGGAAATCTGTGAACTTCAAGCTATGATGTAGACCACTATTAAGTCTCAGTCATAGAGAAGGATTAAGCTTTGATGTAGGTGAGGAAAGTTTAAAGCAGTTTATTTATTTAATCAGCTTTTTCAGGTTGAAAGAGTTTAAAGGGTAGTCCTTGTCATCCTTCAGGATCTGCTCCAGTTACATCTCTGCAAGTTCTTTATTTCTTCACAGGTCTCACAAAAGTAAAATAAAGGTGTCAGCTGGGCAGGACTCATCTGAAAGCTCTGGGGGCAGACTCTGTCTCCAAACGCATTCATATCATTCATGGGCAGAATTCATTCCTTTAGCTCATGGGTCTGAAGTCTCCATTTTCTTGCTGGCTGCTGGCTGTTTGCTGGGGCTGGCACTCAGCTCCTAGAGGCTGCTCTCAGGTTCTTGCCTCATGGCCCCCCCATCTCAGCAACAGAGAACATCCCTCAAGGCAAATCTCTCATGCTCTGAATTTCTCTGACTTCCTCTTTAGCAACCAGCTGGAGAAAACTGATTAGCAATCTTAATTACATTGTAAAATTACAGTGCAAAATTCTTCTGCCATTTAATAGGCATGAAAGTAATACCAGGGGGTGGGGATCATGGGGCCTATCTAGAATTAGCTGCTAGATTGGGACTTCATTTAGAAAAGTGGCACTATCTTATCAATCTGTGCATCCTATCTCCTAACGCAGTGCTTAGCAGATAGTAACTATCCAGGAAATGTCTGTTGAGTAAAAGTGATTCTGGGATGAAAAGGGTAAAGGAAGAGTTCAAAATTGGTGATCCTGTGTGAGGGTCAGGGAACCTTGGTATAGAAAGCAAGGCAGCTGCTTGTTGAGAAGACTGTGTAGAAATATATGTTTTTGTTGGGTTAGCTTGTATATTTAACTTTGTTATTATTTGTTTGTTTCTCCAGAAAATAAAGCGCTTAAAATTCAGACAAGTGGAGAGCCAGATGTGGCTGAAAGAGTGGATCTAGAAGAGCTGATTGAGTGTGCAACTGGTAAAATGGAGCTTTGTGCAAGAACTGACCCTTCTGAGCAAGTCGAGGGAAATTGTGAAATTGTAAATGAACTAATTGCTGCCTCCACACAGAAAGGCCAGATAAAGAAGAAAAGGTTGAGTGAACTGGGGATCACGCAAGCTGATGACAACTTAATGTCACAGGAGATGTTTGTTGGGATTGTGGGGAACCAGTTCAAGTGGAATGGGAAAGGTAGTTTTGGCACATTTCTTTTCTGACTACAGTGATGTAAGTAGATAGCAAAATACTGGATTTTGCACATGCTGCCCTAAGAATCACTGCTGCCATTGTAGTTTGCTGTATTGTCTGTATTTTATATTTGATTATTTGGGCTTGAGTGAAAGGTAGATTTATTTCCATTTGCAGGTGTTGCACATAAAACACTCCCTCTTTATAAGAAAAATCATAAATGCATATAAAATAGAAAATATTTGGAGATTGCTTATCTGAAAGTCTTGCTTTCTTATACACATGGTTCTCTCATATTAAGCCTGGTAGTAACTTTTTAGTGTAATTACCTTTAGCACTTCAAAGACGAGGAAGTAAGGAAGGGAATGCAAGACTAGTGCATAAAAATGCAATAGGTGTCATATGTACAGCATTCTTCTTAGAGTTGCCTTTTCATCCCAATTACAGTGAGTCTGATTTCCATCCTGTATTTGCATAATACTTGTCTTAAAATAAAAGCTTTTATGATTGGGAATTTATCTGCCTAATCAGACTTATTATTGAGACGTCAATGGGACGCATTTTTCTGTTGAGCTATGCAGTCGTCAAAACAGCGATAGACAGCATAGGAGGTTTGAAGCAGAAATGAAATGTGTTATTCAGAGCCAATGTTGTACATAGAGCATTTTCACTATTGCTGAATGGGAATGATTAAAAACAAGGTATTTTTCGGGCCAGGCGGTGGCTCACGCTTGTAATCGCAGCACTTTGGGAGGCTGAGGCAGGAGGATCACTTGAGCCCAGGAGTTCAAGACTAGCCTAGGCAACATAGTGAGACCCTGTCTCTACTAAAAATAAATTTAAAAAAAATTAGCTGAGTGTGGTGGTGCATGCATGTAGTTCCAGCTACTCAGGAGGCTGAGGCTAGAGGATCCTTGAGCCCAGGAGGTTGAGGCTGCAGTGAGGTGTGATTGCGCCACTGCATTCCAGCTTGGGCGACAGAGCGAGACCCAGTCTCAAAAAAAAAAAAAAGTATTTTTCTCTTACCGTTACAGTATTCTGATTATATTACTGACACAGTCAAAATGATTAACTGTACAACCTGTATCTGCTGGGTGTTCTTGTTATCATATTGTAAAACAGCTTTAAAAATATTTATATTTTAAAAACTGTATGTGACATTAATATGCCTAATGATTAAAATTATAGTGATGAAATAACAAAATTGAATCTTGTTATATCTTTTCAAACTCACTGTGGGCCATAGTGTCAGTGTAGCATATGTGGTCATTTAAGAATACATGGTATTTTGGTATCTGTTTTCATGCTTTAGAAAGAGTATTACATTTTTTCCCATTAAGTGTGGTTATGTTTGTTTTTTAAATTTGAGTAAAAAATAATTCTTATTTTTTGGATGCTACTAAATGTAGGATTTATGTTAGATTTATTATTTGATCATTGAAAGGTATTTTTACTTTTAAAAAATCTTGTTGCAAGGAGGTTTAAAAAGTAATGTTCATTTCTGCATCAGTTTCAGCCAAATGTTGATATTAAAACCTTTTATTCTTTTTTTTAATTTTTGCCTCTAGATGTGATGCCTTAAGATAAAAACCATTTATTCAACTTAAAAAAAAATCACTTTTTTTTTTTTTTTGAGATGGAGTCTTGCTCTGTCACCCAGGCTGGAGTGCAGTGGCACTATCTCGGCTTACTGTAACCTCCACCTCCTGAATTCAAGCAATTCTCCTGCCTCAGTCGCCTGAGTAGCTGGGATTATAGGTGCCCGCCACCATGCCCAGCTAATTTTTTTTTTGTATTTATTTTATTTTTATTTTATTTTGTTTTGTTTTTGAGATGGAGCTTCACTTTGTCACCCAGGCTGGAGTGCAGTGGCATGATCTCGGCTCATTGCAACCTCAGTCTCCTGGGTTCAAGTGATTCTCATGCCTCAGCCTCCCAAGTAGCTGGTATGACAGCCACCATGCCTGGCTAATTTTTGTATTTTTAGTAGAGACAGGGTTTAACCATGTTGGCCAGGCTGGTCTCAAACTCCTGACCTCAAGTGATCCACCCACCTTGGCCTCCCAAAGTGCTGGGATTACAGGCATGAGCCACGTGCCTGGCCTTTTTTTTGTATTTTTAGTAGATATGGGGTTTCACCATGTTGCCCAGGCTGTTCTCAAACTCCTGACCTCAAGTGATCCACCCACCTCAGCCTCCCAAATCACATTGATTTTTCAATTGAATTTCTACTTTATCTTGGTTTAGATTTTGTAGATAAGTTAGTAACATTTATACCTTCCTTGTTTCTTTTTATAACATGGAGTTTTTCAGATTTCATGTCTATTTTAGCTTAAATCTAAGCTTATATTAATTTTTATTCACATGATTCATTATAATGAGTAGGCCTACTTTGTTCTTATTTAAGTTATATGCAGTACATTTTGCCTCAATCATGGAGAGTTAAACATCTCAAATGGTATAGCATAGGGAATTTAGGGAGTGCCCTAGAGGGGTATGGGTTTGATATTTGAGATGAAAACACTGATGTGGAGAAAGGATAGCCTTCTGTGTTGACTAATTGTGTGTCCTGTCCTTATGGTCCACTCTTAGTGTGACCTTGAATTTATGGCAGGTAGCAAAATTCTATTTTGCTGATTTGAGTATTTTATTTTAGCTTCTTTAGATGTATTTCCCTTCTTCAGTTTCTTGTTGTATTATTGCACCATAGATATTAACACGAATATATTTTTAAAAACTGCCCAGAGATCATTTGATCTCAAGTGTATATACACTTCACTTTTCTGGAGTTACAGAAGGATGGTGAAATAATCATTTTCTGGATTTTGCTTTTCAGAGGGAGATTGAAGAAAGTTCAATAGAACACTGATGAGCTCATAAGAACCGTGTCGTTCATGTTTCTTTGTAATTCAGTTTGCTGTTTTTATTCTTATTCCTTTCTAGGAAGTACATTCCACAGGCTTCTATGGAAATTAAGTTGAAATAAATTTTGATAATTGGCCTTTGATGCAAAATTTATGCATAGCATTTAATTTTATAACATTTTGTTTTATTCTGTGATTAAATATATATATGTATATGTTTTAAAGTCTTATATGTGGTGAACATTCTCCTCTTTTTTTAGTTCTCACTATTAATAGAAAAAAATATATATTTTAAAAACAAAACAGGTGTAATATATCAATGCTCTGAGAATTGCTATTGCTATTTTCCCTTAATATATTGCAGAAAAATATGTCTGTACATACAAATCCACCTTATTCTTTTGATAGTTGTGTTATAGCCCATTGCTGGAATTCTTTCAGTTGTAAGTGATAGAAACTCAACTGAGAAAGGCTGTATGAGAGTTGGTTCTTGGAACTAAACATCTAAGGATGAGAGCTTGATTACATTTCTTACTTTTATAAGGTTTCTTGACAGTATGAGTTCTGTTTTCTTTCTTTTCCCCTTCCCCTTCCCCTTCCCCTTCCCCTCCATCTCCTTCCCCTTCCCCTCCATCTCCTTCCCCTTCCCCTTCCCCTTCCCCTCCATCTCCTTCCCCTTCCCTTTCCCTTTCCCTTTCCCTCTCCCTTTTCCTTTCCCTTCCCTTCCCTCTCTGTCACCCAGGGTGGAATGCAATGGCGTGATCTTGGCTCACTGCAACTGCCGCCTCCCATGCCTTAATGGAAGTTGTAAGCTGCTTCTTAAAAATTTATTTTAGGCTGGATGCCTGTAATCCCAGCACTCTGGGAGGCTGAGGTGGGAAGATCGCTTGGGACTAGGAGTTTGAGACCAGCCAGGGCAACATAGCAAGACCTCATCTCTAAAAAATTTTAAAAATTAGGAAGGCATGGTGGCATGCATCTGTGGTTCCAGCTACTCAGGAGGTAGAAGTAGGAGGATTGCTAGAACCCAGGAGTTACAGGCTGCAGTGAGCTATGATTGCACCACTGCACTCCAGCCTGGGTGACAGAGTGAGGCCCTGTCTCTTAAAAAAAAAAATCACAGGCCAGGCACAGTGGCTCATGCCTATAATCCCAGCACTTTGGGAGGCCGAGGCAGGTGGATCACCTAAGGTCAGGAGGTCGAGACCAGCCTGGCCAACATGGTGAAACCCTGTCTCTACTAAAAATACAAAAATTAGCCAGGCATGGTGGCAGGCGCCTGTAATCCCAGCTAGTAGGGAGGCTGTGGCAGGAGAATCACTTGAACCCAGGAGGTGGAGGTTGCAGTGAGCCAAGATAGCACCATTGAACTCCAGCCTGGGTGACAAGAGCAAAACTCCATCTCAAAAAAAAAAAATCACAAATAACTATAATGTATTATGTTTCCCATGAAAACAATGCAAAGATTTAATTAGTTCTTAACTGCTTGCTAAATTGTTCCAATTTTATTCCAAATGGGTTTTAAAAAGCTACACACCAAGTTTATTCACACTGTTTCAGTGAGAAAGTTGCCAGTCCACCTGGCCTGAAAGTAGTAAAAGCTGAACTCCACAAGTGTACAGGCTTCTTAGTGAGGGAGGATTTTTATTTCCACCCACCCTTGACATCACCCAAACAAATAGGCCTGAGTGCAGAAAACTCTTAATTTTGGATGTAAGCAAATGGAACCAGAAATGTCTGAGATTCTGGGATGTGAATGTGTTCAGCTGAAAGGGTTGATGTCCTGGATCCATTCCACCCAGACTCCCCTTTATCTAAGTATTCTCAAATGTGTCCACAGTCAAACATCAACCATTTTAGTCAAATTTCAACAAAAATGAGCTAGAGAAACTCTTAGAAATTTGACCTGCTTACCAATTGGCTACTAATATAGAGTCCCCCACTTCCTTTGGAAATGCTTCCAATCTGGAAGATTCAAGACCAGCTTTTAGCCAAGATAGAGTAATAGGTCGTAGGTTTACCCCCATGCCTTACCTAGAAGACTGGACAAGATATATCTGAGACAGTGGTTTTCCAGATGTCATGTAACAGGCAACACAGAACAGTAATACCTAAGAAGAAAAACTGAAAAAGTAAGTTCTACAATTACACCAGCTTAGTGCTTAAGGGCAGATTCCAGGCCTCACTACAGGGAGGGGAAATGAAGCCTGGTTAATTCACTAAGTCAGGGAGACAGAGTCAGAGCTTAGAGGCCAAGGCAGCCAGAATTTGCAAGGCAGATCACTGGAAGGGAGGGAGATGCACAGACAGCACCAGAAACCTACAGAGGGTCCCCTGTGGTATCACTTGAGTACCAATATGCATGTGTCTAGCTTGTAGATGGCCGTCTTTTTCCATGTGCCTTCACATGGTCTCTACTCTGTGCCTGTTTGTGTCCTCATCTCTTATAAGGATGCCAGTCACATTGGATTAGGGCCTACCCATAAGACCTCATTTTACTTTTAATATACAGGACCTGTCTCGAAATACAGTCATATTTTAAGGCACATGGGTTAAGACTTCAGCATAACTTCAATCTATGAATTTTGTGAGAGACATAATTAGCCCGTAACACCTTCTTAATGTGGACAGTTATTGGAAGCCAGATGAAATTTATGAAAAATTTGTACTGAAAATATTTCAAAAGTAACATTTTAATAATTTTCAGGTCTATATAGTTAACCTTGAGCTACCTACTTTAAGATGTTGCTAAATAGGGCATGCTTTATTAAATAGATATTTTATTTGTGATTACTGCATTGTTTACTTTTTACACACTTAACAGATTTTAAATCAAATCGATAAGCATATTGCATCTCCTTTATGGGTAAATCATGTGCCCCAGAGACCCCAAAATCTTGATGACATTCTGTGAAGTTATACAAATATATCTAAAGAAACATATCTGTTCTTGTTCTGATTTCAATTCTAAATAAAAATCCAATTTCAAAATCAATTAAGAATGATTTTAATCTAGGAAACCTTGGAATTGTTACACATGTAAAGCCTTGTCTCTGAGAGCCTTTTCTCCTCACCACTGCACCACTCCACAAATCTTAGCTGGTATGGCATAGCATTGCCCCCAGTCATAGGAACCTGAGAGCTCAGCCCCAAGATCACCACCATCATGGGTTTGCTCAGCCTTCGGTGCGTGTGACTTCAGCTTCTGGGGTAGGTACAGGGCAACCAAAATGGATGAAGAAACACTTCAGCAAAAAAACCATGATTTGTCCACAAAACAGTGAAAAAGCGTCACGTAAAATTAACAAACCAAACAAATCTAACACCATTCTGCATCTCTAGAACTTGGTTTGATATTTGCACAATGTTCTTGGTCACCCACGAATATTTTCTGCATCTATCTGAAGAACTTAATTATTAAGTTACTAAACCTGCTCTTTTGACCATAAATCACAGAATTGTGATGATTAGAAAATTCATTTAGTACTCTGTGCAGGGCACTTGCCAGTGTGGCGAGTGTAGTGCAATTAAAGATGGGATAGAAGTCTCTGGCATCTGAACTGGACACAGGAGTTCTCAAAATCACGACAGGGCAGTGAAACGGCATGGTCAGAACTGAGGAACATCATTTCCTTGGAAAGTCTTACAAATATCTAAGCACTGCCTGAAGTCAACTGAGTACCTTGCTCCATACACTTCCACAGAAATGGGTAACTGGCACCCATTCATTATAATCCATGTCATCTCTGTCTCTACTTCCCAGGCAGTGTCCCTGTCCCTCACCCCTAGCTTCAGGCTGTGTTTCCAGCTGCTGCTCTGCTTCCGCCATCAATGCCACCTGCAGCAGCTGGGTCCCCTGCTGGATGGCACTGTGGGTAACCTGCATCCTTTCACTGTGCACATGGTTCTCATGCCTTTACGGAGCAGACTCCTTGGCAAATAAATGCCTCAGTGCAGGAGCCACACGCAAGGCATTTCCCTTCTGTGTCCTCTTTCGTGATCTTGAGGTGGGACTTGGGTTTGAAGGCTTTGTCACTCACCTGGCATGCAAACTCTTTTGTTATTGTGAACTCTCTGACAGTGCTTTAAGTCTGGGGCACGAATAAATAATTTTCCACACAGCTCACAACTGTAGGGCTTACATCCAGTGTGTGTGCGTTATGTCTGTGTGTGTATCCTTATTTTTTTGAGACGGAGTCTCCCTCTGTCACCCAGGCTGGAGTGCAGTGGCGCGATCTCGGCTCACTGCAACCTCCGCCTCCTGGGTTCAAACGATTCTCCTGCCTCAGCCTCCCGAGTAGCTGGGATTACAGGCACCCACCACCACGCCTGGCTAATTTTTGTATTTTTAGTAGAGATGGGGTTTCTCCATGTTGGTCAGGCTGGTCTCGATTTCCTGACCTTGTGATCCGCCTGCCTCGGCCTCCCAAAGTGCTGTGATTATAGGTGTGACACACCACACCCGGTCCTGTGTATGTTTTGAGACGGAGTCTCACTCTGTCACCCAAGCTGAAGTGCAGTGGCAGGATCTCTTCTCACTGCAACCTCCACCTCCTGGGCTCAAGTGATTCTCCTGCCTCAGCCTCCCAAGTAGCTGGTATTTCAGACTTGCACCATGATGCCTGGCTACTTTTTATATTTTTAGTAGAGACGGAGTTTCACCAGCCTGGTCTCGAACTCCTGACCTCAAGTGATCCACCCACCTTGGCCTCCCAAAGTACTGGGATTACAGACATGAGCCATCACGCCCGGCCCCTAAGTGGATTTTTAGGCATTCTTTCAGGTGGGCCTCTGTGGTGAAACCTTTTGTGCACATTTCACAAACGGCTTCTCCGCTGTGTGGCATTTCTCAGCTTTCTCCACTGCCTTCACAGGAAACTTCTTCCCGCACTCCTGGCCGACGTCGCTCCCTAGGTGACTGTGCGGCAAAAGCTCAGACCTCAGGACACTGGTGGCTGTTGTCCAGCCTAGTGTCTGCTTACCCCGCACTCATCCCGTAGTCACACGTGAAGGCTTGAGGGGTCTGGAACTTCCTGGCCGTAGCAATGGACTTTCTGAACTTTCTTGCTCTTTCAGAATTGCGTTTTGACCCTGAGTGTGGTCGTGGGTGACTCGCCGGCCTCCCGCCCCGGGGTGTGGTGCCTTTGTTCTGAGTCATCACAAGTGCCATCATCCTGATCCTAGCTTCTTTCAGATCACCCTCTCGAGGCTCAGCAGCGTCTCCGCCAGGGAATGTGGGGCCCTCACCCTCATTTCCCTGGTTCCTGGAGGTGGGGGCATGCCCGAGGCCGTTTGCCTCCTTCCCTAGACAGAAGCTCCCCGCCCCGGATACAGGCACGGAAGGGCCACGTTTCCTTCTGTAATCAGGCCTCGGGCGCAGGCTGGAGCGGCTCTGAGAACAGGGGGGACCCAGCCCTGCCGACTCCCCCAGGCCCGCTAGCACTCGGCCCTCCCCACTGTTTATATTTAAGATGATGAGAAAATAAATCCGTCAAGTAGGTTAACCACTTCCTACCGCATGGAGTCTGCCTTTATTTTCTTTGTATTGCAAAATAATTTATACATCATAAAATTTAATCTTTAAAGTGTACAGTTCAGTGGTTTTTAATATATTCTCAAAGTCGTACCACTATCAGCATGATCTAACCCCAGAACATGTCCCTCACCCGCAAAAGAAATCTGTGTCCCTTGCGGTTACTCTCTCTCCATCCCTTCTTCTTCCGGCTCTGGCAATGGCTAATCTACTTTCTGCATCTTTGGATTTGCCTCTTCTGGACATGTCATAGAAATGTAATCATACAATATATGGTCTTTTACTTCTTGTTTGATCTCTTAGCATAATATTTTCAAGGCTCATTCAAGTTGCAGCATGCAACAGTGCTTCATGGCTTTTTATATTTGAATATTGCGTTGTATGCATGGACCACTTTGTTTATCCATTCATCTGTTGATGGACATTTGGATTATTTTCCCTTTTTGGCTATTGTGAATGCAGCTGTTATGGTAATTATCATATGTTAATTCCGTTTCACTTTTTGAGGAACTAGGCCTCCCAGTCCCAAAATTATATGCAGTGATTTAGTCTGATTTGGTTTTTTTGTTTATATATGACCACAACTTAGAAAAATGTTCACCAATTAAAAGAGGTGTAGGCAACAGTTTCTAATACATATTTCCCAGGTTCTATAATAGCTCAAGTCTCAGTCTGAGTGATGGTCCATTGACACTTCTCTGATATCCTTCAGAAAAGTAATAAATAAAGGCTTACTTCCAAAGCTAGCTAAAAAGTAACCTCCTGAATTAAATCTGCCTTTCAGTGAAGGTTGGTTAGGTAACAAAGGCAATGGCACTGAAGAAGTTACTGAAATTTGGATAGATAGCACAGGAAATCCGAGTGGAACACCACTGTGGAATCCCATACACATAATAAGGCAGTAGGCTTTTATACAAATCCAAGAATTTTTAAAGGTTTTTAGCAAAAATGTAACTACTCTTATTACCTAATAAGTATCATCCCTCCAATGTGCATTTCACATACTAACGGCCATTTTGTGGTGGTGTGGTGGGTTTTTCCAGAGTTTTCTAAAATCTGTTTTAGGGACATTTCCTGCCCCACCCTGTAGGTCTTCCAGGATGTAAAGCCAGCTCACTCGCTCTTCTGAAAGTGAGGTGCCAGGCCACGGAGCATGGGGTCTTTCAGCAGCACTCAGGGCATGGGGTCTGGCTTCTTCAAGTGCCAGGGACAGCTGCCCTTGGGTCAACAGCATCTGTGGCTGGCTTGCATGGTTTGCTTCCCAAGTTTCATTGCTCCACTGTTTCCATTTTTGTGGGGGTCCAAGGATGAGATCTGGTGGCTGATACCTTGATATTAATAGCATTTTTTGCCCTCGTCTCAACCATGATGGCACCCACGGATTCAGCATATTCCTCAGCATCCTTCAGGGGAAACTCCCTAATATCTGAGAGATGGCACTTGTTTCAGTAATAGTCATTACAATGTTTTCTGGACCATGTTCTTTCAGCTCTTTATCCCACTTCTTCAAGGCATGAAATGAATCCTGTTTGGGTAACATCTGTATGAAATGAATCCTGTTTGGGTAACATCATGCACTGTATCAGCTGCAGCCGATCCTCCATAGCACATGAGCCAACGAATGAAACCGTTCCTGGCCAGCAGTGTCCCAGATGAGGAACTTGTGAAGGTCATTTCCAGAAGGCGCAGTTTTGGTCACAAAAGATACCTCAATGGTAGGGCTTATGTTGCGGTCAAAGTGATCCTGGGCAAATCGATACACAATGCTTGATTTCCCTACGCCAGTGTCCCCGAGAAGGCACACTTTGAGCTCCTCTATTGCCATCATGTGCTGGCTGTCAGGCTGACAGGGGCTCAGCAGCGTCCTCCCAGCCTCATCAGCATCTCCCGCCTGGGCCCTCGCTGGTGCCGCCCAACTTTTCATCTTCAAAGCCCTTTTTCTACTGCAGTTGCTTTTTCCAACAGCCGCGTATTTATCCAAGGGAAGGACTCTGATTGGTCTTGGTTGAAGCATATAAATCCCTCTGCCCCGGGTAATGAGATGCTATGACTGGTTATGTCTGCATCAAGTGCACCAAAAGGAGACGCTTTGGGCAGTCCCAAACAGTAGCTGTTATAATCCACTACAGCCTGGATTGCAAGATCGTGGGAACTTTCCTGTTTCATAGTTCCATAGGGAGGACATTTGGTTGGTCTCATTAGACTAAAAGGGGAGTAGGGTTTTCTGTGTTTCTTCTTGTTAACTTAGGACTGGGATTTCTTTGGGGATTGAAAGTCAGTTTCAGTTCTAGGTAGAGATGGCTGATTCAATGTATGCATCACTTAGCATGTTAGCGAAGCTTTGAGAGTAACAAAGAGTAAGAAGATTAAAAGAATATGTAAACTCAAAAAAAACACAAAAAGAAAGAGAAAGGAAATAAAATATGCAAAATTTGGAAGTTGAAAAGCACATGGACAAGTGGGAACTGACTTGGTTCTCCCTACTGCTAGCTTAGGAGTCAGTTTTCTCTGCTGGGAAGTGCCTGGTGCAGGAATTGGCACTTTCAGGTACTTCTGGAAGTAAAGGTAAAGGTGAGATTTGAAAAAGCAGAAAATCGGCAGGGCACGGTGGCTTAGGCCTGTAATCCCAATACTTTGGGAGGCCGAGGGTGGGGGGGGGCGGTGGATCACCTGAGGTCAGGAGTTCGAGACCAGCCTGGCCAACATGATGAAACCCCGTCTCTACTAAAAATACAAAAAATTAGCTGGGTGTGGTGGTAGACGCCTGTAATCCCAGC
This sequence comes from Homo sapiens, assembly GCF_000001405.40. NCBI lineage: Eukaryota > Metazoa > Chordata > Mammalia > Primates > Hominidae > Homo > Homo sapiens. Next base: position 46,570,583 of record NC_000016.10, on the reverse strand, counting down.
TAACCGGCAGGCTGAGGCAGGAGAATCACTTGAACGTGGGTGGCAGAGGTTGCAGTGAGCTGAGGTCGAGCCACTGCACTCTAGCCTGGGCAACAAGAGCGCAACTCCATCTCAAAAAAAAAAAAAAAAAAAAAAAAGAGGGTCTCTGGCCTGGCAGACACTAGGCGTAGTAGGCCACTGGAGTGCTGTACTGAAAACGGGGTTATGTGAATGGCTCCTAGTTTTCTTCTCTTTCTCCTTTTTCTTTTCTTTTTTGTTAGACAAGGTCTCGTCCTGTCACCCAGGCTGGAGTGCGGTGGTGCCATCTTGGCTCACTGCAACCTCCGCCTCCAGGGTTTAAATGATTCTCGTGGCTCAGCCTCCTGAGAAGCTGGGACTACAGGTGCCCGCCACCACACCCAGCTAATTTTTGTAGAGACAGGGTTCCTCCATGTTGCCCAGGCTGGTCTTTAACTCCTGAGCTCAAGCGATCCTCCCGCCTTGGCCTCCCACAGTGCAGGGATTACAGGCCTGAGTCACCGAGCCTGATCCCTAGTTTTCTTCTCATGCTCAGCTTCCAGGATGCCGACTGCCAGGTCTGTACTCTACGGGCAGAGGTTTATAGAAATGTTTTTTAGGTCTCCCTTCGTGGTCATTTCCCCAGAGATACTGTACAAATACTGGATGCTTTTTAAGGGAACGCCCCATGATTGACCTCTGGTAAAGCTCATAGTTGCTAAGCATCAGGGGATTGAGCCTCCAATCAGGTGGTAATGTGCTGACTTTTTAAATGGAGCAGACCGCGCAGGATCCCCAGACAGCTGAGGAAAGACTCTAATATGACACAGATGAATGCAACCCAGCATCTCCTCTGACTATTTTTCCTCCAGCAGCGCGGGCCCCGGGGTCAGTCTCAACCAAGGAAGCCAGGCCGGACTGCAGCGGCTGTGGCTGCGTAGGGGCGGAATGGGCCGCTGGGCTCCATCCAGGTGGCTCTAGGCACAAGCCAGGGGAGCGGGTGCAGGCAGGCACCAGAAGCTGCGCTGGGAGGGTCTGCTGGCTGGGCAGGGAGTGGTGCGCTGCCTACTCTGAGGTCCTCGGTTCTGAGCTCAGCAGCCTTCGCTGGCGCCCGAGCTGCAGCCGCGATTTGCAAGGAGCTCCGCCCGCCAGAGAGTGTCCTCATGGGGGTTTCCCCGGGCGAGGCCTTCAGCATCCCAAGGTTCTCTAGCTGCTCTACCCTCAGTCCTGTGTTCCCACGTGGGAATGGCGTCTTCACACGTGACTGGGGCTAGAGTAGCTGGAACTTCAGGATGCCTTCCCCTTCCGGGGAATGTCCTGAAAACTCTGCCAACTCTCACTGACGTGGGGCGGGAACGCAGGGCTGGTGACAAGCTGTCATCGATGTTTCTGACACGTGAGCCATGCACATGCGCGCTGAGAACGGTTGGCCACCTGTCGGTTGTGCGCACGCGCAGTGACGAGCTGTCAGAGGTGCGCATGCGCGGTCGGGCATACCGGCTTCGCTTGGCGCGGCTTGGCTGGTTGGCTTCGCTTGTTACTGGCTCTGACTTTGGAAACTGCGAAGTTTCCTGGTTGGAGGTGGTGGCTGACCAGAGTGGCTTGGTCTTACTGGGCCTCTGAGGCTGTGATAGGCGGACTGGTGCTGAGGTGTCTCTGATAGCCTCCGCCATGAGGAGGAGCTCTGGCTTCGGGGGCCAGAAGGGCCAGGGGCCCTCCTGCTCCTTCACCGGCTGTTGGTGTTGCAGGGGGGACGATGTCGCCGAGAGCGATGACAGCCCCTTCGCCCAGTGCGGGTACAATATCCAAGAGAAACACCTCGGCAAGCTCCACAGAGCTGCCAGCCGGGGTGAAGTCTCCAAGGTGGAGTGCATCCTTTCGAGCGGGAGCGCTGACTTGGATGAGAGAGACAAGAAGAAAAGGTGACAGGAGCTGGGGCTGGGGGCGGGGACTGGGAGGAGGCGGGTGTGTGGGAGAAGTGCCCCCTTTTTGGCGGGGGGATGCGGGGTGGGGGGCGATCCCTCCTGACCCCGGGGTCCTGGCTTTCCTGCCTCTGCAGGCTCCACAGCACCTGGCCTGGGGAAACCTTGGAGGGGTTAATTAAGTCTATACAGCACTTTATCTTGAATGGACACATTTCAAAACATATATATATATATATATATATATATATATATATATATATATATATTTTTTTTTTTTTTTAATGAGACGTAGTTTCGCTCTTTTTGCCCAGGCTGGAGTGCAGTGGCGCGATCTTGGCTTACTGCCGCCTCTATCTCCCGGGTTCCAGCAATTCTCCTGCCTGAGCCTCCTGAGCAGCTGGGATTATAGGTGCACACTACCACTCCCGGCTAATTTTTGTATTTTTAGTAGAGACGGGGTTTCACCATGTTGGCCAGGCTTGTCTCGAACTCCTGACTTAAGATGATCCGTCCGCCTCAGCCTCCCAGAGTGCTGGGATTACAGGCGTGAGCCACTGCGCCTGGCCAACATAAAGTTATATACGCTATAGACAGGTGCATAAGGAGAGCAATAATTCCCATGACATTTCAACTTCTGGGCTAACAATTCTTCAGATTATATCTAATATTTATTTTTATATAAATGTACATCTACGTAAATACGTTATTTACTGAGGAACCTTAGAAGGAAACTTTGAAGTGGGAAGTCGTTCCTGTTCTTGAGTAGGAAGATTCGTTTTTCTTAAGATGTGAGCTCTTTGTCTATCAACTTTACATAAATCAGATAAAAATATCAAAGTTTTAACATTTTAAAATTAAACTTGTTGTCTGTGTTTTACTATTATGATGACATGAAAATGTTTTTTGTAATGAGGTGAGAAAGACTGGCCTTTCTATATATCAAAATGTGCTATTAATTTCCACAAATTGTTTATTAACAACTGAAAAGACAAATGAATGAAACAGAATAGAAGATCTAGAATTGCCCAAATACATGTAAGAATTTAGAACTTGATAATGTTGACATTTTAGATTAGTAGGAAGGGTGAATTATTCATAAATGAAATGCCTGCTGTTTGGTGAAAACGAACTAGATTTTTATGTCACAGAAATAAGTTCCTGATGAAATATAGATCAAATATTTTAAGTATACAAAATAAGGAAAGTACCAGAAGAAGACACACATGCCTTTTTATACAGATACATTTTTATGTTGACAAAGACTTTCTTAAGAACTTCACAAGCAAGCATTCTGCAGGTTGATTTAGCAAAATAAAACTTAAAACACTCTGTAAATAAGAAAAAAAGACAACCTACTTGCAAAATATTTACACTACATACATATAACACACACATGTAATACATACACATCAGGTGAAAAATGTATCTTCATATTACAGATAATTCAGATCAACAAGAAAATAATTCTAAATTTGGGCAAAGTACTTCTTTTGTAGATCTATAAGTGACATAGGAAAAGATATTTAGTATTTCTTGTAAGAGAAGTAATTCATGTTAAAAAAGAAATAAAATACTGTTTCCTATCCACAAAGTTTGTGAAGATGAAGACAGTGGTACTTATATGGCTGCTTAAAGTTTAAGTTGCTGATGAATTTTCAAGTAGAGAATTTGGTGATAAGCACCACATTTAAAAAAAACATAAATGCCCTTCACTCATCAATTCCATTATACTGAAATATTTGTAAAAAATAGAGATACATCCAATTTGTTTTTCTCAGTACTGCTTAAAACCTCAATGTATTAAGAAAAACTCATATGGTGGATTTTAGAACTAAATTTCAGTGCATCCATAGGATGGAATAGTAGCCGTTGAAGGTGTGACTAGATGCAGACTTATTTTGACATGTGAAGATGTACTTTGCTATACAAATTGAGAAAAAATTATTTTGAGTGTACATACACACAGACTATGCTCTTGTTTTAGCTGAAAATATGTACCAAATATGAGTACATTTATTTCTGGGCATTTGTACTATAAGTACCTTTTTTTCTTGTCTGTGATTTCTGCAATGAGTTTGTATAAAAGTTATAGTAAAGGCTTATTATTAATGAAATAATCCTTGGGAAAAGAAGAATACATGAAACTTGCCTAGATAAAAATCATTTCTCACTTTGTATTATTTTATTTTTGCGGTTTGGTCTCTTCAGTTAACTTTTAGCCTTTTTTGGAGAAGGGGGAATCCTTTTATCTGTGCTTAAAGGTTTTATTATGAGTACATTTTCATTATATACATATGTTTTTATTATATACAGATTTACTATATATGTGAAAAAAACAGATTAAAAATTTTAGTTTAGTTGTGTCCTTATGAAAATAAAAAATAGCAAATATAAGTGATTATTACTATTACAAAAGTATTGCTTTATCTTATGGGAGTTTTCCTTAAAAATGTTGAACTCCCCAACTGTATTTTTCCATTTTTTTTAAATAAAAATAATTTTCTTTTTGAGGCAGGATCTCACCCAGGTTGGAGTGCAGTGGCACAATTATGGTTCACTGCAGCCTCGACCTCCTGTGCTCAAGTGATCCTCTCCTCAGCCTCTGAGTAGCTGGGACTGCTGGTGTGCGCACCATGCCTGGCTAATTTTTGTACTTTTTGTAGAGACGGGTGTCGCCATGTTGTCCAGGTTGGTCTTAAACTCCTGGGCCCAAGTAATCCTCCCACCTTGGCCTCTCAAAGAGCTGCAATTACAGACATGAGGCACCACGCACAGCCTCCATTCTTTCAATCGATTTATTCATCAAACAGAGGCTGGACACCTGTTATGTAGTACACATATTCTACTATCTTTCAGGATGCTTTCATCCTTAAAAACTTCATATTTACCTGCCTAGCTTGAGCAAACTGAGAGATTTAAAATTGGAGTATTATAACTTAATCTCAACTGAAGCTTTTCCTTCCTCCTTTAAGCATTTCTGAAGGTGGAAAATAGCAAAATAGAACTTTTTTTTTTTTTTTTTTTTGAGACCGAGTCTCTGTTGCCCAGGCTGGAGTGCAATGGCACAATCTTGGCTGATCTTGGCTCACCGCAGCCTCCGCCTTCTGGATTCAAGTGATTCTCTTGCCTCAGCCTCCTGAGTATCTGGGATTACAGGCGTGCACCACCACACCTGGCTAATTTTTGTATTTTTAGAAGAGACAGGGCTTCACCATGTTGGCCAGGTTGGTCTTGAACTCCTGACCTCAGGTGATCTGCCTGCCTCGGCCACCCAAAGTGCTGGGATTACAGGCATGAGCCATTGTGCCCGGCCACAAAATATAACTTATAACTACTCTTTTGAAAGTTTTTAACAGTCTTAAATGTGAATATTAATCATTGAAAGTGCCTGATTTACATCCATTCTATAAATCTAAATAGAAAATAAAATAAGCCGTATGCTTTCATTTGAATTCTGAATTTCTTTTGGCTTAAAGTGTTTTTTTTTTGAAAATCAAAGTTAGAATGAGTTTGTTTTAAACATTTGTTGTCATCTTTATTTTCAGTCCTCTCGTTCCATAGTACTTTTAAGAACTAAAATTTATTTAAATGCCATTTATATGACTAGAACGGCCCTAGATGTGTTGTATATACTAATTCTACTTATTGCAAGGCACCATGGATTCTGTGATGCCCTGTCATTTTATGTCTCAATAAGAGAATTGTTTAAATGTTGCCAATTTTAGTTGTAATAAGTCAAGAATTGTAAGTGGGATTCCAATGTCAGAGATGTTAAAATATGAGCAAGTGAGCAACTCAGAATGATCAAAATACAATGTTACCTCTAATCTTTAAACATATCTCAAAGAAGATATAATTGTATCATTTTACTTAACTAAAATCTTGTATTTGTTAAGTGGTAGTATTAGTAATAATTGTAATACCTAACAAATACTGAGCTGTTATTTGTGCTAGGAACTGTCTAAATACTTTGTACAGAGTCTCATGCAAGCATCACAACAGTGTCCTGTGAGACAGCCAGTGTTTTTAACCCCACTTTATTAATAAGGAAATCGAGGCAAAAAAGGCTAAGCAATAAGTAGGAAGTGACAGAGTTTAAAGTAGGATTCCAGTCCAAGTTGAACTGAATCCAAAGGCCAAGGTCTTTCTATTGAAATAGGCTGCTCTTTCATTAATGTAGTGAGTAATAAGAGAGAGTAAAAAGTGTGATTTCTTCATAAAAAATTAAATATTTGTTTGGAAGGCAGAGAAATCACATGCTACTCAATGTTTATAATTATATAGATGATTTTATGTTTTCAGATGATTTTATGATTTTATGTTTTCCAATAGTTTCCTAAAAATGTCGTCTCCCTCTCATAGGACTGCTCTGCATTTGGCCTGTGCCAACGGCCATCCAGAAGTGGTAGCTCTTCTGGTGGACAGAGGATGTCAACTTGATGTCTTTGACAACAAAAACAGGACTGCTCTGCTAAAGGTACATAGTAGTCAACAATTTCAGCATGAGATGGATTTGATACAAATACATAGAATAAAATAAAATCCATCATTTAAACAGAACTCATTGGTGAAACTTGTGGAATGCTTATTTTGAACTCCTAGAATTTACAATCTATTTCTTGGTCTAACACTGACAGGCGGTACAATGCCAGGAAGAGGAATGTGCGACTATTTTGCTAGAACACGGAGCCGACCCAGACCTTCCAGATGTCTATGGCAATACTACCTTACACTATGCCATCTACAATGAGGATATCCCAATGACAAAAAAACTGCTTTTACACCATGCCAATATTGAATCAGCAAACAAGGTATAGATCAACCAACTTTATTTTCAAAATATTTGAAATGCATTTGTTTTAACATTGACTTATGTACAGGTCAGTTTTCCATATTTGGAAGCTCAAGCATAACCTGAATAAAAATATTTGGAAATAACTTAATTATAAAATGTTACTTTAAATATTGATACTTTTAAAGAAGCATTAGAGGGTATATCTTTTTAAATGTATTTATGGTAAAATTTTTGAAAACACTGAATTTGAAAAGGTAATACTTTTAAATTTTTTCCTTCCAAGTTTTTTTTTCTAATTATTATACAATTACCCTGGAAAGTGAAATTTGCTCTGGAAATAAGCTTTATCTTAAAATGCCAGCAAAGCTAACACATTTTAAATAAACAGAAATCTTGATGCTGTTGATAAGTTCCTACATAGAGTAATATATATGAAAATGATTTAACTCTCAGTAGCAGGGCTTAAAAGGGAAAAATGGAAAAGGAAAGGAGAGCAACCAGAAATATGCAGGCCAATTTGGAAATTAGGTAATTGAGGGAAAATACCGAGAAGAGTTTTTTTTGTTGTTGTTTGCTTTTTGTTTCTTTGTTTCCAGTTTATGTGTCTAGACAAGATTCTTTTCAGTTTTGGGGATAATAGTTTTCAGTTTGGGAGAGAGTTAATGAGTTGTTCACTCATCTAGAGATCAATCTTAGGAGGACCGTGAGGAAACCAGTTTGGCTGTGAATAGGTGGTGATGAAGTGGGAAACCCTTAAGCAAGTAATTAACTGACTTATCCTATGCTGGCAGAAACAGCCGCTTAGATAAATGTCTAAACACTGCTCTCAAATCTAGACTGTCCTGAGGGGAAGGTGGAAGATAAAGAGCTTACAAATAGCAAAGTCAAGTTGGATTTTGAGTTTACTAGTCCCTATTCTATTCCTACCCAAACAAATTGTGTGGAGTTTTCAGTAAATGTAAAAGAGAGAGAAAAAACTCTCAGTAAATGTAAAACAGAGAGTAAAAACTCTCTTTTACTCTTTCCTCTTTTTGGCCAAATCCTCAAAGATAAAGGTAACTGGTCATGTGGTGAGAGATGATGGAAGTAATTGTCGATTGCACTAGTTCTCAGCTAGAATTGTGCATCACCATAACCTAGGGAAATATAAAAAATTCTACAAAGCTAACCTCTCCTCTGATGATTTTGATATAGTAAATCTAATAAAGCCTAGACATACATGTTTACAAATATTTCCTTGGATCCAGGCATGGTGAAACATAGCTACAGTCCCAGCTACTCAGGAGGCTGAGGTGGGGCTATTGCTTGAGGCCAGGAGTTTGAGTCTAGCCTGGGCAACATAGTAAGACCCCAGCGCTGACTAAATAACAGCAAATTCCTCAAAATTCTGATACATGTCTGGTTAAGAATCACTGAATAGGTAAGTGTAATATATAAATTGCTCTTCTAGAGTTAAGAAATCTCTAGAAGAGTTGGAGTTTGATAGGTACTACTTCCTTAAAATCTCTCCTTTTCAATAATATTAGCCCATTTTTCTTTACCTTTGTGGTTGTGAAGCTAAAAGAAATATTGTTGGCAATATCTATCAGCTTACAGAATAACACCTTTTCCTTCCCACCATTAATTATTTACTGCCATTCAGCGGGTCTTTATAAATTTGCTATGGGTAGTCTTTCTTTTTAAAAATTTTTTTGAGACAGGATCTTGCTCTGTCACCTAGGCTGGAGTGCAGTGGCACAATCAAAGCTCAGTGCAGCCTCAACCTTCTGGAACTCAAGTGATCCTCCTACCTCAGCCTCCTGAGTAGCTGAGACTACAGACATGCACCATCATGCCCAGCCAATTTTTAAATTTTTTGTACATACAGGGTTTCACTATATTGCCCAGGCTGGTCTCAAACTCTCGGTTGCTTCAAGCAGCCCTTCTGCCTCAGCTTCCAAAAGTGCTGGGATTACAGGCATGAGCTAGTACACTCAGCCTGGGCAGTATTTCACTAAGTGGAGGCTGACCCCTTCAGGACTTCACATCTCTTTGTTACCATTCAGGTAATTAGGCCAATAAATCTTTATTACAAGTGGAGTTTCCTTAACTAGAATTGTAGCAAATTCTAAACATTTTGTTGTTGTTGTTGAAGCTGTATTATGGGCTATATCAGTATGTCTGTTCATAGAGTTTTGGTATAATCAGGATGACAGTTTTAAACCCTGAAAACCATGAAGTTACTAAGAGTACAGATATAAATTCTTTTTTTTTTTTTTTGAGATGGAGTTTTACTCTTGTCCCCCAGGCTAGAGTGCAGTGGCTTAATCTCAGCTCACTGCAACCTCTGCCACCCGGGTTCAAGAGATTCTCCTGCCTCATTCTCCTGAATAGCTGGGATTGCAGGCGCCTGCCACCACGCCGAGCTAATTTTTTGTATTTTCAGTAGAGACAGGGTTTTGCCATGTTGGGCAGGCTGGTCTTGAACTCCTGACCTCAGGTGTTCCGCCTGCCTCGGCCTCCCAAAGTGGTGGGATTACAGGCGTGGGCCACCGCACTCGGCCATAAATTCTTTTAATCATTTCGTTTCAGCATTCCTATGAACTAAATATCTATTTGGCTAACAATCTCAGAAAACTACTTACTAACAGATTTTAAATGAATAAATGCTAGAAAAATTACTGAAGTGGGTAGTGTGAGTCTTAGTAGCAAATTTTATTATATGTTGGGAACTGTTTTTTTGGTAAAACATCTGAAACTAAAGAAAAAATATTTTACATGCAAATACTTACTTTATGCACAACCATTTGGCAACACACCCACGGCAAGTTTAAAAATGCAAGGGCTGCGGTCTAAATGTGGCCCATAGGTATGTTTCACTTGCCTTCATAAATTGTGTCAACAGGTAAAATTTAGGAGACTTATATACAAATCTGGATTTTAGGCTTCTCTTAAGAACCAAATCTGGTGTCCCTTGAGCCCACATCACTGTTTGGTCTGATGTGCAGAGGTTACCCCTTTCTATGAGGCCTGTGTTCTCTAGTTTGCTGTGGTGCCCACCTAGGTACCTCACTTAGGTCACCCCCTTTGCCCTTGTAAGCATTTGACAACTCTCGTCTTACAGTATATTTTGATAAAGATGTCAAGGCTTTCAAGACAGTTTCTATTTGTTTATAATATATAGCCTATATTTTATATAAATCCCTTAGCACCAGAGTTGAATTTTAAAATTTAGAAGTTTAAAAAAAAACTGCTAAATTCTATATTCTTTTTATTTATGGTAAATATTCTTTATATTTAACTCTCATTTTTTATATTTGCCATAAATAACCACCTTCTCATTAGCGTCCCTATAAGCCTTTCTAGGTTATTCTTAGCTGTAGCTGGATGTGTTACACATCTGGTAAAGTAAACATTCTTTGCAATGCAGCTTAAGAAACACTAGACGCAATAATTTAGATCATTAATAAAAACGCTTGAAGCTTTTACTAATATGTCTTAAGATTTGGGAATATAGAGATAAAAGGTAGAGCCCCTGCCCTCAAGAAGCTCTTGGTTTACATGGAAAACAATAAAATCATTACAATATACTATGTTAAGTGCTGTGACAGAAGTGAAGATTATTGGAGCTGGTATTGAAGTGAGTTTTGGAGATGACCAGAGTTCATGTGGTGAGGTGGAGGAGAAGGGGTTTTTCCAAGGGAAGGAACAGCACACGGAAAAGCAAAGAAGAATAAAAAGGAAGGGACTTACTTACTTACATAAATATAAAGTTTCCAGCTCAGTTGAGAAATATGTAACGTTGTGAATTATCAGTTGCTCTTGCCGTTTTACAGGATGAACTCACACCATTTTTGCTAGCTGTACATGAACAAAAACAGCAAATGGAAGACTTTTTAAGAAAGCAAAAAGAAAATTTAACTGCAGTTAAGCTTGAAAGGTACAGTAATTAGTTCTTTTTTTAAAACCTGACTGATATTCTAGAGTGATAACAGTCTCTCTAGTTAGAAATACTAGATTAATAAGAAGATTAACTTGTAATTATTGTGATATAGTAAAAAATATCAACACAAATCATCGGTTAAGTAGAAAAACAATTATTTGGACTGGGCAACATAGAGAAGAGTATATAGTAGGATTCATCTTCTCTTATTATATTGACTGGTGTTTGTTATTTGTAATGTGATGTTTTTGGTCATGTGACCTGACCAAAGTGTTTTTATATTGGTTTTGTTAGTTGTATGAAATGTAGATTTTAACTTTTAGTATACTTTAAGATTTAATAAATATTGAACTTCTTAACCCTTTTATAGTAGTTTTTAACCTCTGCTTCTTATATGCTCTTCCTTTAAACATGCTATATTAGACATAAATAGGAGTTGAAAATCATTTTTTCTTCTAGATGACTCTTTAAGTTGCTTTCTTTGAAAAATAGTAATGTTAAGTTATCCCTATGTGGCTGTTAATTGCTATTACCAGATACCGTGGGTTCATTAGTTTTTTCTATTTCATTTCTAGTGTATTTTGATGTTTTTATTTTATTTAATTTATTTTTTTAGGCAGAGTCTCGCTCTGTCACCCAGGCTGGAGTGCAGTGGTGCAATCTCAGCTCACTGTAACCTCCACCTCCAGGGTTCAAGCGATTCTCCTGCTTTAGCCTCCTGAGTAACTAAGACTACAGGCACATGCCACCATGCCCAGCTAATTTTTTGTATTTTTAGTAGAGATGGGGTTTTACCATGTTAGCAAGGATGGTCTTGAACTCCTGACCTCAGGTGATCCACCCGCCTCGGCCTTCCAAAGCGCTAGGATTACAGGCATGAGCCACTGCACCCGGCCCTGATGTTTTTATTTGTAATTGCTATGGGCAGAGGAAGAAAATATAGCTTTAAATGAATAACTTCTTCTTCTAATGAAGACAAGCCATAGGTGGGTGAAAAAGAGAAAAGAGCTAGGCTTTAGATTCACACAAGACTGGGTTTAAGTCCTAGCTTTCTCACTTGCTAGAAATGTGACCTGGGAACATTACTTATCACCAAATATGTTTTTCTATATGAAAAGGAGGATAATAATATATCCTTCAAGGGTGGTTGTGTGGAAGAAAGATTTATATATATATATATATATATATATAAAATTTAGTTCAGTGCCTAGCACATGTGTATCGGCATCATTAACTGAAACTACTATGATTATTATTATTGTTACCGTTAGTATTAGTATTATTGTTTCCTGCCTGCAGATGGCTCTTACTTATCTGACCCCTAGCTGATTTTGAATTACAATGTATCTGTCTTTAAATCTTTGCCTACATTAGATAAGGGATCTCAGCATAGTTTCTTGCTCATCAAAGGACTTTAAGTTAGCAACTTCTATGATATAATACTCTACTGGGACAAGAGGCTTTTTTTTTTTTTTTTTTTTTTAAGCATTGGTGGTAATTTATGAAGATGAACACTTGAGCACCCAAGATGCTTATGTTTGTTAGTACATGTAAATGTTTAATTCTACATGGACAGGCAAGATATTAAATTGGTATATTATATCAAATTAGCTTTTTAAATAACTTTCTTAAAGTTCCTAAGAAAGAATTTATCTCTCTGGTGTTTTAAAACAGCCCTCATTCTTGCTGTACATTGTGAATCAGCAAGAATAGTCAGCATTCTTCTTCAGCAAAATGCTGATGTGTTTTCCCAAGATATGTCTAGATGGGCTGCAGAAGATTATGCCATTTTTAGTCCTTTTACTAGGCAAGTTTTTATATTAGAAGGCTAGTTTACACTAAATTGAGGCTTAAAATAATTATAGCTATTGCATCCTATACATCAGGTGAGATTTTATAGTTTAATTCAGGTCGTTTTGGAGTGACAGTGAGTTAGTCCACTTTATCAGCCAGAAATCAGGCAAAAGGCTGGACTGGTTAGAAGTATCAATGGGTGCAGAATTCTTTATCTCAGGACTTTTGAGATCTTTACCTTAGAGATCCCAACATTGTCCCTTTTACTCCAAGTATAGCCACATGCGTAGGATAAAAATAGTGCCACATCTCTGATTTCTCTAATTAATTATTTGGGTCTTGAAATGTTCAGTTTAGCAGAAAATCTTGTATGGTCTTTTGAGGGCTATCTCCTATACCCTCCTCTTTCAATTTTTCAAGAACCTAAGGGGTTTCCTAAGTCCAAGAAGGATAAAAATGACAATCTTTTACCGGTCAGAAGGAAGGGAAGAAAAGGACATTCTAATCATTCTGTTGTTTCCTTTGATTCTTTTCCTGCATTATTGCCGTTAAAAGTGGTTCTGCAGTCTGTTAATGCTTGACTTTTCCCACCAGGATTCGCTTACTAATTCAGAGCCCTCAGTTTTCATGGTGATTCATACATAGACTTCATAGCTATAACTTTTTTTAGTTCACATACATATATGCTCAGCCATTGTTCCCAAAGCACTAGCATCCTGCTCTGACAGCTGGGCATCCTAGCTTTAGCCACACACATAGTGAGAAAATTGACCAACCTTAGCCAGGCGCGGTGGCTCACGCCTGTAATCCCAGCACTTTGGGAGGCCGAGGCGGGCGGATCACGAGGGCAGGAGATCGAGACCATCCTGGCTAACACGGTGAAACCCCGTCTCTACTAAAAATACAAAAAATTAGCCGGGCGAGGTAGCGGGCGCCTGTAGTCCCAGCTACTCAGGAGAGTGAGGCAGGAGAATGGCGTGAACCCAGGGGGCGGAGCCTGCAGTGAGCCGAGATCGCGCCACTGCACTCCAGCCTGGGTGACAGCGAGACTCCGTCTCAAAAAAAAAAAAAAAAAAAGAAAATTGACCAACCTTCCCCCACACTCGAAACCTTCTGTGGAGCCCACATCTTAGCTTAGACTTAGCTGAGGCATTCGTGGTAAGTTATCCTTTGAGGCCCTTGTTTGTCTTTTTTCTGTCAAATAGTAGTTGAGATTGTTCTAAACTGTCAAAGAGGTTAAATAATGTTGCAGAAAGAGATCAGTGTTTTCTTACTCCATTGTTACCAGATCTGTACTCTGAGGCGCCTTTACAGCTGTTTAGCACATTTTCTTAGGGAGTGGAAGGTTCTATATTATCCTTCCCTAGAGCAGTGGGTGCCAATTTGTGTGTTTTCTTTTTCTTTCTTTTTTTTTTTTTTTTCAATATGTGGTTTTATCCTCAAGCAATCTGTTTTCCATAATAATGAAAATCTCCCAAGTTACTTGCATTTCTTTTCTTTTCTTTTTCTTTTTTTTTTTTTTTTTGAGATGGAGTCTTGCTCTGTTGCCCAGGCTGGAGTGCAATAGTGTGATTTCGGCTCACTGCAACCTCCGCCTCCTGGGTTCAAGCAATTATCCCACCTCAGCCTCCCAAGTAGCTGGGATTACGGGCATGCGCCACCACACCTGGGTAATTTTTGTATTTTTAGTAGAGACGATGTTTCACCATGTTTGCCGGGCTGGTCTTGAACTCCTGACCCCAGGTGATCCGCCTGCCTCAGCCTCCCAAAGTGCTGGGATTACAGGCATGAGCCACCATGCCTGGCCTAACGACTTGCATTTCTACCTCAAGTTTTAAAAATATTTTCATATTCTACCTCACAGGAAGCCATTCAACAACAAAGTAGGTTTATTGGGTTTATCAGAGCTAAGTCTCATCCATGACTCATGAGTATTCACGTGTAAAGTAGGTTTTGTCTTTGCTTCAGCAGCACACATCCTAACACTGGAATAATACAGAGAAAATTAGCATTGCTCCTGCATAAGGATGACACACAAATTCATGAAGTGGTTCATATTTTGTGCAGTCCCTGGAGGTCATTTGACAATTTTCTGACTAGCTCCGAGGAAACAGCATGAGTCAAAGCAAAATGGTTGGCACTTAATATTGAAATTGTGATTTTCACTACAAAAATATTCACATACAGTGATCTATGGAATGAGAATGGAGCTGAGTAAAACATGGGATGTTGTGTGCAAATATATTGTTAGTATGTGTCTCAGAAATGAGAAAAATGTCAACTTGCATCTCCTTCATGGAACTTACAAAAAGAGTTTTATCTTTTATGTCAGTTGGAGGTGAACATGGAGATTAAGCATCATTCTAACAAAGATCTACTGGTTCAGAGTTTGAGTCTGTAAAGAAGGAATAGTAGTCCAAGGCAGGTCTTAATATCTATTAGTTTTTTGCCTTTGGTATGATCGATGAGCTCAGTAACAGTAGACAATTAATGTTATCTAATTTAATGAGATAATAGGTTTATAAATAAATGTAGTTACAAACTATGAAATATATGAGATGCCCTAAATTAGAAGCCACAAAGAGTAGAACACCTAATAAACAAAATTAGGACTTAATAATATTTCCCAAGTACCACAACATTTCAATATTAGAACCTACAAAAAATACGCATTGGATATTATTTGCAGTTCCAAGATAGTTTCACCAATAAAGTTCAAGAACAAATTATTTCATTGCTTCGCTATTTTTCTGAACATTCAAAATACGTTATCTCAAGTTTTTATAACAACCTAGTAAAACAAGACAGTAAAATTCTCACTTTTTAGAAGAAGACATTGAACCTAACAAAAGCAACTCATCCAAGAACTAGTAGCTTTTGGTTATGGAGCTAGGGCTTATTCTGAGTTAAGACACTTTCCATTATTGTCAGGCTTGTAGGGTCCAGCCCCACAGGGTCGGTGGGTTTTCTCCCCGTGTGCGGAGACGAGAGAGTGTAGAAATAAAGACACAAGACAAACAGATAAAAGACAGCTGGGCCCGGGGGACCACTACCACCAAGATGCGGAGACCGGTAGTGGCCCAGAATGCCAGGCTGCGCTGATATTTATTGGATACAAGACAAAGGGGCAGGGTAAGGAGTGTGAGCCATTTCCAATGATAGGTAAGGTCACGTGGGTCATGTGTCCACTGGACAGGGGGCTCTTCCCTGCCTGTCAGCCGAGGCAGAAAGACAGAGGAGAGAGACAGCTTATGCCATTATTTCTGCTTATCAGAGACTTTTAGTACTTTCACTAACTTGCTACTACTATCTAAAAGGCAGAGCCAGTGTACAGGATGGAACATGAAGGCGGACTAGGAGCGTGACCACTGAAGCACAGCATCACAGGGAGATGGTTAGGCCTCCGGATAACTGCAGGTTATCAGTCAGGCCCTCCACAAGAGGTGGAGGAGTAGAGTCTTCTCTAAACTCCTCCGGGGAAAGGGAGACTTCCTTTCCCTGTCTGCTAAGTAGCGGGTGTTTTTCCTTAACACTGACGCTACCGCCAGACCACGGTCCGCTTGTCAACGGGCGTCTTCCCACATGCTGGCGCTACAGCTAGACCAAGGAGCCCTCTGGTGGCCCTGTCCAGGCATAACAGACGGCTCGCACTCTTGTCTTCTGGTCACTTCTCACTATGTTCCCTCAGCTCCTATCTAGAGTGAAGATTATTATAATATTGGAATAAAGAGTAATTGCTGCAAACTAATGATGAATGATATTAATACATAATCATATCTATGATCTGTATCTAGTATAACTATTATTTTATATATTTTATTACACTGGAACAGCTTGTGCCCTCGGTCTCTTGCCTTGGCACCTGGATGGCTTGCCGCCCACAAGGCTAATGCAAGTTAATTTACTGAACTATACTGCCTTCAGTTCATGAGTACTTCATGTTATTTTTGCTTAAAGAGAAGTTTGTAGAGCTTACAAATGGGAAGTGTATGGGATAATTAAAATTCTAAAATTAACACTGATATCATTTGAAATACTCTAATAATTTAACATTTTTGGTAATTATTTTTATATCAGTTTTAAAATAGTAATTTTACTTATTTCGTTTTTACACAGCATTCACCAAGTAATGTCTGAATACAAAGAAAATGAGACACCTAGAAATCCTCAAAATAGCAATCCAGGTAAGACTTCTGGTAGTAAATTACTCTTGGTGGTGTTACCATAGATTAACAAATAAGAGCAAGGAAGTTTTAATCACCAAAGAGTAGTTTAAAAGCTCACTATGTAAACTGCACATATACATACACACACATATATATATATATACACACACATATACACATATGTGTGTGTGTTTTAAATTTCTTTTTAGTAGGTTAGATTTCAGATTTAAAAAGTTGTGTGTAGATAATTTATAATCTCAAACAGTATTATCTGAAAGGAATCATTTCTTTAATTGTAGTCCCTAAAATCTTATATGATTTTTTTGTATAAATAAGAAAAAAGATTTTTAAGTTAGTATGTGGTATATTTTATTTATAGTCTCATTATAACAAACTGGATATGTTATGAAATTGGAGCTTCTATTTAATTTTTAAAATAAATGGTTTTTATTGCCGGGCACGGTGTGGCTCATGCCTATAATCCTAGCACTTTGGGAGGCTGAGGCGGGTGGATCACCTGAGGTTGGGAGTTCGAGACCAGCCTGACCAACATGGAGAAACCCTGTCTCTGCTAACAATACAAAGTTAGCTGGGCATGGTGGCGCATGTCTGTAATCCCAGCTACTCGGGAGGCTGAGGCAGGAGAATCGCTTGAACCCGGGAGGTGGAGTTTACCGTGAGCCAAGATCATGCCATTGCACTCCAGCCTGGGCAACAAGAGCAAAACTCCATCTCAAAAAAAAAAAAAAAAGGCTTTTATTTAGTAAATAAATGTCAATTACAGTTGACCTTTGAATAACATAGGATTTAGCAGTACTGACCCCGTGTGCAGCTGAAAACCTGTGTGTAACTTTTGATTCCCCCCAAAATTAGCTACGAATTAGATGACTATTGACCAGGAGCCTTATTCATAACATAAACAGTTAAGACATTTGGTATGTTACGTGTGTTACTATACTATATTCTTACAAGAAAGCAAGCTAGAGAAAAATGGCTATTAAGAATATCATAAGGAATAAAAATATATTTACTATTTATTAAGTGGAAGTGGGTCATCCTCATGGTCTCCAAGTTGAGTAGGCTGAGGAGAAGGAGGAAGAAGGAGATTGGTCTTGCTGTCTCAGGTGGCAGAGGTGGAAGAAAATCTGCATATAATTAGACTGCTGCAGGTTAAACTCCTGTTGTTCAAAGGTCAACTGTATTACATAGTGATTTATGTCACTAAAAAAAGTAACTTTTTAAAACTGGGAACTCAACAATACCTTTCTGGTACCATAAACAAATGTCAATAAGAACTGTAAAACTTATCCAGTGTGCACTAATACTAATAGAAAATTATTTTTTTTGAAGATACCAAGTGTAGAAGTCAGAAAAGCATTTTCTTGTTGAAAAGCACAGGTCATGTTACATATTCTTATACCAACAAGGTCTCACTTATTGACTTCATTCTTCCTAATTTGAAATTGAATGAGATACATTTACTTCATTAGAACAAGATAAGTTCTTCTCTTCACTAGTTAATTGTCATGATAACAGTAATTTTGTTAGAACAAAACACTTTTACCAGTAGCCAAAAGGTTATTGTAACGAATACCAGAAATAGTTCAACTCTAGGCTCAACAAATTATAATAAAAGTATAAAAGTGCTTCGCAATAACAAAAATGCTACTATGCTACCTAGATGTGACACCAAATACATTGTACAGTCTGAACTGTATGAGGACACTTTTAGTTTAGTACATATTAATCGAAGAACTTTTTTTTTTTTTTTTTTTTTGAGACGGAGTCTCGCTCTGTTGCCCAGGCTGGAGTGCAGTGGCGCGATCTCAGCTCACTGCAAGCTGTGCCTCCGGCGTTCACGCCATTCTCCTGCCTCTGCCTCCCGAGTAGCTGGGACTACAGGCGCCTGCCACGACGCCCGGCTAATTTTTTTGTATTTTTAGTAGAGATGGGGTTTCACTGTGTTGGCCAGAATGGTCTCGATCTCCTGACCTCGTGATCCGCCCACCTCGGCCTCCCAAAGTGCTGAGATTACAGGTGTGAGCCACCGCGCCCGGTCTAATCGAAGAACTTTTACAAGTTAGATTTTGCAAGCTACAGGTGAGAAACACGTAGTCTTGGTCTTTAAGGTGCTCATAATAGACTACAGCTGTCCTTATTTCATATCTGTGTGTTTTTTCAAGATTCTTTTTTTTTTTTTTTTGAGACGGAGTCTTGCGCTGTCACCCAGGCTAGATGCCATCTTGGTTCACTGCAACCTCTGCCTTCTGGATTCAAGCAATTCTCCCTGCCTCAGCCTCCTGAGTAGCTGGGATTATAGGCACCCACCACCATGCCCGGCTAATTTTTTTTGTATTTCTAGTAGAGATTGGGTTTCACCATGTTGGCCAGACGTCTCGAACTCCTGACCTCAGGTGATTCACCCGCCTCGGTCTCCCAAAGGGCTGGGATTACAGGTGTGAGCCACCGCACCTGGCCAATAATTTTCAAATAAAATATTTTTATTCATTTATACACTTGTCCATTTAATGAATAAACTATCAAGAGTGTTTTAGGGAGTAAGCTTCTTTTGTTTTCATGTTACAGAATACAAACATTTAAAAATACAGTCAGGGGCTGGGTGTGGTGGCTCAGGCCTGTAATCCCAGCACTTTGGGAGGCTGAGGCTGGCGGATCACCTGAGGTCAGGAGTTGGAGACCAGCCTGACCAACATGGTGAAACCCTGTCTCTACTAAAAATACAAAAATTAGCCAGGTGTGGTGGTACACGCCTGTAATCCCAGCTACTTGGGAGGTTGAGGCAGGAGAATTGCTTGAACCCAGGAGATGGAGGTTGCAGTGAGCCGAGATCGCCCCACTGCATTCCAGCCTGGGCAACAGAGAGACTCTGTCTCAAAAAAAAAAAAAAAAATACAGTCAGGGCTGGGCACGGTCACTCATACCTATAATCCCAGCACTTTGGAAGGCTGAGGCAAAATAATTGCTTGAGCCTAGGAATTTGAGGCCAGCTTGGGTAACACAGTGAGACCACAACTCTACTAAAAATAAAAATAAAAAAATGAAAAAGTTAGCTGGGCGTGGTGGCATGCACCTGTAGTCCCAGCTACTTGGGAGGCTGCATTCCAGCCTGGGCAATGGAGCAAGACCATCTCAAAAAACAAAACAAAAACAAAACAGTCAGGAGTTTGTTATGATCATTTTCATTTATATTATTTGCTACTTCATTCAGTGCCTACTACTATGTGCTGGATGCCGTCTGGAAGTGTATAATGATCACTTATTATGTTAAATATGTGCCAGACACTTGAAGAATGTGGTGAGGAATGAAAGCTGTTAAAAAGTGGGTAGGATTTCAGGTAAGCATGCAGAAGGGGTAGAACTTTTCTAGGTAAAGAGGCAGAAGGATGATGTGGGCAGAAGGAACATCTGACAAGTTTTCATGTTTGGCAGAAGGAACATCTAACAAGATGGCGTGCTTGGGAGAAGGAGCAGCAGGTGCAAAAGGTAAGATGCTTGAGTGAACTTTGCAGGGTTTATGAGCAGTTCTATTTTGCTGTTGCAGAAACTGAGATGGGAGTGGTTGGGAATAGGGAAAAACCTAGGTAAGGCAAGCTCATGATAGACTTTTTAATACTTTATAGTATTAAACTGAGTAGATCTTATCCTGCAGGCTATGGGAAATTTACCAGGTAGAGTGCTTTGGGCTGCAAATACTAAAGGACCTAACTAACAGTGACTAAAACAATAGGAAGCAGAGTTGCTTTGGTGGGTGGTTCAGTGATAACACTGGGTCCCACTTGGTGTCCCTGTTTCAGCTGTGCTGTTTTGTACATGTCTCCTTTCATGGCTGGCTAATTAGCAAGAGCTCCAAATATCATGTTCTCACAACACAATTTCTGAAGGCTGGAAGGGCTGCTTTTCTTCTCATGTTTCTTTGAAATAGGGAGAAAACTCAGAAGCTTGCAGTGGGCTTCCTTTCACATTTTATTGGCTTTGTTACACCAAATGCTCATTCCTAAACCAGGCACTGGGAAAACAAATGTAATGACCATGATTAAATTAGAATAGTTATTTCTTTTGTTGGGGATGGGGAGGGAGTATTAGGATGATAAATATTCAAATAGACTTGTGGTTCTCCAGCAAGAAAGATAAGGAATGGTCATCCGGTAGGGAGGCAGCAATGTTTTCTGTAGGAATTCATTATAGAATTGTGAGCAGAAAAGTCACAAGATTAGATTTGAGTATTAGGACATTCTGATTATGGTATTAAGAAGCTTTTAATGTAAAGAACCAGGTGGGAAATATTTCAGGCCACGTGGTCTCTGCCATATCTACTCAACCCTGCCATGGTAGTGTGAAAGCAGTCATAGATAATATGTAAGCAAAAGGCAGGACTGAGCTCCCATAAAACTATTTACAAAACCATTAGGCAGGCTGGGTTGGACCTGCGGCCTGCAGTTGGATGATTCCTCATATGGAGGATAGATGGAAAGTACCACATAAAGAGACTGTAAGACAAAGGAAGCTTTTGCAGTAGCCAAAGCTATAGCTTCCTTGTCACCAATCCTTGGACTAGCATCAGTCCATTATGAGGGTTTCACCCATCCGTGGTGAAATAAATGATGTTAGAAAGCTACTTAGTAATTTTAAAATGTTGATCTTTCTCTTGGTTTTTGCCTTTTTCATTTGTTTTGCTTGTTTTTTTATTTAAGAAATAATATTAATTGTTGGTAGCCTATAAAAGCCAGTAGTTAAGAACCAGTGGTAGTGGAAATATAAAGCAGAGACAGAGAAGAGACAGAGATAATATGAGTTAGTGATTATTGGATATACAAATTTAGGGCACAGAGAGAAATCTCAGATGATTTACCGGTTTCCAGGTCATGAACTAGCATTTAACCTGGACATGAGGAAGGAGTAGGAGATTTGCAGGTGAATGGAGAAGAGCAGCAGATCAGCAGGAATGACTAACCTCTTTCTGTGCATGTTGAGTTAAATGGAATATTCACGTAGGATATTTTCAGTAGGTAATTGGATTTTAGGCATTTCTAGCTGGAGGTAGAACTGAGGTTGGAGCTGCAGACTTGGAATAACGTAGGCAAGGTCATAGATCTGAATGAGCTTGTCCATGATAGGAAAGACGTGGAATAAACAGAAGGCCAGTGGCAAGATCCTGAGAATATCAACATTTCCCAGAGGAAAAGAAGTTAGTAAAGAAGGCTGAGCAGTGGCTAGAGAAAAGTAGGAGAGGTTATCAGAGGATGAGGTGTTGCAAAAATATTTTAAATGTGAGAATTTCAAGGAGGGGGAATATAAATTCTAACAAGTAAGATTACTAAAAAGTAAGTTAAATTAATATTTTAAAAGCTCTTTGGTGGTGCCCTCTTCAAAAGAACACTTTTAGAGTTGTAAGGTCTACTATTTAGGTACATGGCACTTCCGGTGTTCAAGTATGGAAGACACCTACCACGATCCTACCTAATTCTTTTGTAACTGCAGCAGCTACCTACACAGAGTCAGGCCTAGACTGGTGAGTTCCTGTGCCAACATTTTCCCAGAATTGTCAGAACCTAAGGGTCCTCATGAGGAAAAGTGTAATCTTTCTTATCTGGTTTTTGGGGAAATGCTTGTTTTTTACTCAAACCCTTGATAAGCTCTTCTGGATGTGTTGCCAAACAAAAACCTGACAGCAACAGCTGGAAGCCATTATCAGATACTCATATCCTTCCTCTGACATGGAATCAAAATACAGCCATGCTTTGACAGAATTTTAAGTTTTGATCAGAAATAGTTTGCAAATCAGCAGTTTGGATTTCTTTTAAATGATTTCTTTTAAATATTTTATTGCAGAACACTAATGTAATATCACAGAAAAATATGAGGTGATATGCGTACATAGTAGTTCTCAGCATTTTTGGAATTCTGGGGACATCAGTAGGGAAGTCAGTACCTGACTCTATTTATTAGTGTAATTTCGTTTTCATCTTCCCTCTTGTGATATCTCTGCTTTCACTGCTTCCCTTTGAATTTCATCCCTAAACAAAAAAGTACTATTAGAACACATTTCTAACATATGTATATTCGACCAATGTCTATTATTTGATTTTAAAAGAATTGGCTACCTATCCTAAAGTATATATGGTATTCTGTTACTTTCTAATGCTAAATAAACTTCTTTATATCTGACAGGGTGACTGATGATGGTCTGCCGAGATTTTAAGTGCGTCCTGGATTGTCAAATACAAATTGTTTTATTTCACACAGTTTAAATGTAAAATGCTTTTCTGGAATTACATTTCTTCGGAAATTAGTAACTGTGATTTAATTAGATTATGTGGGCAATCAGACTATCACCATTTTAGTCATCTATATACAAGATAACTTTCTTCCCCCTTCAATAAGTTAAAAGTCCTGTTGATCCTTAATAATCAAATTCACTATTTGGCAGGAACAATGAAAAACTCATACTGTACTTTGGATGCATTTCTTGGGCATTTTGACTTGTTCTATTAAGAACTGACTTTAATAGGTAAAATTTTTTTTTGTTTTATAAAAAATTAAGAAAAAGATTGAAAACAAAACATAACTCTATGATCAGTAGTACAGTATTATAGTATATCTGATGGCTATATGTTATTCTACAATTATCACAGTTACCTGAATGATACACAATCTTTTATTTATTTATTTAGTTTTTTTAAAGAGATGGGGTCTCACTATGTTACCCAGGCTGGCATGCAGTAGCTATTGACAAGAATGACTGTGGCTTGAATTCCTGGCCTCAAGCAGTCCTTCTGCCTCAGCCAAAGGAGCAGCTAGGACTACAGGCATGTGCCACTGCACCCAACCAGATGCATGATCATTATAAAAATGAATGAAGCCCTGCTGAGTTAGAGAAAATTACGATGATCTTTTAAACACTTTTTCTAGAAACTTTTGTATTGTAGAACATATTGTGAATCATCAAGGTTTCTAAATTTATTCTGGTCAAAATAGGATTGTTGCTTGTTTCACATTACTTTCTTCCATCATTGTTTTATGTATTTGTTGATACCTTTCATCAAATGTTTATAGAAATATAGGAATCTGAAAGGCAAATATGAAAAAATAAAATAAAAAAAACATTAGGGACAGATGCTCTGCAAAGCAACCTTCTGATTGTAGTTACATATAACACATCAAATAATAAAAATTTTCTATGATGCAGTTGTTTCAGAGACTCCCAAGACCACCTCAGGTTTGGTGATTAACTGAGAAGGACTCACAGCTCTTAGCAAATATTCATACTCAGGGCTTTGATTTATTACATTTAATACAATAAAATGGTACAGAGAAAAATTTGCAAAGGGAAAAGGTGCACGTGGTGAAGTCTGGAGGGAAGCAAACACAAAGCTCTAGGAATCTTCTCCTGTGCAGTTACCAGAATGTGCTTAATTCCCCCAGCCTCAGATTCTGACAACACAAGTTGTCTACCAGTAGCAGATTCTCACTGAAGTCCCAGTATGCATGTTTTTGATGGAGGCTAGTCACATAGGCATCCTCTCCCTCACATATACCAAAATTCTAGACTCCCAGAAGAAAATCAGCTGTTCAGAGTAAGCTACATTTGCACAAACAGTTTAGGCACAGCGAGCCACTCTTCTCAGTAAGGGAATGGTGAGAGCCCTCCCAAATCCAAGGTCCCAACACCAGCCCAGGGCCATTCTTGTAATAAGGCCTTTCTAAGGATGGTGGTCTCATCTCATGCCTACTGTATAAAATCTTTGCTGTGTGGTAGCTATGGCCCTGGCATAATTTTTGGTGTTGTCTTAAAATTTTATTTTAACAGCAAATAATATGATATAACATAACATGGTACTGGTTTCAGTTGCATTATTCATATTAAGTTGCAATGCTGCTTACAGTTTTGACATTTGGTGAAGAGTTGGCAGATATTTGTACAAAAGTTACTATGGCAATATTAGGTCATTATGATCTGTCCTTATCTCATTAAACTTTCAGTAAAATTGTTGGATAAAATAAGCATAATAATTTTTGATTCAAAATTAAAGTAAAAATTATCATTTATCCTAATTATATGGATGGACCAGTTTTGATTCATGTTGTGTTAAATCCCTGCTTGTAATTATGAAATAAGATAAAATATTCAATCATTTTTATCCATTTTTTTACCCAAGTATGCGATTAAAATTATTTGCTTTATGTGTTTTTGTATATTTCAATTTGGGAGATAATATTCATATTATATTACTTTGATCTTTATTTGCAATTTTCAAGCTGACTATATCTTTTTATAATATAGGATAATAGCAAGTTCAGGAAATATCTTTTTTTAAATTAATAACTGTATTATTTAACATAGTTTTAGATTCACAGCAAATTGAGAGTAAGGTACAGAGATCTCTCATATACCCCACGACCCCCTGATGTGCATAGCCTTCCGCATTTTTATTTTTATTTTTATTTTTTTATGGCATATTTATATAATACTGTTTCTTACAATAACACAGCTAGAGAAAAGAAAATATTGTTAATAAAATCATAAGGAAGATAGAATATGTTGACTTCATTAAGTGTAAGTGGATCATCATCCTCATTCTCATCATCTTCAAGTAGAGTAGGAAGAGGAGTTGGTTTTGCTATCTCAGGAGTGGGAGAGATGGAGGAGGTGGAGGCGGTGGAAGAGGAGGCAGAAGAGGCAAGGACACTTGGTTTAACTTTACGGAAATACATCATAATTTCTTGTCTGACGTTATTGGCTTTTCATTTCTCTAAGAATATTTCTCTATGATACCAATCTTTCACTGTTTGCTTTAGTTTCAGTGTCCATATCATAGAAGGGTCCATGTCATAAAATAAGTCAAAGCAGTCATGAATAATTGGAACTCTTCTACCAGATTGTCTAATGTCAATTTGTTTCCTTGCATTGCTTCTTCTACGTCTTCTTCCTTATCATCTGGCACTGGTTTGGAAGCATTCATCCCTATCAAGTCATCTTCAGTTAATTCCTCTGGTGTGGTGTATATTAACTCTTGAATTTCTCCCAATAGTCATATCTTGAAACCTTTCACCCTTCACCATTTTTTTTCTTGCCATTTCCACAATCTCTTTCATGATCTCCTTGTTTAGCTCTGTTATAAATCCTGTGCAGTCATGCACGACATCTGGACACAGCTTTCTCCAGCAGGAGTTTATTGTTTGGGGCTTGATGTGGCATCCTACTGAAGCCTTTCATGTTCTCTCTGTCAGCGTTTTCTTCCACAGTGTTGACAATTCTTTCCATAGAGTACCATGTGTAATGAGCCTTTCAAGGTTCTTATGACCCCCTAATGTAGAGGCTGATATCATATTTGGAGCCAAGTAGACCACTTCAATGCCTTTGGTGTTGAATTCATAGAGTTTGGGTGGCCAGAGGCATTGTCCAATATCAAAAGAACTTTAAAAGGCAGTCTCTTCCTTGCTTCAGGGACAAAGCATTGATGGAACCAATCTAGAAAAAGAATTCTGGTTTTCCAAACCTTCTTGTTATACAATCAAAAGATGCCAGCAGGAGTTTATCTTTTCCCTTCAAGGCTTGAGGGTTAGCAGTTTTATGGATAAGGGCAGTCGTGATTTTAAACCTAACTGCATTTGCACAAAACATTAGAGCTAGCTTACCCTTCTTAAATCCTGGTGCTTGCTTCTCTTCCCCACTAATAAATGTCCTTTTTGGCATTATTTTCCAGAATAGGGCACTTTTGTCTGCATTAAAAACTTGTTTTGGGATACATACTTTCTCCTCAATGATTTTCTGGAGACATGTATATTCAAATCCTTTGCCCATTTT
This sequence comes from Homo sapiens, assembly GCF_000001405.40. Taxonomy (NCBI): domain Eukaryota; kingdom Metazoa; phylum Chordata; class Mammalia; order Primates; family Hominidae; genus Homo; species Homo sapiens. Next base: position 46,544,158 of record NC_000016.10, on the reverse strand, counting down.
AAAATCAGGCTTTTTATTGTTGAGTTGTAAGAGTTATTCATATATTCTGGATATTAGACCTTTATCAGGTAGATAATTGCAAATATTTTTTCACATTTTGTTAGTTGTCTTTTTTCTTTCCTGATGTCCTTTGAAGCATAAATGATTTTGAATTTGGTAAAGTTCAATTTATATTTTATTTTGTTGCTTCTTTTGATATCATAAAGATAATCCAAACTCCTGAAGGTTTACACCAAAGTTTTCTTCGGTTTTAGCTCTTTTATTTGAATCCTTAATAAATTAGAGTTAATTTTTGTATGTGGTGTGAGATGACAGTCCATTTTTATCTTTTTTGGTCCAGATATTCAGTTGTCCTAGCATCAGTTGTTGAAAACATTGTTCTTTCTCCACTGAATGATTTTGGTACCCTTAGAGAAAATCAATTGATCATAGATGTATGGGTTTATTTCTGGACTCTCAATTCTATTCCTTTTATATTTATTCTATCCTTATATCAATATCACATACTTTTGATTGCTATAGCTTTGTTTAAATTAATAACCTAAACAGTAATTTTTAACCAGAGCAGGGTAACTAGAATTACCCGTAAAGCTGGTTCACCTGGTTCTATCTGTATATGATGAAGTAACTTGTATTTTATAGAATAACTATAAAATCTAGTAAAAACTAAGCAACATAAGCAATCACCACAACTGTTTAAGGGCAATGGGCAGTAACCAAGCCTGTCAGGATTTGTGGGGCCATAGGATAGACACAAAGAAAACCACATTTAAGAACATGAGAGTAAAATGGCTGAAAACCAACTACAAAGAGAAAATCCTAAAAGCCACCAGTGAAAAGTTATACATTATTTTCTAAGGAGCAAAAAAATATTGATGGCTGGGTGTGGTGGCTTATGCCTATAAGCACTTTGGGAGGCCATGGGGGGAGGATCGTTTGAGGCCAGGAATTTGAGACCAGCCTGGGCAACATGGCAAGACCCTGTCCCTACAAAAAATTTAAAAATAAGCCAGGTGTGATGGCACATGACTGTAGTCCCAGCTACTCAGGAAGACAGGAGGATCGCTTGAGCCCAGGAGTTCAAGGCCACAGTGAGCTGTGATCACGCTGCTGCACTCCAGCCTGTGTGACAGAGCGAGATCCCATCTCTAAATAATAATGATGATGATAATAATAATAATAATAAATATTTGTAGCTTTCTTTACAAAAAATGTTTACAAAATTATCATTGGAGGAGCCTAGCTTAGTTCATGAGTCAATAATTTATTGGTTATTACTGTTCAGGGGTTGCAGTGCTGGTGAAATGCACCTGTCTTTCAGAATGCTGTGGTCCATCTCTGATGAATGCCAGAGACAATGGAATAACATTGAATACTAAACTTTTTTAAAAGGCTGTGAACATTGTATTCTATATTAAAATGTCTTTTAAAAATGAAATAATATTTTAAGAAAAAAACAGAAAGTTCACTACTAGGAGATCTACATATAAGAAATGTTACCAATATCAGGAATGAAAAAAGGGACATCACTACAGAGTACACAGACATAAAAAAGATGCTAAGAGGATCTTATACTTTTATACCAATGCATTTGAAAATTTTAATGAAAAGAATGAATTCCTTGAAAAACTCAACTTACCAAAAGTAGCTGAAGAATAATTAGAAAATCTGAAGAGTAACTCCAGGTTCAGATGGCTTCGTTGGTAAGTTATTTTAAAATTTAAGAAGGATATAGTATGACTCTTACATAAACTCTTTGAGAGTTTAGAAGCAGGAAGAACATTTCCAACCTCATTTTATGAGGCCTATGTAATCTTCATATAAAAACCTTACATGGGCACCAAATTATAATTCAGTCCCCATCATGACCACAAATGGGAAAAGCTTTAATAAAATACGATCAAATGAAATCTAGTGATATATAAAAAGGAAAGATATAACACAAGTTGAATTATTTTTAGGAGTGCAATATTGGTATTAATTAACAAAAATAAAAATGTAATTCTTCATATTACAAAATAAAGGAGGAAGAAAAATCATCTTAATAGATGTAGAAAACATATTTGATCAAATTCAACACCCTTTCATGTTAAGGGGTACTCACAGAAACCTACAACAATCATGTTTAAAGGAAAATTTTAAATTCTTGCTCACAGAGATTAGGAATGAGACAAGAATGTCTACTATCATCACTTCTGTTCAACAGTGTACTGGAAGTCCTAGCCAGTACCACAGGCAAAACAGAATAAGAAAGATAAGGATTAAAAGGGAAGAAATAGAATTTCCATTACTCATTGACGATATAATTAATAGGTAGAAAAAATAAGAATCTATACACTGGTTATTATATTATTGTATTTCAGTTAATGAGCAAATTTATCAGAGCTGCTTGATACATCATCAATTTAAAATTATAATCCTATGTTCAAAAATTGTATTTCTGTATTTTGCCACAAACAATTATAAAATGAAAATAAAGATATGATTTGCAATGGTACAAAAAAGTAAATATTTAGGAGTAACTAGTGAAACAAGTTTATAATTTTTAAACAGAAAACTACAAAACAATTTTGACAAAATTTAAAGAAAAACCTAAATAAATGGAGAGATATGTTTTGTAGTTTATTTTATTTTATTTTATTTTATTTTATTTTATTATTATTATACTTTAAGTTTTAGGGTACATGTGCACAATGTGCAGGTTAGTTACATATGTATACATGTGCCATGCTGGTGTGCTGCACCCATTAACTCGTCATTTAGCATTAGGTATATCTCCTAATGCTATCTCTCCCCCTCCCCCCCACCCCACAACAGTCCCCAGAGTGTGATGTTCCCCTTCCTGTGTCCATGTGTTCTCATTGTTCAATTCCCACCTATGAGTGAGAATATGCGGTGTTTGGTTTTTTGTTCTTGTGATAGTTTACTGAGAATGATGATTTCCAATTTCATCCATGTCCCTACAAAGGACATGAACTCATCATTTTTTTATGGCTGCATAGTATTCCATGGTGTATATGTGCCACATTTTCTTAATCCAGTCTATCATTGTTGGACATTTGGGTTGGTTCCAAGTCTTTGCTATGGTGAATAGTGCCGCAATAAACATACGTGTGCATGTGTCTTTATAGCAGCATGATTTATAGTCCTTTGGGTATATACGCAGTAATGGGATGGCTGGATCAAATGGTATTTCTAGTTCTAGATCCCTGAGGAATCACCACACTGACTTCCACAACAGTTGAACTAGTTTACACTCCCACCAACAGTGTAAAAGTGTTCCTATTTCTCCACATCCTCTCCAGCATCTGTTGTTTCCTGACTTTTTAATGATTGCCATTCTAACTGGTGTGAGATGGTATCTCATTGTGATTTTGATTTGCATTCTCCAATGGCCGGTGATGGTGAGCATTTTTTCATGTGTTTTTTGGCTGCATAAATGTCTTCTTTTGAGAAGTGTCTGTTCATGTCCTTCGCCCACTTTTTGATGGGGTTGTTTGTTTTTTTCTTGTAAATTTGTTTGAGTTCATTGTAGATTCTGGATATTAGCCCTTTGTCAGTTGAGTAGGTTGCAAAAATTTTCTCCCATTTTGTAGGTTGCCTGTTCACTCAGATGGTAGTTTCTTTTGCCGTGCAGAAGCTCTTTAGTTTAATGAGATCCCATTTGTCAATTTTGGCTTTTGTTGCCATTGCTTTTGGTGTTTTAGACATGAAGTCCTTGCCCATGCCTATGTCCTGAATGGTAATGCCTAGGTTTTCTTCTAGGGTTTTTATGGTTTTAGGTCTAACATTTAAGTCTTTAATCCATCTTGAATTAATTTTTTATAAGGTGTAAGGAAGGGATCCAGTTTCAGCTTTCTACATATGGCTAGCCAGTTTTCCCAGCACCATTTATTAAATAGGGAATCCTTTCCCCATTGCTTGTTTTTCTCAGGTTTGTCAAAGATGAGATAGTTGTAGATATGCAGCATTATTTCTGAGGGCTCTGTTCTGTTCCATTGATCTATATCTCTGTTTTGGTACCAGTACCATGCTGTTTTGGTTACTGTAGCCTTGTAGTATAGTTTGAAGTCAGGTAGTGTGATGCCTCCAGCTTTGTTCTTTTGGCTTAGGATTGACTTGGCGATGCGGGCTCTTTTTTGGTTCCATATGAACTTTAAAGTAGTTTTTTCCAATTCTGTGAAGAAAGTCATTGGTAGCTTGATGGGGATGGCATTGAATCTATAAATTATCTTGGGCAGTATGGCCATTTTCACGATATTGATTCTTCCTACCCATGAGCATGGAATGTTCTTCCATTTGTTTGTATCCTCTTTTATTTCATTGAGCAGTGGTTTGTAGTTCTCCTTGAAGAGGTCCTTCACGTCCCTTGTAAGTTGGATTCCTAGGTATTTGATTCTCTTTGAAGCAATTGTGAATGGGAGTTCACTCATGATTTGGCTCTCTGTTTGTCTGTTATTGGTGTATAAGAATGCTTGTGATTTTTGTACATTGATTTTGTATCCTGAGACTTTGTTGAAGTTGCTTATCAGCTTAAGGAGATTTTGGGCTGAGACAATGGAGTTTTCTAGATATACAATCATGTCATCTGCAAACAGGGACAATTTGACTTCCCCTTTTCCTAATTGAATACCCTTTATTTCCTGCTCCTGCCTAATTGCCCTGGCCAGAACTTCCAACACTATGTTGAATAGGAGGGGTGAGTGAGGGCATCCCTGTCTTGTGCCAGTTTTCAAAGGGAATGCTTCCAGTTTTTGTCCATTCAGTATGATATTGGCTGTGGGTTTGTCATAGATAGCTCTTATTATTTTGAGATACATCCCATCAATACCTAATTTATTGAGAGTTTTTAGAATGAAGGGTTGTTGAATTTTGTCAAAGGCCTTTCCTGCATCTATTGAGATAATCATGTGGTTTTTGTCTTTGGTTCTGTTTATATGCTGGATTACACTTATTGATTTGTGTATATTGAACCAGCCTTGCATCCCAGGGATGAAGCCCACTTGATCATGGTGGATAAGCTTTTTGATGTGCTGCTGGATTCGGTTTACCAGTATTTTATTAAGGATTTTTGCGTCAATGTTCATCAAGGATATTGGTCTAAAAGTCTCTTTTTTGGTTGTGTCTCTGCCCGGCTTTGGTATCAGGATGATGCTGGCCTCATAAAATGAGTTAGGGAGGATTCCCTCTTTTTCTATTGATTGGAATAGTTTCAGAAGGAATGGTACCAGTTCCTCCTTGTACCTCTGGTAGAATTCCGCTGTGAATCCATCTGGTCCTGGACTCTTTTTGGTTAGTAAGCTATTGATTATTGCCACAATTTCAGAGCCTGTTATTGGTCTATTCAGAGATTCAACTTCTTCCTGGTTTAGTCTTGGGAGGGTGTATGTGTCGAGGAATTTATCCATTTCTTCTAGGTTCTCTAGTTTATTTGCGTAGAGGTGTTTGTAGTATTCTCTGATGGTAGTTTGTATTTCTGTGGGATCGTTGGTGATATCCCCTTTATCATTTTTTATCGCATCTAATTGATTCTTCTCTCTTTTCTTCTTTATTAGTCTTGCTAGCGGTCTATCAATTTTGTTGATCCTTTCAAAAAACCAGCTCCTGGATTCATTAATTTTTTGAAGGGTTTTTTGTGTCTCTGTTTCCTTCAGTTCTGCTCTGATTTTAGTTATTTCTTGCCTTCTGCTAGCTTTTGAATGTGTTTGCTCTTGCTTTTCTAGTTCTTTTAATTGTGATGTTAGGGTGTCAATTTTGGGTCTTTCCTGCTTTGTCCTGTGGGCATTTAGTGCTATAAATTTCCCTCTACACACTGCCTTGAATGTGTCCCAGAGATTCTGGTATGTTGTGTCTGTGTTCTCGTTGGTTTTGAAGAACATCTTTATTTCTGCCTTCATTTCGTTATGTACCCAGTAGTCATTCAGGAGCAGTAGTCATACAGTTTCCATGTAGTTGAGTGGTTTTGAGTGAGTTTCTTAATCCTGAGTTCTAGTTTGATTGCACTGTGGTCTGAGAGACAGTTTGTTATAATTTCTGTTCTTTTACATTTGCTGAGGAGAGCTTTACTTCCAACTATGTGGTCAATTTTGGAATAGGTGTGGTGTGGTGCTGAAAAGTATGTATATTCTGTTGATTTGGGGTGGAGAGTTCTGTAGATGTCTATTAGATCCGCTTGGTGCAGAGCTGAGTTCAGTTCCTGGATATCCTTGTTAACTTTCTGTCTCGTTGATCTGTCTAATGTTGACAGTGGGGTATTAAAGTCTCCCATTATTATTGTGTGGGAGTCTAAGTCTCTTTGTAGGTCACTAAGGGCTTGCTTTATGAATCTGGGTGTTCCTGTATTGGGTGCATGTATATTTAGGATAGTTAGCTCTTCTTGTTGAATTGATCCCTTTACCATTATGTAATGGCCTTCTTTGTCTCTTTTGATCTTTGTTGGTTTAAAGTCTGTTTTATCAGAGACTAGGATTGCAACCCCTGCCTTTTTTTGTTTTCCATTTGCTTGGTAGATCTTCCTCCATCCTTTTATTTTGAGCCTATGTGTGTCTCTGCACATGAGATGGGTTTCCTGAATACAGCACACTGATGGGTCTTGACTCTTTATCCAATTTGCCAGTCTGTGTCTTTTAATTGGAGCATTTAGTCCATTTACATTTAAGGTTAATATTGTTATGTGTGAATTTGGTCCTGTCATTATGATGTTAGCTGGTTATTTTGCTCGTTAGTTGATGAAGTTTCTTCCTAGCCTCGATGGTCTTTACAATTTGACATGATTCTGCAGTGGCTGGTACCAGTTGTTCCTTTCCATGTTTAGTGCTTCCTTCAGGAGCTCTTTTAGGGCAGACCTGGTGGTGACAAAATCTCTCAGCATTTGCTTGTCTGTAAAGTATTTTATTTCTCCTTCACTTATGAAGCTTAGTTTGGCTGGATATGAAATTCTAGGATGAAAATTCTTTTCTTTAAGAATGTTGAATATTGGCCCCCACTCTCTTCTGGCTTGTAGAGTTTCTGCCGAGAGATCAGCTGTTAGTCTGATGGGCTTCCCTTTGTGGGTAACCTGACCTTTCTCTCTGGCTGCCCTTAACATTTTTTCCTTCATTACAACTTTGGTGAATCTGACAATTATGTGTCTTGGAGTTGCTCTTCTCGAGGAGTATCTTTGTGGCGTTCTCTGTATTTCCTGAATCTGAATGTTGGCCTGCCTTCCTAGATTGGGGAAGTTCTCCTGGATAATATCGTGCAGAGTGTTTTCCAACTTGGTTCCATTCTCCCCGTCACTTTCAGGTACACCAATCAGACGTAGATTTGGTCTTTTCACATAGTCCCATATTTCTTGGAGGCTTTGTTTGTTTCTTTTTATTCTTTTTTCTCTAAACTTCCCTTCTCCCTTCATTTCATTCATTTCATCTTCCATCACTGATACCCTTTCTTCCAGTTGATGGGATCGGCTCCTGAGGCTTGTGCATTCTTCATGTAGTTCTTGAGCCTTGGCTTTCAGCTCCATCAGCTCCTTTAAGCACTTCTCTGTATTGGGTATTCTAGTTATACATTCGTCTAAATTTTTTTCAAAGTTTTTAACTTCTTTGCCTTTGGTTTGAATTTCCTCCTGTAGCTCGGAGTAGTTTGATCGTCTGAAGACTTCTTCTCTCAACTCGTCAAAGTCATTCTCCGTCTAGCTTTGTTCCATTGCTGGTGAGGAACTGCGTTCCTTTGGAGGAGGAGAGGCGCTCTCCTTTTTAGAGTTTCCAGTTTTTCTGCTCTGGTTTTTCCCCATCTTTGTGGTTTTATCTACTTTTGGTCTTTGATGATGGTGATGTACAGATGGATTTTTGGTGTGGATGTCCTTTCTGTTTGTTAGTTTTCCTTCTAACAGACAGGACCCTCAGCTGCAGGTCTGTTGGAGTTTGCTAGAGGTCCACTCCAGACCCTGTTTGCCTGTGTATCAGCAGCAGTGGCTGGAGAACAGCGTATTTTCGTGAACTGCGAATGATGCTGTCTGATCATTCCTCTGGAAGTTTTGTCTCAGAGGAGTACCTGGCCGTGTGAGGTGTCAGTCCGCCCCTACTGGGTGGTGCCTCCCAGTTAGGCTGCTCAGGGGTCAGGGCTCAGGGACCCACTTGAGGAGGCAGTCTGCCCGTTCTCAGATCTCCAGCTGCGTGCTGGGAGAACCACTGCTCTCTTCAAAGCTGTCAGACAGGGACATTAAAGTCTGCAGAGGTTACTGCTGTCTTTTTGTTTGTCTGTGCTGTGCCCTCAGAGGTGGAGCCTACAGAGGCAGGCAGGCCTCCTTGAGCTGTGGTGGGCTCCACCCAGTTCCAGCTTCCAGGCTGCTTTGTTTACCTACTCAAGCCTGGGCAATGGCGGGCACCCCTCCCCCAGCCTCGCTGCCACCTTGCAGTTTGATCTCAGACTGCTGTGCTAGCAATCAGCGAGACTCCGTGGGCGTAGGACCTTCCGAGCCAGGTGCAGGATATAATCTCCTGGTGCACCGTTTTTTAAGCCCGTCGGAAAAGTGGAGTATTAGTGTGGGAGTGACCCGATTTTCCAGGTGCCGTCTGTCACCCTTTTCTTTGACTAGGAAAGGGAACTCCCTGACCCCTTGTGCTTCCCGGGTGAGGCAATGCCTCGCCCTGCTTCGGCTCGTGTTCGGTGCGCTGCACCTGCTGTCCTGCGCCCACTGTTTGGCACTCTCTAGTGAGATGAACCCGGTACCTCAGCTGGAAATGTAGAAATCACCCGTCTTCTGCGTCGCTCACGCTGGGAGCTGTAGACCGTAGCTGTTCCTATTCGGCCATCTTGGCTGCCTCCTCCTTCCGCATTTTTAATATCTCCCACAGAGTTCATCAGACTTACAAACCGCCCCCATAATTCAATTATCTCTCACCAGGTCCCTCCCACAACACATGGGGATTATGGGAGTACAATTCAAGATGAGATTTGGGTGGGGACACAGAGCCAAACTATATCAGTGGGTATCATTTTGAATATTAAAAAAATTAAAGTTCTGTGGTAATTGAATGTAGTCATTTAAGATGTTCTCTGTCCTTGCTTTAGTTTTCCTTTTATTCATAAGCATAGGATCTGATGACGTATGCTTTACATGCTGAGAAAGTGTGATTTCTATAGACACTTGCCACATAATGGGGAGGGTTGGGGAAAATGGCATCACGTGGTACTACACAGTGCTACACAGCACTAACTGGACCATTTTGCTCCATGAGGTGGGTCCTGATAGACTCATTAGCAGTAGGAAGGGACAATCTCAAGAGGTTGTACTTTATAAAACTAAAATCACAAAGTCTTTCATACATCCCTTGCAATGGAATATAAGACCAGGTAGTGAATACCATAGGTCAACAAATATGTTTGTCACTGATTCCCTTCCTTTCGGGAATTAGTTTGAATACAGTCCATATTATTATAGCATGGCTCATCTACATCCAGATTCTCTGTTATGAGAAATGCCAAGAGAATCAAAATGTTTTGGTTTACATGAAGTGAGAGAGAATTTTTTTTCTTTCACTAGACACAGTGATAACTCTTGGCAAATTCGGGTAGCTTGAGTGAGTTGATAATTTTGTTTTTATATATTTTTTATATCAGATAGTACTCCCTGGACATTTGGCACCCCTTCCGCACTGTTCCTTCTTAAGCTTCTCTCTGAATAAGTGGTAGGGTTCAGAGTGGGCAAACTCTTAAGGAAGTGATCTTTTCAGTAGTTCTTTCCATGGGAGGTAAAATGGTAAGTAAATTTGAACCTTATTTATATCACACATAGGGCAGATAAATTAGCTAGAACTAAGTAAATTTAACTAGCCTCTTTCCCAGAAGAGGATTAGTGAGAAGGAGTACATTGATTTGTCTTGAGCTCTTCTCCACTGGCAGCTGAAAGTGATTTGCAAGAATCTTTGTCTCTGGTCTATTTTCTATGTTTTGCCATAAAACATAGTATGATGCCCATAGACCTAGCTTCCTTGTGATAGGGCATTTTATTCTAAACTAAAGCATTTTAACTGAAGAGCTGGAGAAGCTATGTTGTATGACAACAAAATAAGTACAGTTGTCTCCCTTTATCCATGGGGGATATGTTCCAAGACCCACAATGAATTCCTGAGAGTTTGCATAGTACCAAACCCTATATATGCAATGTTGTTTCTATACATATAAATCTGTGATAAAGTTTAATGTAAGATTTAGGCACAGTCTGAGCTTAACAACAATAACTAATAATCAAATAGAACAATGATAACAATATACTGTCATAGGGGAGTACCAACTATCTGGGCCAGTGGCATGGCAGTAAAATAATTTACCAAGACAGTTAGAGAAAGGCAGATTCATTATAGAAGATATGAAAATATGTTGCAAGAAGGCAATGGGCAGCCTGCAAAAGAAAAGCCTACTGCCAGGGATCAAAGCCTTGCTGGAAATTTTATAGGATGGTTCTTAGGCTGACTGATAATGCCAAGGTAGCAGGGATCTAACTTGCATTCTTCTGTCAGCTGAGGGGTTTGATACATTAAAGTGTTTGGCGGTGAGCAGGAAGTTTGTGACTTATATACATTATCTGTGCTGGAGGGCCATATGTCCTGGGCCAGAAAGAAAATGAGACCTATAACTTATTTGGTTCCTCTTTTTAAAAATAGTTTCTGGACCATGAAGAAAGGAAGACATAGCTTATTTGCTTTATCTCTTTGCTTTCTTCTTGCCCTGCCAGCCTGACTCTTTTTTTGTTTTTTCTAATTAGGACTTCACATATGCTATAAAAAAGTTTATACATATATATGTATGTATATTCCCTCAAAGTATCTTCTTGTACTGTACTCACACTTCTTCTTATGAAGATGATGTGAGGTAATACAATGCCTCTGTAATGGGATGAAGTGAGGTGAATGATATAGGCATTGTGAAGTAGTGTTAGGCTACCATTAACCTTCAGAAAGAGGATCATCTGCTTCCAGTAATCTTGGATTAATGAGCCTTGATGATGATGTTGGTTGGATATCAGGAGGAGATGAAGTCAGTGACTAATGGGCACATAGCATATACAGTGTAGATACACTAGACAAAGGGATATTCATGTTGTGGATGGGATGGAATGGGATGGCTGGAGAGTCTATCATGCTACTGAAAACAGCACACAATATAAAACTTATGAATTGCTTATTGCTGGAATTTACCATTTGACATTTTTGGACCATGGGTGATGTATTAGCATTTCTCACACTGCTAATAAAGACATACCCAAGACTGGATAATTTATAAAGAAAGGGGTTTAATTGACTCGCAGTTCCGCAGGGCTGGGGAGGCTTCAGGAAACTTACAATCATGGTGGAAGGGGAAGCAAACACATCCTCTTTCATATGGCAAGAGCAAGGAGAAGTGCAGAGCAAAGGGTAGAAAAAGCCCCTTATAGAACGATCGGATCTTGTGAGAACTCACTTACTCTCATGAGAACAGCAGATAACTGCCCCCATGATTCAATTACCTCCCACAGGGTCCCTCCCACGACACATGGGGATTATGGGAACTACAATTCTCGATGAGATTTGGGTGGGGACACAGCAAAACTATATCAGGTGACCGTGGGTGACTAAAACCACAGAAAGCAAAACCACAGATGTGATACTGTGAAATATGTATTCGATCTTTGAACCCTTTTCTTGGCATACAACTCCTAAAATCCTTAGAATCCCCAAAGTGATGTCCCTTTGTATGTGAATGATTCATTATGGCTGGCAGCCCCTAATGAGCTTCAGGATGGGGGCTGGTCACCAGAAAGACCAAGGCATGATTAGAGGGTTAGGACTTCCAGCCCCGTCCTCCAACCTTCCAATCTCATGGGAAGGGAGGGGGGCCGAAGTTTAAGTTGATCACCAATGACGATTGATTTAATCAGTCATGCCTGTGTAATGAAACTTCTATAAAAACCCAAAAGGACTGGGTTCAGAGAACTTCTAGATAGCTGAATATGTGGTGGTTCCTGGACGGTGGTGTACCCTCAGAGGGTATGGAACTCTGCACCCCTTCTCCCATGCCTTGCCCTATGCACTTCCTCATCTACATCCTTTCTAATATCCTTTACAATGAGCAGGAAATGTAAGTAAGTGGTTCCCTAAGTTCTGTGAACTACTCTAGCAAATTAATCCAATCCAAGGTGGGGGTTGTGAGAACCTTGAAGATAGTTGGTCAGAGGTTCTGAAGGCCCAGGCTTGTGACTGGTTTGGGGAGGGGGAAGCCTTGGGGACTGAGCTTTCAGCTGTGGGATCTGACACTATCTCTAGCTAGACAACGTGGGAATGGAATTAGAGGACACTCAGCTGGTGTCTGCTGCTGAACTGATTGCTTGCTTGTTGGTGGGGATAAATCCCCCTCGCCCACCAACATTTGGTCAGAGATGTCTTCTGTGTTGGTGATTGTTGCTGTGGTGTGAGAGCAGAGGAAAAATATGTTGAGTGTGTTTTTTCACCCATGTCATGGATATGGGAGCATTACTGTATACTCTGTTCTAACTACTACTAGTTCATTAGTCCAGAAAGCATGTTCTTGAAGTTTGACTCAGTTTGCTAGCGATGCTAGTCAGTCTGATAGGGTTTGGTTAGGATTATGATTATTGTACACAGCAATTCATTTGTAGGTATCACATTTTGGCAAATCCCATTCTTTTTTGCTTTGACTGATACAAAGGAGGAGAAGTAAGGATTCTTAATATAGTAATTGCCTACCAGTAGTATAATCAATATTAATTCTAGTATAGTCTCAAGATATGGTCCTAAAGGAATACTTTGTGAAAAAAAAGAAAGATCTAAAGCATGCACAAAAATGTACATGATTTTTTTTAATGAAGGCAGAGTCTCACTATGTTGCCCAGGCTGGTCTTAAACTCCTGGGCTTCTCAAGTGATCCTCTGGCCTCAGCCTCCTGAGTAGTTGGGATTACATGCATGTGTCACTGGGCCCTCTTATACTTTCAATATTCTGTGTTTTTCTATTGTTGACTTAAAATGCATTTTTTTCTTTAATAGTGGATGAGATTCCTGGAAATCCTGTAAAAAGGTACGACTTACAGATTTTAAAATATTATATGTTACCTGAGGGAATATAGAGAAAAGAAACTAACATCTGTTGAGTGTTGTACTCTGGGGTAGACACTATTTTATGTGCTTGTCTCATCTCATATAGTTATCACAGCAGCTTTGAAAGGTTCTCTGTTATTATAACCTACTTTTTCCTAATTAGCTAACTGTGGTTCAGAGAGGTTGATTAATTGCCCCATGTCCCCATAGTTAACGCTGGCGCATGATTTGACTGGCAGCCTGCCTGGCTCCCAAATCCCTTCTCTTGCCCCTCTGCATAGATTGGCAGAGACCTGTACAACACTGGAATCAAGACACAGGTCCAAACCAGATCAATTCAGAAAGTCAAATTTAGTTAACTCTCATTTATAGTTTTTCTTAGAAGTCTGGTTAGTCTGAGTTTGTTTTAATGTATTTGGCAATTTCAGTGGTAATCAGTATCTTGTTTTTACCATCACATATTTTAGGGTAGATCTCACTTAGCTATGGCCACAGGACCATGGGTTTTACATAGACAAGACCAGTCATATCCTAGAGAGGAATTATTTTATTGTAAGTGAAGGCTATTTATGTTACATTTATTTATTATGTTAGTTATATTTAGCATCTAAATAGAGCCTATTTCTAATTGATTTCTCTACTTGTTGACTCCTTAGTTTAGTTTTCCCTTTAGGCTACTACCCTGCCTAATTCCATGGGCTTTTTTTTAAGAGTCCTTTTTTCTTCTTCCATTACTTTTCTGTAATCTTTACTTTAGTTGTTAACTTTCTTCTCTGCTTTCTGTGGTGTTTCTTTTGTTTTATTTTTCCATTTCTGCCAGCTAAGTATTCCCCATTTTTATATAGACAGAATCAAAAGCACACACAACTTCAGGATTTTAAGGAATCTTAGTGACTAATCAAAATACCCTCTAGTACTTCAACCTGTGTTTAACATTCTGGTGAAGTGGTTGTTCAGATGGAATATCTGAAACTCAAAGAGATTAAGATGACTTATTTGGATATAGGAAGTGGCAGAAATGAGATTTGAACTCATTTCAAAGCCCATTACTCTTCCTTCTTTATCATCCTGTTAGTAAGTGTTTTAATAATAGAAAGGGAAAGTGGGTCTAGTGAACACAGTGGATGAGCCTAGGAAGGGAATTAGCTGGGGAACCCAATGGAAGAGGAGAAGAATTAAATTAATAGGGTAAGGCCATGTTTGAAGAGAAATAACACTGGATTGGATAGGAATAAGGTTTTTAGAAAAGAGAAGTGAATATTGGGGTTTATGACAAGTTTTATAAAGATAAATTATAGTAATGAAGAATACAGGATGTTGGGAGTTATCTAGAAAGGCATGTTTAAGTAGGTGGTTCAAGGGAGTCTTGAACAGGTTGCTGCTCTTTTGTTTGTTTAATTAGAGTGACTGACCCAACTTCGAAGTTTCTATTGAAAGATGTTAAAAGAATTTGAGCCACTGAGAAGAGTCTCTATAGCAGATTGAATTGTAGTATTATCTACTTCCACCCCAACTTATAGAGGGATGGCTCAGAGTCCCTCCACTACTAGAGGACTGAAGTTTCCTGAACTATATAGATCTGTGCCCCAGAGCACGTATCCTCTTACCTCTGCCTCTTTTCCCAATTCACCAATTGTCCTTCCCATTTCCATGATTGTCTGGCAAATCAGTCATGGACCTTCAGTTTGGTAGTTGATAACATGCCTATGCCGGGGGAAGACGACTGAAATTCCATTTAGCTTGTTTTCTAGCAGCAGTAAAATTGAGAGCTCTGTCTTTTGGTCATTTGAGCTTACTCTTTTAGGAATTTGTGCTTTTATTGGCTGAAGATTTAAAGGTTGGAGACTGCCATAGAGCCCTGCAGAAGAGGGATCTGGAAGTGGGAGCCCATAGGAAGGGAGATATTTAGATAGTTCTCAGGGAAATAGAGATACAACTACCAGGACTCTGTTTTTCCAGGAGTCTCTCTCCTTTGGTGTCTGAGTACCTATGGAGGTTTTTAAGAGCTTAGTACTTTATGTGGCCCTGAATTTGGCAAAGTCTATTTAGGGAAAATAATTAGATTTTATAATTAAGTTTTAGTATCTCCGGGAAGAGTATTTTTAATAACAATATATACATTTGTCCTTTGACATTCATACATTTAGCTTTCAAGTATTTTAGATGTGTCAGGGAAGATTCTGTACTATTTTAAGGAAAAGGGAAGCAATGGGGGCCTCCTTAAGAGGTTTCCAAGCAGAAGAACCAGGACTGCCATTTTCAAGTGACACAGATTGGTCTTTGAACCAGAGATAGATCATGGAGAAGGGACAGTGGATCTTTTTACTTTATTTTAAGTTATCAGGTTTCTTCCAGTTCAGGTAACAAAAGTTATGTCAGCCATTACTTGGATTTTAAGTTCTGCCTCCAGGACAAATAATTTGTGAAGCCCAATTATTCTTAGGCTCTACCAATATATTAGCTGTCATGATTTGTTATGGAACTAAGGGTGAGTCTTCATGGACTATTCCATAGCTTTGGAGAGGAGGAAGTAGAAATAGGTAATTAAGATCTTTCCCACAACAGAGGCCAAATTTTAATTATGTTAAGAGACATTATTTTAAATACAGATAGCTGACCTTCCACAAGATTTACTTTTTTTTTTTGTTTTGTTTTGGGAGGGCACCCAGTTATGAACCTTCAAATTGCTTAAAGAAATGAACACACTCATTTTTGTTGTATATTTTTATTCTAAAGGCTTTTCAACAAACCATCTATTGACGACTCACGACCTATGTCAGCTAATGAAGACTTTGATTTTGATACTGAGGTAAAGACGTCTCTTGCAAAATTAATTTTCTCATTCTGAATCTAATTTTCTGTAACATTTTCTCTTGAAATTTAGTAGTAATCTACTTATAATCGTATTATGTTGGTTATGGAAAGTTCATTAGAGAAAACCATTTTATAGAAACATGACTAAACATTTTCAAACATTTTTTACTTTGATAAATAACAAAGACTTGGCAAATATGTAGAGGGAGTGAGGGTGAAAAAACAATGGGCTGGAAAATACATAGTGACAGGAAAATTATATTAGGCAAAGCTTTCTCATAATAGAGCAAGTTTGAAATTTGGTCAAGGTTGATTTGAATAAGTATTCTTACTGTGTGTGACTTTTAAATTATACCAAGATGGCTTTTATAATACTTATGCCTAAATAAGTCTTTAATGGATCTAATTACTTATTATAGTAATCATGGAATCTCCTTGATGCCTTTTGGTTCAAAAACTGTACAGCAGATAGCATATACTTTTCTTTCTTAGACACATTATTTTAGTATGATATATATAGTTTTTAGGTGTGAGATTTTTTCCTATTTCTATCCTTGGTTATGTAACTAGACTAAAATAATATTAGAAATTGTGAAAATTTAGCTGGATATGGTGGTGCATGCCTGCAGTCCAAGCTGTTCAGGAGGCTGAGGTGGCAGAATTGCTTGAACCCAGGAGTCTGAGACCAGCCTGGGCAACATAGCAAGAACCTGCCTCTGATTTTTAAAAAAATTGTGGAAATTCAGAAATTTACATTTTGTTTCTCAAAATCTTTATTACAATGAGATTCCACTGTGTTTTCTATGTCATTTCATTAAGACTACATTTAAAACTCTTCACCTAATTGAAGAATAGTTGCTTTGTCCAAAATAACAACCAGTTCTAGAAGCAAAGACTCTTAATAACCATATGGTGGGACTTAATTTCAGAATTATTTGTATTGTAGTTCTTAAAAATATCCAAACTAAATCCTTACATCACATGCTAAAATTTCAAATTTCAGAAGTTTTTGTATTTATTTAGTAATCATTTAAAAACTCCTTTATTACTATGAGCTACTGGAGGTTAGGGAATTTTTTTTTTTTTTGTATCCTGGAGTACTACGAATGAAAAGACAAATGCATTTCTATACAATGGAATGTTAGCAATAATATAATATGCGTAACATATCTAATAAATAAATCCATTCATTTATAAGATATAGCCTAAATTTATATTCCCTTTTAATATTTAGGATGTATAAATTCAGATGAGTTATATTGAAAAAGTGTGTCATAAATAAGAAAATAAATTAGAAATAGATCATCAATAGGAAATAGGGTTAAAGTGTTAATATCTTTTCTAGTGTCTTCCAACTATAAGCATAAATTAATATTTTAGATTTAAAATATTTAAACTTTTAAAAGCCCCAACCCATGTTCTGCTAAATATATGTTTTCAATCCATATATTACTGCTTAGAATTCTGATTAGTATTTTTCCTCCAAGTAGAAAGTTAATGGAATATTTCTTTTTCCATTTTTCTCTCTCTGAGGTAGTAATGTTCCAGCTTTTAGGTAGTGGTATATGACCATATTTAACTAATTGAATGTCTCGTTTTACAGTATACAATTCAATTCTATATCACAGAAATGTTTACCAAAAGCTAGTTATAAATACTACTCAGTATTATTGGAAATATACTATGAACCAAAGTCTCTACATCTATATTTCTCCATGTACCTTACTGTATGTGATGTTTTTCTCCTTTTCCTTGGCTTTGGCTTTATTCCTTGGCTTTCTTTCAAGCTCAAACTTGATTGACTGGTCAAGTTATGTCTTTTTGTTTGTTTGTTTCTTTCTTTCTCCCTCCTTCCCAATCTTTTAAAAGTGATTTATCCCAACCTATGTTTTTCCTCCTAGAACACATTCTCTACAACGTCTCTTCTTTCAATCCATGTGTCTTTACTGCCAGCATACTTAGTGTAGCTTTCTACGTAGTAGCTATGTGAGACTTTTATTCATCTATCATTGCCCTACAAGATTTATTCTTTTTTTCTCTGTTTCTTGGAAGGAGCTGAATTGATACAATGATTTGTCCTTAGCTTTTTGAGAAACAGAACAGAAATAACTTATGCTAAAGAATTAGAAAGCAACCCACCACAGCAGCTTAACGAATATGGAGCTAAAGAGGGGGATGAAGGGAAAGAATTTATTAAAGAGAGGCAAGATAAATGTAAAGATTGAGTAACAGAGTCAAGTTGTCAGATTATTGTAAAAACACATCAGAAACTGTGGGATTTAATGAGCACAGGAACTCTTTACATTATAAAATATGATAGAACTTATTTTAAATGCAAATTAAGAAAAGAAAGACAGGTAATAAAAAAAATTGCTGAGATTCCTCTGAATGTCTTATAGCTGATTTTTATGAAGAACTGAAAGAAAATATAAGGGTGACTATAGTTAACATTAATCTACTATACATTTGAAAGAAAACTAAGGTGATGGGTACCCCAATTACCCTGATTTGATTATATGAATGTATCAAATTATCACATTTACTTCAAAAATATGCACATCTATTATGTATCAGTTTTTAAAAAGGAAATTTATATCCTCACATCTTTGAATTTAGCAAAGTTATATCATATATTTGATCTAGTAAAACCTTGTTTATAAATAATGCACAGTGAAATCTGTTTTAGGCCTTATCAGATTTACTATGAATTCTTAATTTTTGACTCTTGCTTCTTGTTTAAGTTTTCTAACTTAGTGTTTGGCATATCCATGACTTAACTAATTTATCTTACTCTTTCATATAATCTTGAGAGCCATTTTAGATGTTTCTGAGAATAAAGAAAATAAATAAATACATTATATTTAATCTTTTCGTTAGTTAAAATTTCTGGTTTATAAAGGAGGTTCTTAATTTTATCCATTCGGTGAGAAAATAAATTTCAAGGTAAAATCCTCTTAAATAAATTCAGGGAAGAAGGTGGAGAAATAGAAATTCCACTGTTCCCCACCACCACAAGAACACCAAGTTAACAACTATCTACACAGGAAAAAACAACTTCATAATAACCAAAAGTAAGGTGAACACTCACAGTACCTAGTTTTAACTTAATGTCACTGAAAGAGGCACTGAAGAGATTTTTTAAAGTCCTGAATGGCTGACATCACCCCTCCCCCATCCCTAGCAGCCTGACGTAGTGTGGAGAGTGTCTCTGAGTGCTGGGGGAGGGAGAACACAGCAAGTGTGAGGCTGTGAACTCAGTGCTGTTCTGTTAGAGCAAAAAGGAAAATTAGACCAAACTCAGCTGATGTCCACCCATGGAGGGAGTATTTAAACCAGCCCTAGCCAGAGGAAAATCACCAGTCCCAGTGGTCTGAATTTAAGTGCCTGTAAACCTTGCCACTGAGGGCTACAGCACCCTGTGTCTCCAAGTAATGTCAAAAGACAGTCTAGGCCATAAGGACTGCGACTCACAGATGAGTCCTAGTGCTGAGCTAGGCCAAGAGACAACAAGCTGGGTGGGGAAGATATGCCATATTGAGATACCAGCTGGGGTAGCCAAGGGAGTGTTGGCATCAACCCTCCCCTAACCTCAGGCTGCACAGCTCACAGCTCCGATAAAGGCCCCTTCCTTCTGTCCGAGGAGAGGAGAAGACAGAGCGGGGAGCACTTTGTTTTACATCTAAGATACCAGCTGAGCCACAGCAGCAAGATAGGGCACTGGTCAGAGTTGGGAGCCCCCATTCCAGGCCCTGGCTCTCTGATGACATTTCTAGACACACCCTGGGCCAGAAGGGAACCCGCTGCCTTGAAGGAAAGGACCCAGTCCTGGACTGGCAGTATTCCTCACCTGCTGACTGAAGGGCCCTTAGGCCCTTAATAAACAACGGTGACACCCAGGTACTACATCAAAGGCCTTGGGTGAGCCTCTGTGACTTGCTGGCCTGAGGTGAGACTCAGCATATAACCAGCTGTGGTGGCTATAGGGCAAAATATTTTCTGCTTAAGAAAAGCAGAAGGAAAAATAAAGGGGACTTTGTCTTGCACCTTAGGCACCAGCACGGCCATGGGGGTGGGGAGTAGAGCACCAAGTGGGCTCTTGAAGGTCCCTGATTCTAAGACTTGACTCTTGGATGGCATTTTTGGACATGCTCTGGTCCAGAGGGGAGCCCACAGCCTTGAAGGGTGAGTCCCAGGCCAGGCAGCATTTATGACAAGCTGACTTGAGAGACCTTGGGCCTTAAGAGAACATAGACCGTAGTCTAGCAATACTTCTCATGGCCTGAGGTGATGGTGGCTTCTGTGGGGAGGCTCCCCCCAACTCTTTCCATGCCTTGGGACATGGGCCATGGGTTTTCAAGATACAGTGACCAGTGAGGAAGCACCTGTTCCTGCAGCACCTGTTGCTGTCCTGGCCACTCAGTAGTCACTACTCATGAGCCTCACACAGCAGCTGTCAGAGATGTGGCAATTTGACAGATTTGCCCATATCCCTAATAAACCACTAATGTTCATCTTTATTAGAGCCAGTCTTATAAAAACAGAATTTCATCTTTTTCAAGAAATATAGGCTGGACGTGGTGGCTTAAGCCTGTCATCCTGGCACTTTTGTAGGCCAAGGAAGGTGGATCACCTGAGGTCAAGAGTTTGAGACCAGCCTGGCCAACATGGTGAAACCGCGTCTCTACTAAAAATACAAAAATTAGCCAGGTGTGGTGATACATGCCTGTAGTCTCAGCTACTTGGGAGGCTGAGGTATAAGAATCACTTGAATCTGGGAGGTGGAGATTGCAGTGAGCTGAGATCACATCACTGCAATCCAGTCTGGGCAACAGAGTGAGACTCCATCTCAAAAAAAAAAAAAAAAGGAAAGAAAGAAAGAAATTTTTTTTCAAAGGGATAATAACAGAGAACTTCTTAAACCTGGAGAAAGATATTAATATCCAAGTACAAGAAGGTCATAGAACATCAAGCAGATTTAACCCAAAGAAGACTACCTCAGAGCATTTGTTAATCAAACTGCCAAAGGTCAAGGATAAAGAAAGGATTCTAAAAGCAGGAAGAGAAAAGAAACAACAGACAATGGAGCCGCAATGCATCTGGAATCTGATTTTTCAGTGGAAACCTCCTTACAGGCATGTAAGGAGGCATGTAAGAGAGTGGCATGACATATTTAAAGTGCAAAAATCCTCAATGGAATATTTTCAAAGTGAATTCAACAATATATTAGAAAGATCATTTATCACAACCAAGTGGGATTCATCCCTGAGATGCAAGGATGGTTCAACATATGCAAATCAATCAGCATGACACATCATATCAACAGCATGAAGGATAAAAAGCATATGATAATTTTAATTGATGCCAAAGAAGCATTTGATAAAATTCAACATCCCTTCAAGATAAAAACCCTCAACTGGATATGGAAGGAGCATATCTCAACAATAAAAGCCATGTATGACAGACCCACAGCTAGTATTGTACTGAACGGGGAACCCAAATTTGGGTTTCCTTTAAGATGTGGAACCGACAAGAATGCTCACTGTCATCACTGTTATTCAAAATAGTACTGGAAGTTCTAGCCAGCACAATCAGACAAGAGAAAGATATAAGAGACATCCAATTGGAAAGGAGAAAGTCAGATTATCCTTGTTTATAGATGATATGATCTTATATGTGACAAAACCTAAAGACTCCACAAGTAAACTATTAGAACTGATAAATGAATTCAGTAAAGTTGCAAGATACAAGATTAACACACAAAAATTGGTAGCATTTCTAGATGCCAACAGTGAACAATATGAAAAAGAAATAAGAAAGTAATCTTATTTACAACAGCTACATGTAAAATTAAATACCTAGGAACTAACTTAACTCAAGAAGTGAAATATCTCTACAATGAAAACCATAAAACATTGGTAAAGAAATGGAATAGAACACCAAAAAATGGAAAATATTCTATGTTCATGAATTGGAAGAATCAATATTGTTAAAAGTTTCATACTACCTCAAAGAATCTACAGATTCAATGCAATTCTCATCAAAATATCAATTACATTCCTCATGGAAATAGAAAAAACTGTCCTAAAATTTATATGGGACCACAAAAGACCCAGAGTAGACAAAGCTATCCTATGCAAAAATAAGAAATCTGGAGAAATCACATTACCTGACTTTAAATTATACTACAAAGCTGTAATAATCAAAACATCATGGTACTGTCATAAAAGCAGACACATGGTATTGTCATAAAAGCAGACAAATGCAACAGAATAGAGAACGCAGAAACAAAGCCACATACCAATAGTGAACATATACTTGAAAAAGGCACCAAGAACATACCCTGGGGGAAAAGACAGTCTCTTCAATAAATGGTGCTGGGAAAACTGGGTATCTGTATGCAGAAGAATGAAACTAGACCACTATGTTTTTTTTTGTTTGTTTGGTTTTTTGTTTTGTTTTGTTTGTTTGTTTTTGAGATGGAGTCTGAATCTGTCACCCAGGCTGGAGTGCAGTGGCACGATCTTGGCTCACTGCAACTCTGCCTCCCGGGTTCAAGTGATTCTCTTGCCTCAGCCTCCCAAGTAGCTGGGATTACAGGCACCCACCACTATGCCTGGCTAATTTTTCTATTTTTAGTAGAGAAGGGGTTTCACCATGTTGGCCAGGCTGGTCTCAAACTCCTGACCTCAGGTAATCCGCCCACCTCAGCCTCCCAAAGTGCTGGGATTATAGGCGGGAGCCACCGCATCTCGCCTAGACCCCTATCTCTCACCATATACAAAAGCCAAATAAAAATGGATTAAAGACTTAAATCTAAGACCTCAAACTATGAAACTGGTATAAGAAAACTTTGGGGAAATCTCTAGGACAATAGTCTAAGTAAAAATTTCTTGAGCAATACTCCACAAGCACAGGCAACAAAAGCAAAAATGGACAAATGAGATCACATCAAGTTAAACAACTTCTGCACAGCAAAGGATACAGTCAACAAAATGAAGAGACAATCCACAGAATGGGAGAAAATGTTTGCAAACTACCCATCTGACAAGGGATTAATAACCAGAATATGTAAGAAGCTCAAACAACTCTATAGAAAAAATATCTAATAATCCAATCAAAAAATGGGCAAAAGATTTGAACAGACATTTCTCAAAGGAAGACACACAAATGGAAAACAGGCATATTAAAAGGTACTCAACATCATTGATCATCAGAGAAATGCAAATCAAAACTACAATGAGATATTATCTCGCCTCAGCTCAAATGGCTTATATCCTAAAGACAGGCAACAACAAATGCTGGTGAGGATGTGAAGAAAAGGGAACCCTTGTGCACTATGGATGGGAATGTAAATTAGTACAACCACTATGGAGAACAGTTCAGATATGCCTAAAAAAACTAAAAATTGAGCTACAATATGATCCAGCAATCCCACTGCTGTGTATATATCCAAAAGAAAGGGAATCAATATATCAAAGAAATAACTACACTCCTATGTTTGTTGCAGCACCATTTACAATAGCTAAGATTTGGAAGCAACCTAAGGTTCCATCAACAGATGAATGGATAAAGAAAATATGGTACAGATATACAATGGAGTACTATTTAGCCATAAAAAGAATGAGATCCAATCATTTGCACCATCGTGGATGGAACTGGAGATCGTTAAGTCGAATAAGCCTGACACAGAATGACAAACATTGCATGTTTTCATTTGTTTCTGGGTTCTAAAAATCAAAACAATTGAACTTTTGGGCATAGAGTAGAAGGATGGTTACCAGAGGCTGGGAAGGGTAGTGGGGTTTGGCAGGAGTTGGGGATGGTTAATGGGTACAAAAAATAGAAAGGATGAATATGACCTACTATTGTTAGCATAATAAGGTGAGTATAGTCAATAATAATTGTATATTTTTAAATAACTTAAAGAATGTAATTGGATTGCCTATAACTCACAGGATAAATGCTTGAGAGGATGGTTACTCCATTCTCCATGATGTGCTTATTTCACATTGCATGCCTATATCAAAACATCTCATGTATCTTATAAATATGTATTGATATTGCATAATGTACCTATTAGGTACCCACAAAAATAAATAAAAATATTAAAGTAAATGAGATAAATTCAGAAATTATTTCTGGAGGTATCCTGATTTCTAATAATATTGGTATATAATCAACACACATGCACACATCAAAATGCAATCAAAATTTATGATTTTCTAAAATAAACTACCTGTTATCATAGGATTATAAGAAAGTTAAGATTTCCAAGAAAGTATGAACAGTTATCTCTAGAAGATGATTTTCTAATTTTAAAAATATCTCTGGCAATAAAGACATTTTATGTTATTGTCAGGAAGCTTTATTAACTTTAGTATTCATAGTTGTTAAACCTTATACATAAATTCTTGCATCTCTAAAACTCAGGAATTCTGCTGACTTGATTTTTGTGTGTGGAGAATGGGGTCTTACTATATTGCCCAGGGAGGTCTCAAACACCTGGACTCAAGCTATCCTCTCACCTCTGCCTCCATAAGTGTTGGGATTACAGGAGTGAGCCACCGTGCCTGGCCTGACTTGATTTTTTAGTACCCATTTTCTCTCCTCATGTGAATATGGGGTCCTGCTTGAGCAGCATCTTGAGTTGATGTTTTAGAATTACATCTTTTCATTCAATTTAAAATGCATATTACCATAATATTTCAGAAATAAATATTTGTGTATATTAGTAAAATATATTGTATATCCTTGAAACAAATGTTGAAATATATAATAGAAATTTTGAATCTCAAGATTTTTTCTCCTCTTGTTTTCATTTTCAAAATTTCAGAAAAGTGTATAGTTTTGCATGATTTAATTCTGAGTTTAGTATAATTTAAAAATATTCCTCTTCTTCACATTGTGTGCTTTTCCTGAGTAAGGTCATCCACTCTTGCTTTCTGGGTGCCTCAAATTTGTTATGTCCCACACTGAAGACATTGTCCTTGACCCTTTCCTGATGTTTTGTAATCTACTCTGTCATCTGGTTTCATCATCCTAGGAAATAACACCTAGTAAGTAGCACTGAAACAATGAAGCAGGAAAATTTCTACCTTTCAGCCCTTTCTCAAATCATCAGTTCAGTCCCTTGCAAATTCTATATTTTCTACCTGCTAAGCATTTTTTATATCTCATTATCATAATTCACTCTCTGACTCATAATTTTGAAATACTCTTAATCTTCCCCACACCATGTTCATCTCTATCTTTTTGTTGCTGCCAAGGTGACTTTTATAAAATATATTTATAATGATATATAACTCATCTGCTTTTGAATTGTTCCCCATTGCATGATGGGGTAAGTTCACACTCTAGTGTGGCCCATATCTTGTGGTTTGGCCTGATTCTCCCATTTTATCTCTCCATTCCATTCCCTCTGACTATGTTCCACTTTTACTGCATTATTTTGGTACCCTTCATTTGCCCTGTCATTTCATGCATGCTTCTTTTGAGCATGCTTCTCTGTCTAGAAACCCTTCCTACCCTCACTGTGTACTTGGTCTATGTTTCAAAATATGGCTCTATCTTTGCAGCATTTCCTGAGCTTCCCAAGTAGAACTGATTGTTCTCTTCCTTGTGCCTGTACTTACTTTATTCACTTTAGTTGTAGAACTCATGGATTACACTTTTCTGTTTTTATTACCTTTTATATATCTCTACCCTCACTGAAATATAAGGCAGGATCTGACTTTTATTTATATTTTTAGCTTCTCCCCAAATACTGCTTATGATTTGATAAACAGCACATTTTTTTTGTCTTACTGACAGAGTGGGTGAGTGAGTAAATACAATGTTTTCTGAAGTTGCTGTTCTTTTCTTTTTAATAGGAGAAAGCAACAGAGCCAGCAAATGGAAAAAGACAAAATGGTATGGGTATTATTGAGAGTGCTCCACAAGAGCACACAAATAATGAAAACATTTAATTTTGATTCAGAAATGTTCGAGGTGGTAAGTTAGTGAATATCTCTGAAAAACAGTGTATATTAAGTATTTTCAGTAGAAAAACCACTGAACTATATAGATCCAAACATAATATTCATTTCTTTTCCACAATTTTTTTCTGTCTTTCTTTATACTACCAACTTTTTCCTAAAACTACTTCAATTCCTCAATTCCCTGAAATTCTTTTTCTTTTTCTTTTTGTTATTACTTTTGTTTCACTGAAATATTTATGGGTGAAGACAAACCTGTATAGGTATATAAAATTCATAGTGATAAATTTTCTCATGAATGTATCTGTGTATAACATTTTATAGATATGCCATTCACAGTAAAATCAGGACAAAAGGAAGACATGCAATCACATTTGGACAGCAAGGTATTATATATTGTTATTGCTGCAGTTATTATTTTAGAAAATAAGCATTCAGTGATATTACAACATAAAAGAGAATGCTTTCACTTCACTTTTGCACCTCTGCATATGCCCATAAATAATTATTTTCTGGCCAGGCAAGGTGGTTCACGCCTGTAATCCCAGCACTTTGGGAGGCCGAGGCGGGTGGATCACCAGAGGTCAGAAGTTTGAGACCAGCCTGGTCAAGATGGCAAAACCCAGTCTCTACTAAAAAAAATACAAAAATTAGCCAGATGTGGTGGTGTGCACCTGTAATCCTAGCTACTCAGGAGGCTGAGGCAGAAGAATCACTTGAACCCAGGAGGTGGAGGTTGCAGTGAGTTGAGATCGTGCCACTGCACTCCAGCCTGGTCAACAAAGCAAGACTCCGTCTCAAAAAATTTATATTCTTCCATTATCAGCCCATAATTAGTACAGTAGTTATGTACAAAGTATATCACTGCTGCATAGTACAATTCTGTTAATTTGGAGGATTCGTGTAAAAAGCCAGTGTCATATAGCGCAAAAAATATCAGGGTTAGAAGTCACAAGGAATCAGTTTGGGCTCTAAAGTTAAGTTTATCTAGAAACTAAAAAATTGTTCCATGTCGATATATGGCTGAATGCATGATTCTGTGTTCTACCTGGATGTGTAAAAGTGCTAACGAGATTCAGAGAGAAAGAGTTTGGACTGTAGTTTTGTACAACTTGAAACCTGAAAAGACAATGCCTGGGACTTAAAATACTACCGTGTTTGGATTGACTAGTATAGATCTGCAAAAAAATTTCAGAAGAAGCAAAAGCATGGGGAGTTGTAAATAAGTGAAGCTATAAACACAGTATTTTGGTTTAGTGGTGTTTTATTAAGTAGAAATCATATTTTAAAAAAGAAAACATTGAGTACCTTTATGGTAAATGAAGACTATTCTAAGGTGACAACAGTAGAAAGAGATGAAGGGGCCTGGCTTCTTAGAAGCAGTAGCTGTATTGTGATACCAGCACCAAGTTGGTCAAAAGACATGTTGTTATCCTGGTGCTTTTACTTACTAGCTATGAATTTCTGGTAAAAATTATTTAACCTATTTGAATGTCGAGTGATGCCCTTCATAAAAAGGGTACTAGTATGTACCTCTTAGGCATGTGTAATGAACAAATGTGCTAAAAAATTGGAAAGCATTTTGTAAACTTGAAAGTGTGTACACTAATGTATAATAAAGTGATCCACAGGGGTATTCGGTGGCTCAATAAGTATTGAGGATGCTTCATGTAAACTCAGAGGACAATAAAATGACAATAGCATCAAGAAAAGTTTGGGAAAGTCAGAGTGGGCATGTGGATTTCTAGTTTGGGGAACATGGAGTTTCAGCAAACTATTACTAGAGAACTCTTCTAGGAATCTAGTGGTTTGGTGCTTGAGACATTCCCATGGATATTTAAGTGTTTTGACCTTGAGTGAATTTCTGCTGTTGAGCACCAACTCTGCTAGGCAACTAGAGACTGAATATCGATGATGGGGGCTTAGGTTACAGCAGCAAGAAGAGAAAAACAAGTAAATAACCCAGTCTTATAAGTTGAATGTGCTTCCTATAAAGAAAACAGAGAAGACAGAGATTATTGGAGAGGTTTGTAGTTAGCATGGGGATGGGAGTGGCAGTAAAGTTCTATAGTCAGAGGAGATGTTTCTGCATGTGACATTGAAACTGTCAACTAAAGGATGAAAGGAGCCAGCCATGGGAAAGTCTAGGAGGAGGACATTCTGGACAGAGAGGAAACAGTGGATCTCATCTGTTCATCATGTTCTTGTTAACATCCTGGAATGACCAGAAAGTGGGGTTACCATCATCATCTTCATCATCATCATTATTTTTATTAGTATAATGTGTAGAAAAGAAAATGTGAAATTAAGTTGCCTGGCACATTTTAAATGCTTCACAAATGAATGTTCTGAATGTTCTTGTTCTGCTTTTTTTTTTTTTGAGATGGAGTTTCACTCTTCTCGCCCAGGCTGGAGTGCAATGGCGTGATATTGGCTCACTGAAATCTTCGCCTCCCGGGTTCAGGGGCTTCTCCTACCTCAGCCTTCGGAGTAGCTGGGATTACAGGAGCATGCCACCACACCCAGCTAATTTTTATATTTTTAGTAGAGGTGGGGTTTTGCCATGTTGGCCTGGTGGGTCTCCAACAGGAGTTTGAGACTGCAGGTGATCCACCAGCCACGGCCTCCCAAAGTGCTGAGATTACAGGCATGAGCCACCGCGCCCAGCCTTGTTCTGCTTTTTATACTAAGGCTTGATATACTTTGTTGAAGTTTTTTTTTACTGGGAGAGTGTTGCTTACTATATCTAATATTTGCTTACTTATATGTAGACATAAACTAAAGGTTTTCTCATTGCTTTGTGGTTGTATTCAACCATTTTTTCTATCAGTAAAAATATCAAAGACTGTGTAGATTTCTCCAAGCCCTTGTTTATCTAAATGAAGGAGCTTCTACCATGTTCTGTTTAAACGCAACATGATGTACGCCACATGTTTCTTATTGTGCTGTCTTAACATTTACATTTTCTGTAACTAGAAATCTTTTAAATATTTAGTATTAAATATTTAAATATTTAATGCTTTAAGTGTAACACCAAGTGTGTTATGTCATATTTTAAATGGTCTTTTATTTTTGGTTGGGAATGTAGGGTGGAGTTAGGAATTATGAAGTTAGTCTCTTGCTGCAATATGCACGTAAGTTATTATTTGGTCTGTGAATATATTTCTTGTAGGCTTTTAGTCTGGGTGTGCAGAGGCAGTAGCCCTGTGAAGATAAAAAATAAGTTTGATTTAGACAGCCTATCTATGTAAGGTTCTCTATTGAATAATTTAGGTTCCCAACACATGCTTTTCTTATTTTGAAGTTATCTGAATGAAAAACACCTTCTTTAAAAGAAAGTGTTTGGGAAATCTTTATGTAACTACTACTTCTTTTTCATCTTCTTGAAACTCATTGTTATTATTAATTTTTACAGAAGATCTCCAAGAATCACGCAGAGAATGGTGGCAGTCAGGTATCTGGGGCTACAGACTGTAAGACAAAATATGTAGTAAATGGGCAAGAAGAAGGTAAAAACTGTAGTCATAGAATAAGTCGATTGACAGTATGTCTCTTTAAAAACAGGAGCACTAGTATATTCTAATAGCCAGAGAAAACTTCTTAAAATGACTTCTTTTTTTTTAATTTTTTTGAGATGGAATTTCACTCTTGTTGCCCAGGCTGGAGTGCAATGGTGCAATCTCGGCTCACTGCCACCTCTGCCTCCCAGGTTCAAGCGATTGTCCGGCCTCAGCCTCCCAAGTAGTTGGGATTACAGGCACACACCACCATGTGTGGCTAATTTTCTGTATTTTTTCTATATGCTTCATTTTCATTCTTTAAGCCCTGGTGCCTGACATATAGCAGGACTCCATAAATAATGCTGAGTAAAATATATAAAGGCTGTTTATACAAAGATGATTTGCAAGTTGTCCCCTATTGTGTAGGAGCAAAGGGGATATTCATGTAAAGCAATAATGTACAGTTCAGGTGGTAAAGATTCAGTAGAAAAATTAATAAAATACTAAGGCAGCCCCAAGGAAGGAGACACCTGGTTATCTGGGGAATAAAGATATTAATTAAAAAAATCACCAGAATCAAGGAAGACTTCACATAGCCACCTGTTTTAAAAGAAGAAAATAAATTTGTCAGAATAGTAAAGGAAAACATTTCAGATATTGGGAACAGGGTGCACATCGATAAAAGTGTAAACAGTCATTTTGGAAATCATCAGTAAGGTACTACCATGAAGCAGAGAATAGTATACTGCATTACTATGTAGGGATGTTTCTACTAAATTTTTAAGTATATTTTTAATTTTTAATTTTTTGGGTACAAGGTAGGTGTAGATATGGAGTACATGAGATATTTTGATACAGGCATACAATGTATCATAATCATATCACAGTAAATAGGATATCCATCACTTCAAGGATTTATCCTTTGTGTTAAAAACAATATAATTATACTGTTTTAGTTATTTTTAAATGTACAATTAAGTTATTATTGACTTTAGTCACACTGTTGAGCTGTCAAATACTAGATCTTATTCATTCTATTTTTTGGCACCCATTAACCATCACCTCATCCTCCCCCAACACTGCCCCATCACCCTTCCCAGCCTGTGGTAATCATTATTATACTCTATCTCCATTAGTTCAATTGTTTTAATTTTTAGTTTTCAAAAATAAATGAGAATATGCAAAGTTGGTTCTTCTGTGTCTTGCTTATTTCAGTCAGCATAATGACCACCAGTTCCATCTATGCTGTTGCAAATGACAGGATGTAATTGTTTTTCATGGCCGATTAGTACTCTATTGTGTATATGTAGCACAATTTCTTTATCCATTTGTCTGTTGTGAAAGGCATAGGTTGCTTCCAAATCTTGGCTATTGTGAATGGTGCTGCAATAAACATGGGAGTGCAGATATCTCTTTGATACATTAATTTCCTTTCTTTTGGGTATATACCCAGCAGTGAGATGGCTGGATCATGTGGTAGCTCTATTTTTAGTACTCTGAGGAACCTCCAAACTATTGTTCATAGTCGTTGTACTAATTTACATCCCCACCAACAGCATACAAGGTTTCCCTTTTCTCCACATCCTTATCAGCATTTGTTATTGCCTTTCTTTTGGCTATAAGTCATGATCACTGGGGTGAGATGACATCATCTCATTATAGTTTTGATTTGCATCTCTCTGATGATCAATGATGTTGAGAAACTTTTCATATGCATGTTTGCCATTTGTATGTCTTCTTTTGAGAAATGTCTATTCAGATCTTTTGCCGATTTTTAAGTTGAATTATTAGATTTTTTCCCATATAGTCATTTGGGCTCTTTGTGTATTCTGGTTATTAATCCCTTGTCAGATGGGTAGCTTGCAAATATTTTCTCCCATTCTGTGGGTTGTCTGTTCCCTTTGTTGATTGTATCCTTTGCTGTACAGAAGCATTTTAACTTGATGTGATCCCATTTGTCTATTTTTGCTTTTGTTGCCTGTGCTTGTAGGATATTACTCAAAAAATTGTTGCCCACAATGATGTCCTGGAGAGTTTCCCCAATGTTTTCTTCTAGTAGTTTTATAGCTCGAGCACTTAGTTTTAAGTCTTTAATCTATTTTGATTTGCTTTTTGTATATGGTGAGGGATAGAGGTCTAGTTTCATTTTTCTGCATATGGATATCCAGTTTTCCCAGCACCATTTATTGAAGAGCCTATCTTTTTCCCTAGTGTGTATGTTCTTCTTCCCCAGTGTATGAACTCAAACATGAGTTCACTGTAGGTATGTGGATTTGTTTCTGGCTTCTTTATTCTGTTGTGTTAGTCTATATGTCTGTTTTTATGCCAGTACCATACTGTTTTGGTTACTATAGCTCTGCAGTATAATTTGGAGTCAGGTAATGTGATTCCTCCAGTTTCTTCCTTTTTGCTCTAGATAGCTTTGGCAATCCTGGGTCTTTTGTGGTTCCATATACATTTTAGGACAGTTTTTTTCTATTGCTATGAGGAATGTCATTGGTATTTTGATAAGGATTGCATTGAATCTGTAGATTGCTTCGGGTAGTATGAACATTTTAAAAATACTGATTCTTCCAGTTTATGAAAATGAAATATCTTTTCATTATTTGGTGTCCTGTTCATTTTCTTTCACCAAAGACTTACAGTTTTCATTGTAGAGATCTTGCACTTCTTTGATTATGTTAATTTTTAGGTATTTAATTTTATTTTTAGCTCTTGTAAATGAGATAGATTACTTCCTTGATTTTATTTTCAGATTGTTCACTTTTGGCATCTAAAAATGCTACTGATTTTTGTATGTTGACTTTGCATCCGGCCACTTTATTGAATTTATCATTTCTAATAGTTTTTTAATGAAGTGTTTAGGTTTTCCAAACATAAGATTATATTATTATATCATTTGACTTCTTCCTTTCCTATTTAGATGTTCTTCATTTCTATCTTTTGTCTAGTTGCTCTAGCTAGAACTTCCAGTACTATGTTGAATAACATTGGTGACAGTGGACATTCTTGTCATGTTCCAGATCTTAGAGGAAAGACTTTCAGGATTTCCCCATTATGATACTAGCTATGGGTCTGTTGTATATGACTTTTGTTGTGTTGAGGTATGTTCTTTCTATACCCAGTTTTTTGAGGGTTTTTATTATAAGGGGATATTGCATTTTTACCCAATGCTTTTTTTTTGTATCAGTTGAAATGATCATATGATTGTTATTCTTCATTCTATTGATATGCTATATCACATTGATTAATTTGCATATATTGAATCATCTTTTCATTCCTGAGATACATTTTACATGGTTATGAAGAATAATTTTTGAAATGTGTTGTTGAATTTGTTTTGCTAGTATTGGTTGAGGATTTTTTGCATCAATGTTTATCAGAGATATTGATGTGTAGTTTTCTTTTTTTGATGTGTCTTTGTCTCATTTTGGTATCAGGGTAATACTGGCATTGTATAATGAGTTTGGAATTATTCCCTTCTCTTCTGTCTTTCAGAATAGTTTGAGTAGCATTGGTATTACTTCTTCTTCAAATATTTGGTAAAATTTAGCAGTGAAGCCATCAGGTCCTAGGCTTTGCTGGGAGACTTCGCTGGGTCCCCTAAACTTTGCTGGCTTCAATCTCATTATTTATTCTTAGTCTGTTCAGGTTTTGGATTTATTCATGGTTTAATCTCAGTGGGTCATGTGTGTCTAGAGATTTAATCATTTATTATAGGTTTTCCAATTTATCGGCATATAGTTTTTCACAGTAGCCTCTAACAATCTTTGAATTTCTACAGAATCAGTTGTAATGACTGCTTTTCCTTTATTTTTTTTTAATTTTACTTTAAGTTCTGGGATATATGTGGAGAATGTGCAGGTTTGTTACATAGGTAAATGTGTGACACAGTGGCTTGCTGCACCTATCAAGCTGTCACCTAAGTATTAAGCCCTGCATGCATTAGCCATTTGTCCTGATGCACTCCCTCCCATCCTCCTGCTGAGAGGCCCCAGTGTGTGTTATTCCCCTCCCTGTGTCCATGTGTTCTCATTGTTTAACTCCCACTTATGAGTGAGAACATGAGATATCTGGTTTTCTGTGTCTGTGTTAGTTTGCTGAGGATGATGGCTTCCAGCTTCATCCATGTCCCTGCAAAGGACATGATCTCATTCCTTTTTCTGGCTGCATAATATTTCATGGCATATATATACCACATTTTCTTTATCCAGTCTATCATTGATGGGCATTTGGGTAGGTTTCATGTCTTTGCTATTGTGAATAATGCTGCAATAAACATAAATGTGCATGTAGCTCTATAAAAGAATGATTTATATTCCTTTGAGTATATACCCAGTAATGGGATTGCTGGGTCAAGTGGTATTTCTGGTTCTAGATCGTTGAGGAATCGCCACACTGTCTTCCACAAGGGCTGAACTAATTTACATTCCTACCAACAGTGTAAAAGTGTTCCTATTTCTCCACAGCCTTGCCAGCATCTGTTGTTTCTTGACTTTTTAATAATCGCCATTCTGACTGGCATGAGATGGTATCTCATTGTGGTTTTGATTTGCATTTCTCTAATGATCAGTGATGTTGAGCTTTTGTTTCATATGTTTGTTGGCTGCATAAATGTCTTCTTTTGAGAAGTGTGTGTTCATGTTCTTTGCCTACTTTTTGATGGTTTTTTTTTTTTCTTGTAAGTTTGTTTAAGTTCCGTGTAAATTCTGGATATTAGACCTTTGTCAGATGGGTAGATTGCAAAAATTTTCTCCCATTCTGTAGGTTGCCTGTTCACTCTGATGATAGTTTCTTTTGCTGTGCAGAAGCTCTTTAGTTTAATTAGATCCCATTTGTCAATTTTAGCTTTTGTTGCAATTGCTTTTGGTGATTTCGTCATAAAATTCTTGCCCATACCTACTTTCTGAATGGTATTGCCTGGATTTTCTTCTAGGGTTTTTATGGTTTTGGGTTTTACATTTAAGTGTTTAATCCATCTTCAGTTGACTTTTGTATAAGGTAAGGAAAGGGGTCCAGTTTCAGTTTTCTGCATATGGTTAGCCAGTTTTCCTAGCACCTTTTATTAAATAGGAAATCCTTTCCCGATTGCTTGTTTTTGAATGACTATTTTTTCATCTCTGATTTTATTTATTTGGGTCTTCTCTCTTTTTTCTTAGTCTGACTAAAGGTTTGTCAATTTTATGTAACTTTTCAAAAAATCAAGTTTTTGTTATGTTGATTTTTGTATTGTTTTGTTTGCTTTAATTTCATTTATTTCTGTTCTGATCTTTGTTATTTCTTTTCTTCTGCTACCTTTGGGTTTGGTTTGATCTTGCTTTTCTAATTCTTTAAGATGCAACGTTAGGTTGTTTACTTAATGTTTTGTCTCCTTTTTGATGCAGGCACTCATAGCTGTACTCATCTCTGTTAGCACTGCTTTCACAGTATCATATAGGTTTTGGTTCTTGTTCCATTATTAAGAAAAAGTTTCAATTTATTTTCTTAATCTCTTCATTGACTCACAGGTTATTCAGCAGCATGTTATTTAATTTCCATGTGCTTGTGTAGTTTCCACAATTCCTCTTGTTATTGATTTTTAGTTTGAGTCCATTGTGGTCCCACAAGATACTTGATAGTTTCTATTTTTTGAGGGTTTTAAGACTTGTTTTTTGGCCTAACATATGGCCTGTTCTTGAGAATGATCCACGTACTGAGAAGAAGAATGTGTATTTTGCAGCCGTTGGATGAAATGTTCTGTAAACATTTATTTGGTCCACTTGGCCTATAGGGCAGATTAAGTCTGATGTTTCTTTGTTGATTTTCTATCTGGATGATCTGTGAAATTCTGAAAGTGGGGTATTGAAGCCTTCAGCTAATATTGTATTGAGGGTGTGTTCTCTGTCTCTCTTTAGCTCTAGTAACATTTGCTTTATTTATCTAGGTTTTCCAGTGTTGGGTGCATATATATTTAAAATTGTTATATCCTTTTGCTAAAATGACCCCTTTATCATGATACAGTTCCCTTTTTTGTCTCTTGCAGTTTTTTTCTTGAAGTCTATTTTGTCTGATATAAGTATATATCTACTGATTCTCTTTTTTAGTTTTCATTGGCAGGGAATATCATATGTCATGTTTTTATTTTCAGTCTATGTGTAGGCAAAAGATCATTGGGTCTTGTTTATTTTTAATTCATTCATTCTATTTATGTATTTTGATTGGAGAGTTTAGTTATTTATATTCAATGTTGTTATTGATAAGTGAGGACTTACACCTGTTAGTTTGTAATTTATTTTCTAATCATTCTGTAGTCTTCTCTTCCTTCTTGTCTTCCTTTTAGTAAAGGTGATTTTCTCTGTTGGTATGTTTTAATTTCCTGCTTGTGTGTGTGTGTATCCATTGTATGTTTTTAGATTTAAGGTTACTATGAGGATTTCAAACCTACTTAAGATAGGAGTAGTTTACATACCCTAATTAAAGTGTTGTGATATTCTATGTTTGTCTGTGTACTTACTATTATCAGTGAGTTTTGTAAGATTCATTGATTTCAGGTTGTTTCTTATTGCTCATTAACATTCTTTTGTTTCAGATTGAAGAACTCTCTTTAGCATTCCTTGTGGGACAGGTCTGGTATTGATTAAATTTCTCAGCCTTTGTTTGGGAAAATCTTTATTTCTCCTTCATATTTAAAAGACATTTGTACTGGATATACTATTCTAAGATAAAAGTGTTTTTCCTTCAGCACTTTAAATATGTGTCATAATATGTCATGCCACTCTCTCCTGGCCTGTAAGCTTTCCACCAAAAAGTCTACTTCCAGTTGTATTGCAGCTCCATCGTATGTTATTTGTTTCTCTTTGCTTGATGCAGGGATAAATGACCCTTTCTTTATTTTTGATCATTGTAAGTTTGATTATTAAGTTCCTTGAAGTAGCCTTCTTTGGGTTAAATCTGCTTGGTTTTCTCTAACCTTCTTGGACTTGAATATTGATATATTTCTTGAAGTTTAGGAAGAACTTTGTATTTCTTTGAATAAACTTTCTTCTCCCATCTATCTCACTTCCTCCTCTCTAAGGCCATTAACTCTTGGAATTGCTTTATTAGGCTATTTTCTAGATCTTGTAGGCATGCTTCATTCTTTTCTATACCTTTTTCTTTTGTATCTTCTGACTGTGTTTTCTCAAGTAGCCTATCTTCAGGCTCACTGGTTCTGTCTTCTACTTGATCAGTTCTGCTATTAAGGGACTCATGCATCCTTCAGTACATCAATTGCATTTTTCACCTTCAGAATTTCTTCTTGATTCTTTTTAATTATTTCAATCTCTTTGCTAAATTTATCTGATAGAGTTCTGGAATTTTTTTCTTTGTCTTATCTTGAATGTTTTTGAGTTTCCTCAACACAGCTGTTTTGAATTACCTGTCTGAAAGGTCATATATCTCTGTCTCTCTAGAATTGGCCCCTGGTGCCTTATTTAGTTCACTTGGTGAGGTCATGTTTTCCTGGATGGTCTTTATGTTTGTGGATGATTGTCTGTGTCTGGGCATTGAAGAGCTTTGTGTTTATTGTAATCTTCACAATCTGGACTTGTTTGTACTCATTCTTCTTGAGAAGGCTTTCCAAGTACTAAAAGGGACTTGGGTATAGTGTCTATGCTTTTGGTCACTGCACCCATATCTGCATTAGGGGTCAGGGAACCTAAGCCCAGTAATTCTGTCATGTTTGCAGCCTCATAGAGACATGCTTTTGGTGGTTGTTCAATAAGAGCTGGAAGAAGTCTCTGAATTACCAGACATAAACTCTCGTTCTCTTCCCTTACTATCTCCTAAACAAATGGAGTCTGTCTCTGTGCTGCCTGGGGCTGGGGGAGGATTTATATAAGCACCTCTGTGTCCACCACCACTGGGATTTCACTGCATCAGACTGCTCAAGCCTGTAGGGCTCCCAATCAGCTGGTGGTGAAGTCAGCCAGTCTTATGTCCTTCCATTCAGGGTAGTGAGAGTCCCTTCAGGCCCCAGGTGGGGCCACAGATACTGTCCGGGAGCCAGGGCCTGAAGTTGGAAACCTTAGAAATCTACCTGGTGCTGTATTCTACTGCAGTTAAGCTGGCACTGAAACCACAAGACAAAGTCCTTTCCACTCTTCCCTCCCATTTCCCCAGGCAGAGGAATATCTTCCCATGTCCACCACCACCACAGACCTAGGAGGAGTCCTGCCGGGGTATCACCAATGTTCACTTAAGGCCCCAGGGCTCACATTTTAAAATTTTATTTTCTTTGTGATGATTTTCTTTATTTATGTTTGGTAGATACATTTGTGAGTGAATGTTTGACATGTGTGTTTATCTTCAACCTGGTGACATCTAGTGTCTCCCCAGGTGGTTTCTTGAAGTTTTAAGACTTAGGAGTATTTATTAAAGAAGTAAATATCCTGCTAAAGATTAAGCTTCCTTTAAATTCACAACTTATAGAATAAAATGAAATATTAGTTTTAATCTGTTTTCATAAAGACTATAGTTTAATCTACCTGTTGTGAGTAGTTCATTTTAACTAAATGTATAATTTTTTCAGCAGAACAAGTCTTAGCAGTGATATCAGAGGAAGAGCAAGAAAGACTTGAAGAAAGTGAAAACAACGAGCTACAAGTATACAACAATTTCATTTAAATTTCTTGTTGACTATTATGTTCTTTGCTTTAATAATGTAGGGTAGTCCAAATGAAATTACCTTTCAGATTAGCCTTTGATAACAATAGATTCTAATTTACTATTTAGTATTGAATTTTAAATACATTTAACTAGCTATAAAACTTAAAAGATTTTTAAAATCTATAGTAACTTATAGCTCATCTTTACCCTTGGAATAGAGAGAAAACATTTTCAAAATTTTCTTTACTCTTTCATCTCTATTAACATGTTTGCATGATGAAGAAAGTAACATGAATTATTAAATCATATTATTGAGCAACAGAAGTTATGAACAATTTAAGGGTGATGGCCATTGAGTTGGATTCATGTTAAAGGAGTCATGATGGCCAGTGGTTCAAAATGTGCAGTTTTATATTGCCAGTCACTAATGCCAAGGTTAAAGATGTATTCTGCCTCACGGTCTCTCATTGACTTCAGGTCATGTTTAGGAAGAAACCTGGGTCATAAAATCAACCTAACTGTTTATTAAGAGAACCATACTCTGCAGAATGGGACCTTTGGTATTAGGATATGAACAATAACTTTCTAACTTATTTCAATGCAGGAAGTCAGTAAATAGTATAAAATTTTTAATCCATCATCATTGGTGGATATTAGAATATATTAGAACTGGACTTAAGCAGACTTAACCGGATACATCAGAGTGTCATATTACAGAATATAATTTGAATTATAATTTGAGAATTTGCTTTTCTTTCTGATTTGTATTGATTTTGGCTTCTAACAAAGTTTGCCTACAGTCCAGTTAGTAATCTTTAGAAAAAGTACTTAAATGCACCGCATGTGCTCACTAATTAGTGTATGCTGAGGTAAAATCTTTTCAAGTGAGGACACTTTTGTAACACTACTAACCATCTGCTAATTCATGTTTTGGTAGATATAACACAAAATGAATTTAGTCCAAACAACAGTGCCAAAGTTAAGTTTGCTGGTTTGTTTTTTTCTTGTAGTTTTAGCTAAGGCAAATTACTTTTTACTTCTCCCTGTGATTTGGGAGAAGCTAAACATACATGAAGAAGTTTAACAATTAAATTTTAATTTTAATTAAATTTTTTTCTTTATACTTTATTGAGAATAAAGTTATTTTAAAAACATGCTCCCTGCTGGGCACAGTGGCTAATGCCTGTAATCTTAGTATTTTGGGAGGCTGAGGTGGGAGGATTGCTTCAGCCCAGGAGTTCAAGACCAGCCTAGGCAGCATGGTGATGCCCCATCTCTACAAAATTTTTTAAAAAAATTAGCTAAGCATGGTAGTATGTGCATGTGTTTCCAGCTATATGGGAGGCTGAGATGAGAGGATCACTTGAGCCCAGGAGGTTGAGGCTGCAATGAGCCACGTTTGCACCACTGCACTCTTAACTTATGCAACAGAGTGAGACCATGACAATTAATTGTTTGAAAATGAATATGTATAGCAGATGGTGTTGGTAACTGGTGCACCTGGGGGAATTTTTTCAAAATTGTTCTGAGTCTATTTTGTCTGTGTTTAAATGTTGGAAGGTTTTGTTTTTTGTTTTACAATTCAAAATGCATTTCATTTTTATTTACAACCAATTTTTACAATTCATTTTTGCTTTGTGCTATTAATAATAATGAAATGTTAGAAACAATAGCATGCCCAATAGTAGGCAACTAAGTAAATGATAGTCCGATAAAATAGAGTATATGAGCGAAATTGTATGTAATCATTAATTATGACCTTGGAGAAATTACCCATTGCCTTAGAAAGATATTCATGAAAATAAACCAAATTATATGTATGATAAAAAAATAAATAAAAACAAAAACATGCACTCTGACAAAGATAACTTCTGAGAAACAAAACAAGCAAATTAATCTTCCCCTTTTGCATCTGCCAAAAATATCTCAAGAACAAGAATAAAATAAGGATTGGATAGAGAGGATATGTCTGTATATTCAGGACTGTTTTGTGTAAAAGTCTGAGGAAATGTGTATTAAATGAGGCAAATTAGAGTGGGAAAATAAATTAAAACTTCTCACAAATGAGTTAAATCAGAGGTTTGGTGAAATCTGTGAAAAATACAAATTACTGCTTTTTCTGAAGCCACTCCATGATAGCTCAAAAGGAGAAACAAACATAAAGGAAATTCCTTCCAATTGGACAAATAATATACTTGTGAGGGAAAAAGATGCATCTGGAGTGTCTGTCTTTGTAGCCTTCCAGGCATTTTGTTGAACACATGGAACCCAGTCTCAAAAATGTGTGTATATCTCATTCATGTTCTGGGTTTTTGGTACATGTTTGCCAGGAATCTTCTAAGCTTTATTTAAATGAAAATAAATTAGACTGTGAAAATAACAAACCAGATAATGAACATGTTTTTAACATAGATGAGGAGAATTTTTATAATGATAGAGACTCTAAGAAAGCAAGGAACCGTGAGCCGAGATCGTGCCATTGCACTCCAGCCTGGGCAACAGAGCGAGACTCCTCAAAAAAAAAAAAAAAAGAAAAAAAAGAAAGCAAGGGACCCAGAAGTTGTTACAATGGAAATGAAAGAAAGTCAAGAGTTTGATATGCAAATGATGAAAAAATATGACCAAGATACCATGAGGCACCAAATTAGACATCAGGCATATGCCTCTACCTAGTGATCCAAAATGTTTTTTAGATTCATGGGGTACCCCCTCCAGAGAGATAAAACATGATTCAAATTAAAGGAGTGAGCTGAGTCGCACCACTGCACTCCAGCCTGGGCGACAGAGCGACACTCCATCTCAAAAAAAAAAAAAAAAAAAAAAAAAAGCCACAGTATTTCTGCAGATATAGACACTTAGAAGAAAATAAAAGCAATACAGGACTTGTTCCAGAAGCCATTCTGTGACAGTCTCAGTGCTAGCAACTATAAAATCATGGTGCCTGAATTAGAAAATGTGAGTTCTTTACCACTACATCATGACAGAACATCAAAAATATATCTACAAGGAAAATGACAGCAAGATATGCAAAGGTTTAAGAATGAAGTAGACATATTACAAGTAGAGTTCCTGGAGGTTTACTTGTTGCTACTCTTTGTTTTTTCTCTTTATCAATTATCTGATCCATTCTGAGTTACTACTGATGAGAAACTCATGTGTAAAATAGGGTTATCTAAATCTGTAATTGTACATAGAAATAGATTATTTCTGCTATCTAAATGATAGAAGTTCAGAAAAACTTTCTCTAATCTTTGTACCTTGATCAAGCAAAGTCTGTTAAGTTTTCCAAGTGGTATAAGAAATCATAAACTAATTTATCCGTATGCCTATGTCCTTCAGAACCAGGATAAGCATAAAGAAAATTGCTTAAAATTATAGCCCTAGGGTTGTCCCTTCTATTTACATAAAGATGAGATGTGTTTAGCAATAAAATGGGAATACAATGGGAAGGAAGAAATAACGGAAAAGAGAGATAAAAATGTGTTAGTCTTGAGAGTTGTAAGAAATATTCGTGGCCAATGAAACTGTTTCTTGTGCTTTCATGTTTTGTAGTGTATCTGTTTAACTGCAACTCTTGCAACATATAATTA
The DNA here is from genome assembly GCF_000001405.40 of Homo sapiens. NCBI lineage: Eukaryota > Metazoa > Chordata > Mammalia > Primates > Hominidae > Homo > Homo sapiens. Next base: position 46,502,580 of record NC_000016.10, on the reverse strand, counting down.
TATTATAAGCATTTTAAATATTTTTGAGAAGTATATATACTTTCACATATTTTTAATAACTCTCAAATGTTTCTGTTGAGTCAGACCTCTACATTCTATTGTTTGATAGAGTATGGTGAGTTATGGCATATATGATATTTTTATATAAGTAGCATAAATCCTCAGCCAAAAATTTAGTATATGACTTTAAAGTAGAAAGCTGAGCTCTAGACAGATAAAAAAGAAAGATAAAAGACAGTGGGGAAAAGAATAGCTTAGTGCACAAAGGGTGAAGCTTCCTTTCTGTTCCTGAAGCTCCACAATGTCGCATCCTCTAAATCTGGCTGTTTAAAATCCAAGTTGTAAAGAAGGAAGAAGACAATTTTTGTCTTTGTCTTTTATGAGGTGGTGGTGGTGGTTCTGGCCTTTGGCCCACTGAATAAAATGATGTTCTCTTAATTTAATGCCATTTGTCTGCAATGGTCAAGTAGTGATATTCATATTGCCCTCATGAAAAGCAGAAGCATTTGATACTTTCCATAGGAATTAATGATCTTTCTATAATGTCAAAACCCTTGCTACTAACAAAACATGTTCTAGTTGTTGAAAGTTATTTAATCTTATTTTTATATTAATGGAGGGGTTAGTTTATTACTTCCACTGATTGGTAAGAAGAAAATGTATAGGCAGTTCAGAGACCATATTTTGGATGTTCTTCTTTTTACTTTTGAGAAGATTAACAGTCTGCTCCAATAGTGTCTAATTTGAGTACAAAGAGTTTGAACACAATGTTGTGCCACAATATAAACTAGTGATAATTTGCTAATATGTATTTCGTTCCTAGTAAAATAGTTCAGTATATTTCCCCCATTTCACATTTATTACTCTTTCAAACATCATAAAGAGGAAATAGAAGTTATTGCAATGGCAAATGATTTTATGACTCTCTAAGCAAAGCTCTATAATTTTATCTTATTTACTATTGGTGTTTTGAAATAAAAAGGCTTCTTTTTGTATTTATTTATACTAAAGAAATAAATGTGATTTGGTGGAGGCGCACTAGAAGTAGAGTTAGAAAACCTAGGGAAAATTCTGCAGCTTGCTTATTTTTTGACCACTCCTTTGCAGAATTGTGATAATTGAGTTCAGTGACATATGTAGAAGTGCTTAGTGAAATGCTTATATTTAGCGTTTATGCACGTATGTCATTCTTAGAACTGACTATAAAAATGGTACAAAAATACTATATCTGTAGGATATTCTCAGGAAAAAGGAGCTTAAAGGACATTGGGAAATTTCATCTGTCCAAATATATGCAGAGCTAAGGCTCTTAGTATATGGTGGTATATAGGTTAGATATCAGAGTGTAAACCCAATATTTAATGTAGTAAATTTTTTTAATCTTTTATTTTATGCCTTTGGGTTTGTTGTTGTTCTGAGAAAGGTTTTTCCATTTCTGGGAACCTTACACATTCTCTAGTGGTTTCTCTTTTACTTTTATGGATTCATTGTCTTTAAATAAATCTTTGACCTTTGGAGAATTTATGCTCTATGAGGTTTGAAGTTTTAATTTAACTTTTTTTTCCCAGTTAGATATTCATTCATGGCAATGCTTTCATTGTATAAATGTGCAGGATATTCTTTAATTTCAGAGAAAGTAATGAAATGTCATTGTATTGAATGTTAGCTAAAAGTTTCCTTTGTTTATTTAGATTTCTCATGGGCATAAGAAAGAAAAAGATCTGTTGCATAAAAATTGCATGTTGCAGGAAGAAATTGCAAGGCTAAGACTGGAAATAGATGCACTGAAAAATTGGAACCAGCAAAAGGAAAAGAATTTTCTTGAGGACATTAAAATTGCGAAAGAAAAGAATGATTTCCTTCAAAATGCTTTGATGCTGAAAGAGGAAACATTTGCAACAATGATATTCCAGGACAGTATACAGCCTGAAGTTTTGAAAGCTGAGAATGAAATGTCCAGTTTTAAATTGAAGGATAAAAGCCAAAACCAGGAGAGACTGGAAAGAGAAATTGAATCATATCGTTGTAGACTGGCTGCTGCTCTACAAGACCGTGATCAAAGTCAGGCATCAAAAAGAGATGTAGAATGTGATTTCCAGAGGACAAGAGAAGAGTGGTTTCATTTAAAGGAAAAAATGAATTTTGATATGAGTAACCTAAAAGATAAGAATGAGCTGCTTTCTGAAAAACTTTCTAATGCTGAAAATAAAATCAGAAGCCTCAAAATGAAGTGGCACCAGACAAAAGATGCTCTAAAGGAAAAGACATTGGTTTTAGAAGATGTCCAAAGAGACCTAACCCAATCACAATGTCGGAGGAAAGAAATTGAACAAATGTTTCAGAATGAAGAAGACAAAGTGAGTAAATACATTCAAAAGCAAGAATCTCTAGAGGAGAGATTATCTCAAATACAAAACGAAAATCTGTTACTTCGACAGCAACTGGATGAGGCTTACAAGAAAGCCGACAATCAAGAAGAGACAATAATTAATATCCAAGAGCAATTTAATGCTATTGTCAAAAATCAAGCTCAGAGTGAAGAGCAAAGTCTTCTACTAGAGCAGAAAAACAACAACTTGATCAATAAATGCGATTTCATAAAAAAAAGATTGTATAAATATGAAAAAGAGAAAGCAGAAAGAAATGTAAGTATTGAGAAAGAAAATATTTTTCAAACTTCTTGAAAGAAAATGTAAAGTAATATTTGGTTTTTGCTAAATGATGAGTCTCATTGAATATAAAAATATATGTATTATAAACATATTTGCTTTATCAGCCTAGAAACATGCCAGCAAAAAAAGTTAGACTGGAAAGATGCTTTGAGTAAAGAAACAGTGTCACCTATGAAACATTGAGAGGTTAAGTTACAAGTTGTTAATAGATAGAGACTAATATCAATAATGTAGTCTTACACTGCTGAAATAATACCTTTTTTTTAAAATTTGAGACAGAGTCTCATTCTGTTGCCCAGGCTGGAGTGCCGTGGCACGATCTTTGCTCAATGCAACCTCCGCTTCCCGGGTTCAAGCGATTCTCCTGCCTCAGCCTAACGAGTAGCTGGGATTACAGGCACGCGCCACCACGCCCGGCTAATTTTTCTATTTTTAGTAGAAACGGGGTTTTGCCATGTTGGCCAGGCTGGTCTCAAACTCCTGACCTCAGGTGATCCACCCACCTGGACCTCCCAAAGTGCTGGGATTACAGGCGTAAGCCACCGCAACGGGCCTGAAATAATAATTTTAATGTCTTTATGTGGCCACATTTTGAGACCATGATGAAACAGATAAATGGAAATGCTCATACCTGAAATGAATATTTTGAAATTAAGATTCAATTTGGTGGGTGATTTCGACAGTTAGGTCCAGATTTCCCAGGTGAACTGAAGCGTACTGCTGTATCTCATAAGACTTTCCCTCAGGAGCTTCTTATATATTGAAGTTGGTGTAATTTTATTTTTATTCATGTCAGTTTGACTTAAATCTGAAACTATTTCATTATTGTCATGACCTCTCAACTCTTTGACGGCATTCACTTTTAATTAAATATAATTTGGGACGGATGTGAGTATCAGTAAAACCATATTTGATTTACTCTTACCACTGGCATTTGTAATTTATTTCGAATGTTTTTACAAGTAATTTGTGCATAATTTTTATTTCAAGACTCAATGACTAATTTCATTTGGATATAACTTTGTCCAGTACAAAGATAATTGTAGCAATCTGAGATTTCTTTGTTTGGCATTGGGTCCCCATGTTCAAACTAACGAGGGGTGACAGGATTCACACATAGTGGGAATGGAGTGAGTAGGGGAGAGAGTGTAGGAGCTGAGATCAGGGAGGTGGAGGCAAGATTATCAAGGGCCTCAAAGGCCATTGAAATTTTAGTTTTATTTCGATACAGCAATCTATTGGAAGGATTTGAGCAGGCAATTGAATAAATGAGGAATTGTGAAGTTGATTTGAACTTCTAATAAAGAAGAGAGAAAACATTTCAGAGTATAGAATTTACCACCACTAGTCTCACTCACATACCCATTTCTTTCTGAGACTTCAGTAGATGATTAAGCATTGCAAACTTAGGTGATGAATGTATAATGGGCTGTATCTGTTGTCTAAGTTACAGAATACTGATTTGGTGGGAAAATAGCACCTTTTCTGTCCTTAACTGAATTCAGTATTGAACAGGAATGTTCATTACACATGCGGAAAAGTAGGTGAATCAATGTATGTGGTAATATTTTTCAAAGTATTTATGTTAGAGTTAAATTCTATGACCATCATTTAATAACAAGGTGACATAAAATCAATAACAAAAATATCTTTACAGGAAATTATGAGACAACTTCAACAAGAACTGGCTGATACTGTAAAAAAACAACCTATATCAGAGCCTCCACTAGAGGCTACACCATGTTATGTTAATTTAGATGAAACACAGGCCTCAAAGAGGAAATCAGATCAAATCAGAAGTCAAGTATGTATAAAATGTAACATGTCAACAGTTAGTCTATAGCTGGTTAAATAATATGAAGTGTTTTAGTATACTAATTTCAGTGAACAGCTTTCTTTTTTGTTTTCATTATAATTAATTTTATTACAATTTTATTATCATTATAATGTACTTATTTCTTAACCTCTTGACTTTTATTCTGTCATTTTTTCCTCTTAAGTATGTACATATTTTTCTTATAATATTTACCTTCAGGAAAAGTTGAGAATTAGACATCATTTCTCACAAAAGTTGAGAGACTTTTTTTCTGTGAAACAGTAATTTTTAGTGATTTTTCTCTATTGCCATGATGAGGCACACGAGATTAAATCAGAGGATAATGTTTATTTCAGAAAATTGTCTTATTTCTTATCTTTACTTTTGTGAATGGGTACAGAATCTCTGTATATTTATTTCATGTATTTCAGGATAACATGTACAGGAAAGACTGTTATACTGGTCTTCAAAATACAAATGTTTTAGATTAGTTTACAAACTACTTGAAATGTTAGGCATTTCCTTCCTATTTTGTTTCTTTTAAATATATTGTAAAACAGAAATATTCAGATCATGTATAGTATATAATCCAAAGTAGAGAAGTAGGAAATTTATCAAAATCCTGCCATTTGATTTTTAAAAACAACTTTATTAAGATACAATTCACCTACCATACAGTTCATCTGTGTAAAGTGTACAATTCACAGTTTCTTAGTATATTCACACAGTTGTGTAACCATTGCCACCATCAATTTTAGAACATTTTTATGACCCTGAAAAGAAACTCTGCATCCCTAAGCTATCATTGACCAGTTTCCCCCTTTTTACTCAGCTCCAGGGAACCACCAGTCTCCTTTGATTGTATAGATTTGTCCATTCTGGATGTTTTCTATCAGTGGAAGCACACAATATGTGGTCTTTTGTGACTTTTTTTTTTCACTTAGCGTAAGATTTTAAGGGTTTTCTGTGTGGTAGCAGGTATCAGTACTTAATTTCTTCTAATTGCTGAGTAATATTCCATTGTGTGAATATACCAATCATTTTATTTATCCATTCATCAATTGTTGGACCATCGGGTTGTTTCCAGTTTGGACTGTTATTAACAAAGCTGCCGTGAACTTTTATGTAAAAGTGCTTGTGTTTGCATATGTTTTCATTTCTGTTGGGGTTATACTTATGAGTGGAATTGCTGAGTCATGTGTTAACTCTTTGAGGAGCTGCCAGTCTGTTTTCCAAAGTGGCTGCACCATTTTACATTCTTCTCAGCATCATGAGGGTGTTCTAATGTCTTCATACCCTTGCCAAAATTTTCCATATTTTTGATTGAGAAAAGATTTCATTCTAGTAGTGCTATGTGGTACTTTATTGTGGTTTTGATTTGCATTCTTCTAATGACTAATGACTTTAAGCATCTTTTTATGTGCTTATGAACCATTTGTATATCTTCTTTGGAGAAATATCTATTCAAATCCTTTGCCCATTTTTAAATTGGTTTTTTATTTCTAAATTTTAAGAGTTGTTTTTATATCCTAGGTGTAAGTCCCTTATCAGATGCATGATTTTCAAATATTTATTTCTACTCAATGGCCTTCCTCTTTGCTTTCCTGATGGTTCCTGCTCAAGTTCCAAATTTTGATCAAGTCCAGTTAATCTATTTTTCCTTTTGGTGTTATGTCTAAGAAACCACTGGCAAATGCAGTCACAAAGATTTATGCCTGTGTCTTCATCTAAGAATTTTATAGTTTTAGCTCTCACATTTAGCTGTTCTATTTTGAATAAATGTTTAGATATGGCATTTGGTGAGATGATACCATTTGTTGAAAATACTATTCTTTTCTCATTTGCTTTTTAACTCTTGTTGAAAATCAATTGAACACAAACATACAGATTTAATTTTGGATTCTCAATTCCAATATGCTGGTCTATGTCTATCCTTGTGCAGTAACATGTCTTGCTCAATTTGTATGATATGGAGAAGCATTTTGTTACAAAATAAAGATGAGATGGTCTCACCTTCTTCATACAAACAGGCTCAAAGTAAGGTAAAGGGGAAATTGTACTTAATTTCTTTTTTTTATTTTTATTTTTTATTTTATTATTATTATTATACTTTAAGTTTTAGGGTACATGTGCACAACATGCAGGTTTGTTACATATGTATACATGTGCCATGTTGGTGTGCTGCACCCATTAACTTGTCATTTAGCATTAGTATATCCCTAATGCTATCCCACCCCCCTCCTCCCACCCCACAACAGGCCCCGGTGTGCGATGTTCCCCTTCCTGTGTCCATGTGTTCTTCTTGTTCAATTCCCACCTATGAGTGAGAACATGCGGTGTTTGGTTTTTTGTCCTTGCCATAGTTTGCTGAGAATGATGGTTTCCAGCTTCATCCATGTCCCTACAAAGGACATGAACTCATCATTTTTTAAGGCTGCATAGTATTCCATGGTGTATATGTGCCACATTTTCTTAATCCAGTCTATCATTTTTGGACATTTGGGTTGGTTCCAAGTCTTTGCTATTGTGAATAGTGCTGCAATTAACATATGTGTGCATGTGTCTTTATAGCAGCATGGTGTATAATCTTTTGGGTATATACCCAGTAATGGGATGGCTGGGTCAAATGGTATTTCTAGTTCTAGATCCCTGAGGAATCGCCACAGTGACTTCCACAATGGTTGAAGTAGTTTACAGTCCCACCAGCAGTGTAAAAGTGTTCCTATTTCTCCACATCCTCTCCAGCATCTATTGTTTCCTGACTTTTTAATGATCACCATTCTAACTGGTGTGAGATGGTATCTCATTGTGGTTTTGATTTGCATTTCTCTGATGGCCAGTGATGAGCATTTTTTCATGTGTTTTTTGGCTGCATAAATGTCTTCTTTTGAGAAGTGTCTGTTGATGTCCTTTGCCCACTTTTTGATGGGGTTGTTTGTTTTTTTCTTGTCAATTTGTTTGAGTTCATTGTAGATTCTGGATATTAGCCCTTTGTCAGATGAGTAGGTTGCAAAAATTTTCTCCCATTTTGTAGGTTGCCTGTTCACTCTGATGGTAGTTTCTTTTGCTGTGCAGAAGCTCTTTAGTTTAATTAGATCCCATTTGTCAATTTTGGCTTTTGTTGCCATTGCTTTTGGTGTTTTAGACTTGAAGTGCTTTCCCATGTCTATGTCCTGAATGGTATTGCCTAGGTTTTCTACTAAGGGTTTTTATGGTTTTAGGTCTAACATTTAAGTCTTTAATCCATCTTGAATTAATTTTTGTATAAGGTGTAAGGAAGGGATCCAGTTTCAGCTTTCTACATATGGCCAGCCAGTTTTCCCAGAACCATTTATTAAATAGGGAATCCTTTCCCCATTGCTTGTTTTTGTCAGGTTTGTCAAAGATCAGATGGTTGTAGATGTGTGGTATTATTTCTGTGGCCTCTGTTCTGTTCCATTGGTCTATATCTCTGTTTTGGTACCAGTACCATGCTGTTTTGGTTACTGTAGCCTTGTAGTATAGTTTGAAGTCAGGTAGCGTGATGCCTCCAGCTTTGTTCTTTTGGCTTAGGATTGACTTGGCGATGCAGGCTCTTTTTTGGTTCCATATGAACTTTAAAGTAGTTTTTTTCCAATTCTGTGAAGAAAGTCATTGGTAGCTTGATGGGGATGGCATTGAGTCTTATAAATTACCTTGGGCAGTATGGCCATTTTCACGATATTGATTCTTCCTACCCATGAGCATGGAATGTTCTTCCATTTGTTTGTATCCTCTTTTATTTCATTGAGCAGTGGTTTGTAGTTCTCCTTGAAGAGGTCCTTCACGTCCCTTGTAAGTTGGATTCCTAGGTATTTTATTCTCTTTGAAGCAATTAGGAATGGGAGTTCACTCATGATTTGGCTCTCTGTCTGTTATTGGTGTATAAGAATGCTTGTGATTTTTGCACATTGATTTTGTATCCTGAGACTTTGCTGAAGTTGCTTATCAGCTTAAGGAGATTTTGGGCTGAGATGATGGGGGTTTTCTAGATATACAATCATGTCATCTGCAAACAGGGACAATTTGACTTCCTCTTTTCCTAACTGAATGCCCTTTATTTCCTTCTCCTGCCTGATCGCCCTGGCCAGAACTTCCAACACTATGTTGAATAGGAGTGGTGAGAGAGGGCATCCCTGTCTTGTGCCAGTTTTCAAAGGGAATGCTTCCAGTTTTTGTCCATTCAGTATGATATTGGCTGTGGGTTTGTCATAGGTCGCTCTTATTATTTTGAGATATCTCCCATCAATACCTAATTTATTGAGAGTTTTTAGCATGAAGGGTTGTTGAATTTTGTCAAAGGCCTTTCCTTCATCTACTGAGATAATCATGTGGTTTTTGTCTTTGGTTCTGTTTATATGCTGGATTACGTTTATTGATTTTCATATGTTGAACCAGCCTTGCATCCCAGGGGTGAAGCCCACTTGATCATGGTGGATAAGCTTTTTGATGTGCTGCTGGATTCAGTTTGCCAGTATTTTATTGAGGATTTTTGCATCAATGTTCATTAAGGATATTGGTCTAAAATTCTCTTTTTTTGTTGTGTCTCTGTCAGGCTTTGATATCAGGATGATGCTGGCCTCATAAAATGAGTTAGGGAGGATTCCCTCTTTTTCTATTGATTGGAATAGTTTCAGAAGGAATGGTACCATTTCCTCCTTGTACCTCTGGTAGAATTCGGCTGTGAATCCATCAGGTCCTGGACTTTTTTTGGTTGGTAAGCTATTAATTATTGCCTCAATTTCAGAGCCTGTTATTGGTCTATTCAGAGATTCAACTTCTTCCTGGTTTAGTCTTGGGAGGGTGTATGTGTCGAGGAATTTATCCATTTCTTCTAAATTTTCTAGTTTATTTGCGTAGAGGTGTTTATAGTATTCTCTGATGGTAGTTTGTATTTCTGTGGGATCGGTGGTGATATCCCCTTTATCATTTTTTATTGCATCTATTTGATTCTTCTCTTTTTTCTTCTATATTAGTCTTGCTAGTGGTCTATCAATTTTGTTGATCTTTTCAAAAAACCAGCTCCTGGATTCACTGATTTTTTGAAGGGTTTTTTGTGTCTCTATTTCCTTCAGTTCTGCTCTGATCTTAGTTATTTCTTGCCTTCTGCTAGCTTTTGAATGTGTTTGCTCTTGCTTCTCTAGTTCTTTTAATTGTGATATTAGGGTGTCAATTTTAGATCTTTCCTGCTTTCTCTTGTGGGCATTTAGTGCTATAAATTTCCCTCCACACACTGCTTTGAATGTGTCCCAGAGATTCTGGTGTGTTGTGTCTTTGTTCTCGTTAGTTTCAAAGAACATCTTTATTTCTGTCTTCATTTCATTATGTACCTGGTAGTCATTCAGGAGCAGGTTGTTCAGTTTCCATGTAGTTGAGCGGTTTTGAGTGAGTTTCTTAATCCGGAGTTCTAGTTTGATTGCACTGTGGTCTGAGAGACAGTTTGTTATAATTTCTGTTCTTTTACATTTGCTGAGGAGTGCTTTACTTCCAACTATGTGGTCAATTTTGGAATAGGTGTGGTGTGGTGCTGAAAAGAATGTATATTCTGTTGATTTAGGGTGGAGAGTTCTGTAGAGTCTCTTAGGTCTGCTTGGTGCAGAGCTGAGTTCAATTCCTGGATATCCTTGTTAACTTTCTGTCTTGTTGATCTGTCTAATGTTGACAATGGGGTATTAAAGTCTCCAATTATTATTGTGTGGGAGTCTAAGTCTCTTTGTAGATCACTAAGGACTTGCTTTATGAATCTGGGTGCTCCTGTATTGGGTGCATGTATATTTAGGATAGTTAGCTCTTCTTGTTGAATTGATCCCTTTACCATTATGTAATGGCCTTCTTTGTCTCTTTTGATCTTTGTTGGTTTAAAGTCTGTTTTATCCAAGACTAGGATTGCAACCCCTGCCTTTGTTTGTTTTCCATTTGCTTGGTAGATCTTCCTCCATCCCTTTATGTTGAGCCTATGTGTGTCTCTGTATGTGAGATGGGTTTCCTGAATACAGCACACTGATGGGTCTGGACTCTTTATCCAATTTGCCAGTCTGTGTCTTTTAATTGGATCATTTAGCCCATTTACATTTAAGGTTAGTATTGTTATGTGTGAATTTGGTCCTGTCATTATGATGTTAGCTGGTTATTTTGCTCATTAGTTGATGCAGTTTCTTGCTAGCCTCAATGGTCTTTACAATTTGGCATGTTTTTGCAGTGGCTGGTACTGGTTGTTCCTTTCCATGTTTAGTGCTTGCTTCAGGAGCTCTTTTAGGGCAGGCCTGGTGGTGACAAAATCTCTCAGCATTTGCTTGTCTGTAAAGTGTTTTATTTCTCCTTCACTTATGAAGCTTAGTTTGGCTGGATATGAAATTCTGGGTTGAAAATTCTTTTCTTTAAGAATGTTGAATATTGGCCCCACTCTCTTCTGGCTTGTAGAGTTTCTGCTGAGAGATCAGCTGTTAGTCTGTTGGGCTTCTCTTTGTGGGTAACCCCACCTTTCTCTCTGGCTGCCCTTAATATTTTTTCCTTCATTTCAACTTTGGTGAATCTGACAATTATGTGTCTTGGAGTTGCTCTTCTCGAGGAGTATCTTTGTGGCATTCTCTGTATTTCCTGAATTTGAATGTTGCCCTGCCTTGTTACATTGGAGAAGTTCTCCTGGATAATATCCTGCAGAGTGTTTTCAAACTTGGTTCTTTTCTCCCTGTCACTTTCAGGTACACCAATCAGACGTAGATTTGGTCTTTTCACATAGTCCCATATTTCTTGGAGGCTTTGTTCATTTGTTTTTATTCTTTTTTCTCTAAACGTATCTTCTCACTTCATTTCATTCATTTCATCTTCCATCGCTGATACCCTTTCTTCCAGTTGATCGCATCAGCTCCTGAGGCTTGTGCATTCATCATGTAGTTCTCATGCCATGGTTTTCAGCTCCATCAGCTCCTTTAAGGACTTCTCTGCATTGGTTATTCTAGTTAGCCATTCATCTAATTTTTTTCAAGGTTTTTAACTTCTTTGCCATTGGTTCAAACTTCCTCCTTTAGCTCGGAGTAGTTTGATCTTCTGAAGCCTTCTTCTTTCAACTCGTCAAAGTCGTTTTCCGTCCAGCTTTGTTCCATTGCTGATGAGGAGCTGCATTCCTTTGGAGGAGGAGAGGTGCTCTGATTTTTAGAGTTTCCAGTTTTTCTGCTCTGTTTTTTCCCCCATCTTTGTGGCTTTATCTGCCTTCAGTCTTTGATGATGGTGATGTACAGATGGGTTTTTGGTGTGGATGTGCTTACTGTTTGTTAAGTTTTCCTTCTAAAAGTCAGGACCCTCAGCTGCAGGTCTGTTGGAGTTTGCTCGAGGTCCATTCCAGACCCTGTTTGCCTGGGTATCAGCAGCGGTGGCTGCAGAACAGCAGATATTGGTGAACCGCAAATGCTGCTGCCTGATCGTTCCTTTGGAAGTTTTGACTCAGAGGAGTACCTGGCCGTGTGAGGTGTCAGTCCGCCCCTACTGGGGGGTGCCTCCCAGTTAGACTACTTGGGGGTCTGGGACCCACTGGAGGAGGCAGTCTGCCTGTTCTCAGATCTCAAGCTGCGTGCTGGGAGAACCACTACTCTCTTCAAAGCTGTCAGACAGGGACATTTAAGTCTGCAGAGGTTACTGCTGCCTTTTGTTGGTCTGTGCCCTGCCCCCAGATATGGAGCCTACAGAGGCAGGCAGGCCTCCTTGAGCTGTGGTGGGCTCCACCCAGTTCGAGCTTCCCAGGTGCTTTGTTTACCTACTCAAGCCTCAGCAATGGCGGGCGCCCCTCCGCCAGCCTTGCTGCCACCTTGCAGTTTGATCTCAGACTGCTGTGCTAGCAATGAGCGAGGCTCCATGGGCGTAGGACCCTCCGAGCCATGTGCGGGATATAATCTCCTGGTGTGCCGTTTGTTAAGCCCATTGGAAAAGTGCAGTATTAGGGTGGGAGTGACCCGTTTTTCCAGGTGCCATCTGTCACCCTTTTCTTTGACTAGGAAAGGGAATTCCCTGACCCCTTGCGCTTCCCAGGTGAGACGATGCCTCGCCCTGCTTTGGCTCCCGCACGGTGCACTGCACCCACTGTCCTGCACCCACTGTCTGGCACTCCCCAATGAGATGAACCTGGTACCTCAGCTGGAAATGCAGAAATCACCCGTCTTCTGTGTTGCTCACGCTGGGAGCTGTAGACTGGAGCTGTTCCTATTTGGCCATCTTGGCTCCCATAAGTTATTTTTTCTTGATGTCTCTTTGTTTAAATCAAATTTTCTGTTTATTTTTTCCTAACAAATTACCCAAAGTTGAGTTGCTGAAAACAACATTTATTTAGTTCAGCCATCTGTGGGTGGGGAAAACTTTGGCCAGGACAGCTTGTCTCCATTCCCCTGAGCTTCACTTGGGATAAATCAGAGGTTGGAGGACTGGAATCCTATGAAGGCATGTTCCCTAACTGTCTGGTTGTTCATGATGGCCATTGACTGAAACTTTAGTTGGGGCAGGCAGCTGAAATACCTTCATTGGAACTCTTAGGCTATCTTTGTGGCCTGAGCTTCCTCACAACGTGGGGTCTAAGTTCCAAGGACAAGCAGTGTGAGGTAGAGGGCCTTTTCTAACTTAATGTTGGAAGACACGTGGTATCACTTTTACCACATTTCTTCATTAGAGGCAAGTCAGTAGGGTTGGCCCACAGTCTACTTCTTTATAGGATAAATTTTTTTCTTCTATTTTTATTATTTATCTATTTATGTATATTAGAAATGGATCTCACTGTGTTACTCAGGCTGGCCTTAAACTCCTGAGCTCAAGGGATCCTTCTGCTTCAGCCTCCCAAATTGCTGTGACTACAGGCATGTTACGCCATGCCTGGCTTTCTTTTATATTCTGTGGTCATGTATATTTGTACATATTTATAGGATACACAGTAATATTTTGATACATGTAAACAACGTATAATCGTCAAATCAGGTTAATTATTATATCAAGCACTTCAACCATTTACCATTCTTTTTTTTGTGAACATTTATAATCCTCTCTTCTAGCTTTCAAAAAAATACAATAAATCATAGTTAATCATATTCACCCTACAATGCCACAGAACACTAGAGTTCATTCTATCTAGTGATAATTTCTTTTCCATTAACCAACCTCACCCCATCCCCCACTCCCCTTCATTTCCCAGACTCTAATGTCCACAGTTCTTTTCTCTACTACCACGAACTCATTTTTAAAAAAAATTTAGCTCCCACATGAGTGAGAACATACAGCATTTGTTCTTCTGTGCCTGACTTATTCTACTTAACATAATGTCCTCTAAGGTCATCTATGTGGCTGAGAATGATATAATTTTATTCTATTTTATGGCTGAATAGTCTTCCATTGTGTACAGATACCACATTTTCTTTATGCATTCATCTGTTGATAAACATTTAGGTGGATTCCATATCTTAGTAATTATAAATAGTGATACAATAAAAATGGCAGTGCTGGTATTTCTTTGATACATTTATTTTCTTTCTTTTTGATAAATACTCAGTAGTGGGATTGTTGGATTGTTTTATAGTTCTATTTTTAGTTTTTAAGAAACCTCCATACTGTTTTCCTTAATGGCTATACTAATTTACATTCCCTCCAACAGTGCATAAGAGTTTCCTTTTTCTGCAACCTCACCAGCATTTTTTACTTTCTGTCTTTTTGATAGTAGCCATTCTAACTGTAGTGAGATGATATCTCATTGCAGATTTATTTCATTTCCTGATAATTACTGATGTTGAGTATTTTTCATATATTTGTTGGCCATTTGTACATCTTCTTTTGAAAAATGTCTATTCAGATCCTTTGCCCACTTTTTAATCAGATTATTAATTTTGTTTTTGCTGTTGGGTTGTTTGAGCTCTTTATATAAGCTGAATATTAGACCTTTGTCAGATGAATAAATTGCAAACATTTTCTTCCATTCTACAGATTGTCTCTTCACTCTGTTGGTTGTTCCCTTTGCTATGAAGAAACTTAAATTTTAATATAGTCTCATTGGTCAGTTTTCGCCTGTGTTTTTGATGTTTTAGTCATCACAGCTTTGCCTAGACCAAGGTACTGAAGCATTTCTGCTATGTTCTCTTCTAGTAGTTTTATAATTTTGGTTCTTAAATTTTCTTTAATCCATTTACAGTAGATTTCTGTATATGGAGAACTATAAGGATCTAGTTTCATTCTTCTGCCTACAGATATCCAGTGTTCCCAGCCTTATTTGTTGATGAGAATGTTCTTTCCCCCATGGATGTTCTTGACATTTTATCAAAAATAAGATGGCTGTAAATATGTGGATTAATTTCTGGGTTCTCTATTCTTTCTGTTGGTCTTTGTATTTGCTTTTATACCAAAACCGTGTGTTGTGGTTACTGTATCCTTGTAATATAATTTGAAGTCAGGTAGACTGATGCCTCCAGCTTTTTTTTCCTCAGGATTGGTTGGCTAGTGTGGCTCTTTTTTGGTTCTATGAGTTTTAGAGTCATTTTTCCTAACGCTGTGAAAAAATGGTGTTGGTAGCTTGATAGGAATAGTGTGGATTGAATTTGTAGATTGCATTGGGCAGTATAAGCATTTTGATGATACTCATTCTTCCAATCCATGAGCATGGATTTTTTTCATTTGTTTGTTTAATTTCTGATTTCTTTTGGCATTGTGTATAGTTCTTCTTGTAGAAATCTTTCATTTATTTGGTCAGATGCATTTCCCGGTATTTTTTTTTTTGTGGCTATTTATAAATGGGATTGTGTTCTTGATTTGGCTTTCACCTTAAACACTATTGGTGTATTGAAATGCTGCTAATATTTCCACGTTGATTTTGTAACTAGAAACTTTACTGAAATTGCTGTCAGATCTAGGAGCGTTTTGACAGTCTTTAGGGCTGTCTAGGTGTACAATCATATCATCTGAAAAGAGAGATAGTTTGACTTCTTCAGTTCTTACTTGGATGCCTTTAATTCCTTTCTCTTGCCTGATTGCCCTGGCTAGGACTTCTAGTACTATGTTGAATAGGAATGGAGAGAGTGGGCATCTTTTTCTTGTTCCAGTTCTGAAGGAAAATGGTTCCAAGGTTAGCCCATCGAGTATGATGTTGGCTGTGTGTTTGTCATAGGTGGCTGTCATTATTTTCAGGTATGTTACTTTGATGCCTAATTTGTTGAATGTTTTGATCATGAAGGAATATTGCGAGTCTACTGAAAGTTTTTCCTGCATCTGTTGAGACGATCATGTGGTTTTTAAGAATTCTGTTTATGTGGTGAATCACATTTATTACTTTGTATATGTTGAACCAACTTTGCATCCCAGAAATAAAGCCTGTCAGATTGTAAAAAAGTGAATTTTGGGTCAGGCACGGTGGCTCTTGCCTGTAATCCCAGCACTTTGGGAGGCCGAGGTGGGTGGATCACGAGGTCAGGAGATCGAGACCATCCTGGCTAACACAGTGAAACCCCGTCTCTACTAAAAATACAAAAAAATTAGCTGGGCATGGTGGTGGACACCTGTAGTCCCAGCTACTCGGGAGGCTGAGGCAGGAGAATGGCTTGAATCCGGGAGGTGGAGCTTACAGTGAGCTGAGATCACGCCACTGCACTCCAGCCTGGGCCACAGAGCGAGACTCCGTCTCAAAAAAAAAAAAAAAAAAAAAAAAGTGAATTTTTGATGTGTTGCAAGATTTGGTTTGTTAATGTTTTGTTGAGAATTTTTGTGTCTATGTTCTTCAGAGATATTGTCCTGCAGTTTTCTTTTTTCACTGCATCTCTTTCAGCTTTTAATATCAAGATGATGCTGTATTCATAGAATGAGTTAGGGAGGAGTCTCTCAAACTCGATACTTTGGAATAGTTTCAGTAGGATTGGTAACAGATCTTCTTTGTATGTCTGGTAGAATTTGGCTCTGAATCCAATAGGTTCAGGGCTTTTTCTTTGGTTACTAGGTTTCTAAATTACTGATTCCATTTCAGAACTTGTTATTGTCTGTTAAGGATTTTAATTTCGTCTTGGTTCAATCTTGGGAGGTTTTGTATTTCTGGGAATTTATCCATTTCCTCTAGATTTCTTAGTTTCTGTGCATAGAGGTGTTCATAATAGTCTTTGATGATATTTTGTATTTCTGTGGGATCCATTGTAATGCCATCTTTGCCATTTCTGATTGTGTTTATTTGAATCTTCTCTATTTTTTCTTTGTTAATGTAGCTAGCTAGCTATCGATCTCATTTATCCTTTCAAAGGACAAACTTTTGGTTTTGTTGATTACTTGTAAGGATTTTTGTGTCGCAAATTTATTCAGTTCTGCTCTGGTTTTAGTTATTTCTTTACTTCTGCTAGCTTTGAGGTTATTTGGTTTTTGTTTTGCTAGTTCTAGTAGGTGCGATTTTGTTAGTTTGAGACCTTTCTGGCTTCTTGATGTCTGTATTTAGTGCTATAATCTTTTTTCTTAATACTGGTTTTGCTGTATCCCAGAAATTTTGGCGTGTTCTGTCTCTGTTTTTATTTATTTTCAAGAGTTTTTAATATCTGTCTTTATTTTGTTGTTTACCCAAAAGTCATTCAGGAGCAAGTTGTTTAATTTTCATATAATTATGTGACATTGAGAGAAATTTTTGGTATGGATTTCTATTTTTATTCCACTAGGGTCTGAGATATTATGCTTGGTATACTTTCAGTTTTTAAAAAATGTATTGAGAGTTGCTTTATGGCTGAGCATGTGGTCGATCTCAGAGTGTGTTCCCTGTGCCGATGAGAAGAAAGTACATTCTGTGATTGTTGGGTGGAGGATTCTGTAAGTGTCAATTAAGTTCAATAGGTGAAATGTTAAATTTAATTCTAGAATGTCTTTGTTACTTTTCTGTGTCAGCAATTTGTCTAATGCTGCCAATGAGGTGTTGAAATTTTTAACTATAATTGGGTGGCTAACTAAGTCTTTTCATAGATCTAGAAGTACTTGTTTTAGAAATCCGATGCTCCAGGGTTGGGTGCCTATATATTTAAAAATATTTATGCCTTCTTGTTGAATTGAGTTCTTTTATCATTGTGTATCATTCTTTATCGTCTTCTTCTTTGTCATTTTTAAAAACTGTTGTTGGTTTAAAGTGTGTTAATCTGATATAAGAATAATGACCCCTGATTTTTTGTTTTCTGTGTGCATGATAGATCTTAGTTTATGCCTTTACTTTGAGCCTATGGGTGTAATTGTATGTGAGTTGGGCCTTTTGAAGACAGCAGATGGTGATTCTTGATTTTCTTTAATCCAGCTTGCCACTCTGTGCCTTCTAAGTGGGGTATTTAGATAATTTTATCCAAGGCTAATATTTATATGTCAGATTTTTATCCTGCCGGGATGTTGTTATCTGGTTGCTTTGTAGTCTCCAATGTGTATTTGTTTATAAGGTCTGTGAGCTATGTACTTATGTGTGTTTCTGTGGTTGCAGGTATTGTTCTTTCATGTCCATGTTTAGAACTCCCTCAAGGATCTCTTGTAGGGCTGGTCTAATGGTATTAAATTCCCTTAGCATTTGCTTGTCTGGAAAAGATTTTTTTCTCCTTCACTTATGAAGTTTAGTTTGACAGGATATAAAATTTGGGGTTTGAATTTATTTAGGGATGCTAAAATAGGCCAACACTCTTCTGGCTTGTAAAGTTTTGCTGACAAGTCTGCTGTTAGCCTGATGGGCTTCCCTTTGTATGTGATCTGACCCTTTTCTCTAGCTGCCATAAGACTTTCACGTTGACTTTTGGATGCTTTTCACTATGTGTCTTTGGAATGACCATCTTGTATAGTATCTTATCGCTGAATTTCTTGAATTTGCATGTCAGCTTCTCTAATGAGATTGGGGAAAGTTTTGTGGACTATATTCTAAAGTGTGTTTTCCAAATTACTTACTCTTTCTCCACAATGCCAATGAGTCATAGATTTGGTATCTTTATGGGATCCCATATTTCTCAGAGGTTTTGTTCACTTTTAAAAATTCTGTTTTCTTTATTTTCATCTGACTGGGTTGATTCATAGGACCCAACATCAAGTTCTATAATTTCTTCCTCTGCTTGGTCTAGTCTGTTTTTGAGGCTTCCAATTGTATTTTGAAATTCCTAGAGTGAGTTGTTCAATCCCAGAAGCCCAGTTTTCTTCTTTCTTAAAATGGCTATGTCATCTTTCAACTCTTGAATTATTTTTCTGGCTTCCTTGGTTAGGTTTCAACTTTCCCGTGGACCTCATTGTGCTTCCTTACCATCCAGATTCTGGATTCTAAGACTATCATTTCAGCATTTCAATCTGGTTAGGATCAATTGCTGAGGAGCTAGTGTGATCCTCTGAGGGTTAGAAAACGCTATGACTTTTTGAATTGCTGGATTTCTTTCACAGATGCTTTCTCATCTGAGAGGGCTAGTGTTTATTTATCTTTTTGAAATTGCTGTCATTTGGATATGACTTCTGGTTTCTATATTCCTATTCTTCCCTTGAGTGTTTGACTGTTGTGTATGTTGGAACAGTTCATTGGTTTAATTTCTGTGTTCTTTCAGAAGGCCTAGGATCTTTATGAATTTCTTTTTCTTTCTTTTTTTTTTTTTTTTTGAGATGAAGTTTTGTTCTTGTCACCCGGGGTGGAGTGCAGTGGTGTGATCTTGGCTCACTGCAACATCCGCCTGCCATGTTTGAGTGATTCCCCTGCCTCAGCTTCCCAAGTCGCTGGGATTCAGATGCCTGCCACTACACCAGGCTAATTTTTTTTTTTTTTTTTTTTTTTTTTAGAAAAGATGAAGTTTCACCATATTGGCCAGGCTGGTCTTGAACTCCTGACCTCAGGTGATCCACCTGTCTTCGTCTCCCAAAGTGCTGGGATTATAGGCGTGAGCCACCGCACCTGACCTCTATGGATTTCTTAGTTGTGGCTAGTTTCCTGCATTGGTTTTCACAGGCTAACTGTGTTTAAGGAATTAATTGTGTTTGGTGGTGTAATTCTGACTTCAATCCCGTAGATGGTGCTTTGGAGTAAGGGCTGGTGGATAGGCTCTTACTCAGCTGCATAACTCTTGTGTATCAGTGTGTTTGAAGCAGGCCTCTGAGGAGGGGGAAACAGTTGGCAGGGAGGCAAGAAATGCCTTTCTCACAAAGTTTGTTCCCAAGCCTTCAGAGAATCCCCTTCAATCACTGGTGCTATACTCCCTCTTTCTTAGCTCCAAAGAAGTCCCTGGACAGCTGCACAGCCCCCATCTTTAAGGCCAGGGATGTTCAATCTTATGGCTTCTCAGGACCACATAGGAAGAAGAAGAATTCTCTTGGGCCACACATAAAACACACTAACACTAACGATAGCTGATGAGCTAAAAAAAAAAAAAAAATTGCAAAAAAAACTCATAATGTTTCAAGAAAATTTACAAATGTGTGTTGGGCCACGTTCAAAGTCTTCCTGGTCTGCATGCAGCCCATGGGCCCAGGACAAGCTTGCTTTAGGGGCAGCCTGAGCCAAAGGTTAGTCCTCCAAATCTCCAGGGACCTGCTGATTCCCCGTGCTTGGAAGAGTCTGAATGGGATATGGGGTATGTCTGCAGGTGTCTGTGGATGCTGTGGGTCAAGGGTGAAGGTCCCCTGGGCAGGTTGGGTGGTGCCATGGGTGTGCAGCTGGTGTGGTACCCACAGCCTGGAGTTTTTTGCTCAGCAGTTGGCTTTGAGGACCATACAACTCATGCTCCCCAACCAGTTTTTCTGTGATGTGTGCTTTTAGGTAAGGCCTGACCAGCTAGTTTTGTCCCAAGCCTTCTAAACCCAAATCTTTGGCCTGATATGTGTTCCAGGCCATAGGTTTCTCTTGGATGGAGTCTGTGGCCATCCAACAGGCTATGCTTTTCCCAGACCAGTCTCGCAGAAGGAGGCACGCCCAGCTCCCATGCCAGCACATGAATCTGTGCCTCACTCTTCTCAGTGTTCTGAGAGTGGGGGTGCCACCCCGACTTGAGCTCAGGCCACAGATACCAGCTTAATACCCCTTAACTGTGCACTCAAACCCTGGGAAGTTGGGATGGGTCTCGTAGCTATATCCTCTGGTACCTCAGCGTCAAGCATTGGCTGTACTGGAGTGGGCAAACTGCTTTCAGGCTGCCAGAAAAACACTCAGGTGGGGGCAGTGGAGGCTGTGCTATGTGTACACCCTTGAGGGAGCAACTAGGCAGGAGCTGGGGAAGGGACCGGCAAACAAGGGGGTGTGCAAATCAGATGCACTCCAGGCCCTTGGAAAAGGCAGCCCTGCTCTCTCCTGGTCAGGCTGTCAGCAGGGGCTAAAGTGACTCGGAAAGATGGAGAGCCTTGGTGGATGGGTGCCTATTCTCATATTTTCCTGCAGCTGCCTCATGCATGAAACCTTTTGGGCTCCATGCATGTTCAAGCTCTGCCTCTTCCTACTCTCCTGGCAGTTCCCCCTGACAATTCAAATGTCTGTGTTTATCATGGGATCTCTTGTACCTAGGATCTCAGAGGTCCCTGGCAGGATTGTGTGACCCCTAGTTCCTTCACTCTCTCCTTCCGTAGGTCCAATTCTGGACCAAGAGCTGGTCCTGGTGATTGGTGACTCCATCTGGCTTCCTAGTTTCCTTCCTCTTCAAACTCAGTGTCTGCATTGCCTCTCTATTGACTTTGAGTTCTTTTTCCCCCAAAATCTGTTCAAAGTGTGATGGTTTACTCAATATTTTGTTTTCTCTCTGTGGAAGAGGTATTTCTGGCTGCATCTGGTTGGTCATCTTGTTCCCCAGTTAAAAATGTAATTGATATTTTGATATGGTTTGACTCTGTGTCCCAATCCTAATCTCATCTCAAATTATAATCCCCATGTGTGGAGGAAGAGACCTGTAATCCCCACATGTCAAGGGAGGGATGTGATTGGATCATGGGGACAGTTTCCCCCATGCTGTTCTCATGATAGTGAGTGAGTTCTCACGAGATCTGATGGTTTTATAAGGGGCTCTTCCCCCTTCACTTTCTCCTCTCTCTCCTGCCACCATGTAAGATGTGCCTACTTCCCCTTCTGCTGTGATTGTAAGTTTCCTGAGGCCTCCCCAGCTATGCAGAACTGTGAGTCAATTAAACCTCTTTTTAAATACATTTTACCCAGTCTTGGGTAGTATCTTTACAGCAGTGTGAAAATAGACTAATATGTATTTTAATAGTGATCATATTTAACCTGTAGACTCCTTCAGATAGTATTTTAACAATATTAATTATTTAAATTCATGAGCATGGGATATATTTCCATTTGTTTTTGTCCTCTACCATTTCTTTCATCAGTGTTTCATAGTTTTCTTGCAGGGGAGCTCTATCACTTCCTTGGTTAAATTTGTTCCTGAGTAGTATTTTATTATTTTTTAGCATTCGTAAGTGGTATTGATTTCTAGTTTTATTCCATTATGTTTGAGAAGATACTTGATATGATTTTAAGTTTTTAAAATTTGCTAAGACTTGTTTTCTGGCCTAATATATGGTCTATCCTGGGGAATGTTCTATGTACCAATGTGAAGAATGTGTATTCTGTAGCCATTTGATGAAATGTTCTAAGAGTTTGTTTGAGGAGTCTAGGTTTTTTATGTATAGGATCAGGTCATGTACAAAGAGAAATTTCGATTGTTCTTTCCCAATTTAGATGCCCTTCATTTTTTTTTCACCCAGTTGCTCTGGCTAGGACTTCTAATACTGTGTTGAATATGAGTGCTGAATGTGGGTATCCTTGTCTTATGCCAGTTCTTAGAGGAAAGACTTTCAGCTTTTCCTCTTTCAGTGTAATGTTAGCTGTGGTTTTGCCATATATGGCCTTTATTGTGTTGAAATATGTTCCTTCTATGCCTAATTTGTTGGAGTTTTTATCATAAAGATTCGTTAATTAGAGTCTTATATTCAAGTCTCCTTCTCAGAGTGATTTATTGGCTTAGGTCTGGATAATTTAATATGGTGTCCCTAAAACTTTTTTAGAAATTATGGGGAATGACAAAGGGTATGAGGGGGCAAGAGACTTTGTACTAAGAAGTGACTTAGACTGAGTGTGGTGGCACACGCCTGTAATCCCAACACTTTGGGAGGCCGAGGTGGGTGGATCACAAGGTCAGGAGTTCGAGACCAGCCTGGCCAACATGGTGAAATCCCGTCCCTGTTAAAAATACAAGAAATTAGCTGGGCATGGTGTCAGGTGCCTGTAATCCCAGCTACTCAGGAGGCTGAGGCAGGAGAATCACTTGAACCCAGGAGGCGGAGGTTGCAGTGAGCCGAGGCCATGCCACTGCCCTCCAGCCTGGGCAACAACAGTGAGACTCCACCTCAAAAAAAAAAAAAAAAAAACAAACCAAAAAAAAAAAAAAAAGAGAAGTGACTTGGAGCAATTTTAAAGAGGAAATACATTAAACAATCAGGAAAATGAAAGCCTACTATCACGTAAAAATGTTGTGTGGCAAAGATGATGTGTGTAAAACATATATTTTTGTGATTCCTGGTGGTTTTAAATTTGTTTTTGATTTTCTAGGTAATTCAAGGATTCATGTTTTAAGAATCTACTGCAGTATAGATAACATTTTATTGCAACTGAATTTATTTCAAAAATGATTAGTTTTATATTAGACTATTCTGTCTTCTTTCTTCATTACCAAACCATATTATTTTACTCATGCAGGCTGATCTTACAGAAGCAGTGGAAACTGCATCTTCAGAAGGTCTACATGTGAATGCAGAGATTGAAGTTCTTCAACAGGCATTATTATATATGAAAACAATGCAAGAGAAACGTGAAACACTACAGAAGGATCAGGAGAAGTTGGAAGAAGAACTAGTAAACCTCAAAAGTCACATGGAAATGAATATGTTAGAATGTGGTCAATTGGAACACTATAAACAGGAGGTAGAAGAAAGAGCAAGGCAGGAGATAGCAGAACAATTAGAAAACATTGGTCTACTTTTACAGGTTAGTTTATTATCAATAAGGTGCCTTCATTCATTTCAGTGCAAATTATATTTGGGATACATACATTGTATGTGTTTCCTCTACTTCTCTTGTAGCAATTTGTTTGGTAGATTTCTAGAAGGAAGGTGGTATCTGTTTCTCTCTTTAAATATTTCACTTGCCGTCATTATTGTAACTAAATTGATCTTCCATAATAATGATTCTCATTAGTGAATCATTTGATTGCTAAGACAAGTGGCATAAAACAAGACTAACAGAGGAAGAAAAATGTGATTTATAAATTATACTATACTCTTGAAGTATTCTTAAGTTATATTGCTCAATTTTTCAGAATTTAAATTGATTTTATTATTCTTTGGAGTGTTACATTTCATGAGTACTACCATAAGCATGATTTCATTTTTTTACAATTCAGATTAAATTATTAATTTAGTTGATACTCATAATAAATATATTAAACTTCAGTTGCTTTTTTCACATACTTAGAAATGCTCTCTAGATCACCGACCCAAAACAAAAAGAAACAAATACACAATAATTATTCAGGTTATAATTATTTGTTTAATGTACCCTTTCAATTTGTTTTAGTCACAGAAAATAGCTCATGACCAGTTACAGTTAAAAGAGGAAAGCAATGCTACTATGAAAAGTCAGATGGAACTTAGAATTAAAGATCTGGAATTCAAACTCTACAAAGCAAGAACTTCACAAGCGGACTGTAATACAACAGAATTGGAAAAATATAAGGAGCTGTATCTAGAAGAATTAAAACTTAGAGAATCTTTGTCAGATGAACTAAACAAGTAAGTCAAAACACAGAATCACAGAAAAGAAATGAAGCTCATTAATTTGCCTCAAAAGCATAATTTTTAGTGAGACAGGTTTATGAGATTAGGGGGAAGCGAAAGCTAACTAGATTAAACAATTTTGGAAAATGATGTTAGTAAATGAGCTTACCTTTAAAATGTTAATCCACGGGTGGCTCACCTGAGGTCAGGAGTTCAAGACCAGTCCGTCCAACATTGTGAAACCCCGTCTCTACTAAAAATACAAAAATTAGCCAGGCATGGTGGCACGCTCCTGTAATCTCAGCTGCTTGGGAGCCTGAGGCAGGAGAATTGCTTGAACCCAGGAGGCGGAGGTTTCAGTGAGCCGAGATCACCCCATTGCATTCCAGCCTGGGCGACAGAGTGAGACTCCATCTCAAAAAAAAAAAAATAAATAAAAATAAAAATAAAAAAAGTTAATCCAGGCCAATTCATGTCACTCCCCTGTTTTTGATTGTGTTTTTTGGTTTGTTTTGTGTGTTGTTTTTTTGAGATGGATTCTCACTCTGTTGCCTAGGCTGGAGTATAGTGGCACAATCTCTGCTCACTGCAACCTCTGCCTCCCAGGTTCAAGCAATTCTCCTGCCTCAGCCTCCTGAGTATGACCTGTCATATTCTCACCACTCCTGGCTAATTTTGATATTTTCAGTGGAGCTGGAGTTTCACCATCTTGGCCAGGCTGGTCTTGAACTCCTGACCTCAAGTGATCTGCCCACCTCAGCCTCCCACAGTGCTAGGATCACAGGCCTGAGCCATCGTGCCTGGCCTGTTTTTTGGTTTTATATGGCTCTTTATCCCCTTAATATTCTTATTTAGTTAACCTGATCTGTTAGTCTTTCAGCCAAGTATCTTTGAAGCTTCATAATTTAGACAGTGATATTGTTACACAATTGCTTGTCAACATTCCCCTACAAGAAATATTAATGAATTTAATTATTTTTTATAAGATTACAACTTAAACTGAAAAAGGGTCAGGTACTTCTACTCCTCTGCACATTCTGGCACTCAGTAAATTAACTGTCATTGATTGCGATCTTTGGTATTATCATTAGAGGCCACCTTGGAACAAAGTATTTTGTATAGTTTTTCCACGCCACATAAGGGCATACTTGTGAATTAGAGAATAATTAACACAGGGTTGAAAGGAAATATAATTCACAAAGTGGTGAAAAACACCACCTTGGTCAGCCTGAGGTGGTGGGTGGAAGTCCAAAAGGGCAGGCCCCACTTCTGATGCCTGGGTCACAATTTTAGGAGTAAATCACCTTTGGAGATGACTGAGTTCTCTTTGATCTCGGCTATCTCCTTCTCCCCAGGGAATTGTTGTTCTGAATGATTCCCCAGTGCCAAATGCTTCTCAAATAATGGGTGAAATGTACAAGGGTGGTAAGAAGAAATGCTTGAAAGTGTCTTTGAGGGATAGTTTTTTTCTGTAACTGGCTTACTGAATACAAGTATTTCTAGCTTTATTTTACTTTTAGTTATTTCACCGGAGTAAAATATTTTTGGATTTATATTTTTGGATATATTTTGGTACTCCTATATATTTAAGGAGTAACACATGATGTTTTAATATATTTATACATAGTCAAATGGTGATTCTAGTCCAGCAAATTAACATGTTTATCATTTCATGTAGTTCCCCTTTAAACAAAAGTATTTATTTGCTTTTTTACTTTTTTTTTTGTCTTGAGATGGAGTTTTGCTCTTGTCCCAGGCTGGAATGCAGTGGCACGATCTCGCCTCCCGGGTTCAAATGATTCTCTTGCCTCAGCCTCCCAAGTAGCTGGGATTACAGGCACCCGCCACCATGCCTGGCTAATGTTTTGTATTTTTAGTAGAGACAGGGTTTCACCATGTTGGCTAGGCTGGTTTTGAACTCCTGACCTCAAGTGATCCACCCCTTTTGGCCTCCCAAAGTGCTGGGATTACAGGTGTGAGCCACCATGCCCAGCCTAAATGCAAGTATTTCTAATGGCATCCTTAAGAATCTTATAAATAGAGCCATTTCAGAAGACAACAAATGTCACCTGTTAATCCGTACATCATTGATAGCTTTTGCTCTTCCCTCCCTACTTTGTTTGAATTACTTGTTAAAAATCCTCTAGGAGTACATGTACTTCTTTAGAACAATTTTAAAATTAAAACTGTGTACGATACACGTGCTCTCATACATTTTCAGAGTTAAAACATGGTTTGTGGTATCTTTCATTGACTCATGGTGACTTTTTAAACAATGCAAGTCATTTAGACATAATTTGTAAAAAAAACCCCAAAATACTCAGTATCTGTGTTTTGCAATCTTCATAGGCGTAAAGAAATTCTAGCAGATGTCAGTACCAAACTTCTTCAAGAAAAAGAGTGGAGCAGATCTTTATTTACTTCTCATACTACAAGGCCAGTCCTAGAGTCAGCATGCAATGGAAATCTTAATGAAAATTTAGGTCTCAGCAGAATACATATTCCAAGAGAAGCCTTAAGAATTCCTACCTTAAACTCATTGTCTTCAAATATCAGAATGGAGAGCGACTTGTCAAAGGTTAGGTGTAGCATCATTTTTTCTTTCCTTCTCAGACTTCTGATATAATTCTTGTATTTTTTTGGCAAAATATTCAGTTGTCTGGTTGACTTATGTATTTTAAATAAAGGTCATAATTATCTGTGTTTTTAAGGAAAGGAAACAAACTTTACAGCTTTTTTTTAAGTCCTTGGAGCTCTCGTTGTCAAGAGATATTCATTTGTTAACTTTGTTCAATAAATGTAACTAAACTGGCACATTTTAAATTTCTGTAAAAATTGCATTTAAATTAGATTTTGGAAATTGAATGGTATTGCCTAACAACTAAAAGTATACTTTGAGATGCTTTGGCTTACTTTCTAATTGATTTTAGTTTGGCTTGGGTTCATAATGTTTTTAAAGTTTTCCTGTAGCATCTCAAATTTCCCACTTCTAGTCAGATGTAAATGATTGATATTCAAACACCTAACCACATATGGATGATTATTATGTAAAGGAATCCAGGATAAATACTTTTTATGAATTCTATGAACCTGTAACACTGAAAAAGATTTCTTCTGTTTTTCAGTTTAAAGTTTTGTGATTTTCTTACATGAATACATCCTTAATTGCTATTGTACTTTTAGCATTTTAATATCAATTGTTGTAAAATGTGCCCGTTGCTGTGCAATCGTACAGCAATTTTTAAATACTTAAAGCAATATTTGAATTCGTAAAGTGAAGTTCACTTATGTCTATCTTACCATCACTTGAATGATTTATGGCTAAGATGGCAATGATATCAAAAGTAGTTAAATAGCAAATGTGACCAAACAGAATCCATTCTGTTCTTCCTACTCAGAATTGCATGTAAAACTGCACAGGGTTCCCATCTCCCTGGGACATGACCCTTTCAATGTTTCAAGGTTCAATTGAACAAGAACCTTGCAATCCAACTGTTAGGGTAGACAGTTAGTCAG
The DNA here is from genome assembly GCF_000001405.40 of Homo sapiens. Lineage (NCBI taxonomy): Eukaryota > Metazoa > Chordata > Mammalia > Primates > Hominidae > Homo > Homo sapiens. The sequence goes on along the minus strand of NC_000016.10, from coordinate 46,474,827 downwards.
ATATGAGCAGGCAGGAGCAAAGGTAGCTATGTGGGAAGAAACGCCCCAAAACGACTCTTAAGGTGCTCAGTGATCACTCATTCTATGGTTGAACTGTCAGAATGTGTTAACTACATTCAGATAAAGAAGGGGAAAGGCAAAAGGGGAATTCTTAAGAGCTGCATGGAAACAGTGAGTACAAATGTGATGGCTATACAACTTTCCTGGGTGGCAGTAATGAGCAACACCACCATTGGGTAGAATTTGTCTTGATCACTGGGTTCTGCACATGTGCATTAACCAAGAGTAAGGGAGGGTCCCCCAAGCCTGGGTGTGAACTGGGCAAGAACACAGGCAGGAACCCAAAGAAGAAAGTGAGGAAAAAGATCAAATGCAGAATGTATTGGAGCTGCTTCCAGCCAAGTTGGCCCACTCTTCTCTTAAAGCGTACTGTCACTTCTGCAATACATTTTTTGCTAGATTTACTAACTGATCTTTTGGCTGAATTCTTTCTTGCAGGAAGACAAGAATGGAGGACACTTTCTGGAACTCCAGGCTTGACAACATCTCTCGGTGTTGTGACTCGCATCCTGTTGTGAGGTAAGGGCTATGCTCCCTGCTGTCTCCTCTCACATGTCTGCTCCTATCCAGCATAGACTATGAGAATGCTGAGCATGCCGATCAAGCTCCCTGGCATCTCTGCTTTGTGTGCTAAGCTGGAGCATGTCCACCTAATGCCCAACAGAGCCCCTCCAGGCACAGAATGCTTTCTTCTTGACAGAGACCCTAAGGCTTCTGATCCCTTCCACATTCTCACAACTGACTTTCGGGGACTCACCACCCTGTCTTTCCTCACAGTTGGTCCTGCTGCCTATGCCATCGCAGCATCTCTCTTGCTAGCCAATGCCACCTACTTTGTCCTCTCTCTTCCCAGATAAGCTCCAATAGAGTGACTTTTTGAATGCTCTGTCACTGTCTCCTCTGAACTAATTCCACCTCCAGAAGGAATTTAGGTAAATTTTGGGTGCTGTGGTCTCGGTCTAGGGGTCTCCTGGATGTGGCTAGTACCCAATATTCTTTCCATGTTCTTACCACTGAATTCTCCGGGATTTACCAATCAACTTCCCTCTTGTCTCTGGCCCTCCGCACTGGCCTTGACATGCTTTGCCTGTATGCAGAGGGTTATCACAAAAAGCTATGAAATTATAATTAGGCACAGTCATCTATAATTAGAGGTGAGACCTATGGACCTGGGGGGTCAACAGATCAAATGAGAGAAAGAGGTCACTGCTCGGTTGGGAGCATGCAGTAAGGGTGCATGAAGTGTGAATCTCCTCACAGGCTAGGGTTGCATGGCCTAGTGTGGGAAAGAGATGGAGAGGATGCTCTTCCCGTTTCATAATGGATGAGAATGGACAGAGAGCGAGGATGCTCACTCTCCCCTGGCCTTTACTTCTCTCTGTTTTTCAGACGGACATTCAACATTCCACGCTGTAGGACTCACTCCTTGGATGCATTCTCAAAAGTTAGGACAAGATTGATCCCCAGACATTAAAGAAAAAAGATAGTAGTTTTCTTTTGTAACTCTGCATGGCCTCAATACAAAGCTATGTGACTGTAGGAAGGCTGGCCAGAAAATGGTAGCCTTAATTTTAATACCATCTTGCAGTTGGACCTACTTTGCAGGTCACAGGGTAAATGGTCAGAGGTACCCTATGTCCAGGCCTTTATGGCTTTAAAAGAAGATCAGAATCTCTGCCAAAAATGCAAACTAGACCCTGCTATTTTGGCTCTTGTGAGCCCCTCAGTGGATAATTCTCCTATAAATGGCTTAGGAAATTTCCCAGCAGAGCATCCTCAGCCTCCTTTAATTCATCCTCCCACTGAGGATCCAAAGCCACCAGCCCCTTGTACTCACCAGAGGAATAGGAATGGGCACTGGGACACGAGGCCCTGGAGGCTGGTATCAACTGAGAGAGGTCCTACATCTGCCTTAAAATGTTCAATGGAAAGTTAGCTATGTTTTGCATGACTCCTGCCACTTTGGCAACAAAAAGCTTTCAATAATGTGCAAATGGCTCTTTTGGGGAATAAAACTCTTTCCAAGACTCTTGAACAAGTTTGCAGGGCCTGTGCCCTTTGCACATTAAACATCCCACAAGGAGCCAAACCTTTTCTTTTCCAGCCAGTCCAATGGAGGAGTACTTATGCTGGGGAGGACTGGCAGTTTGACTCAAACCAACTTCCTGCCTGTATAAAATATCTTCTGATCTTTGTAGACACCTTTCCAGGTTAGATAGAAGCTTACCTGTGTGAATGGAAAAAGCAGTGGGGGTAGTAAAGGCCCTCCTCATGGAGGTCATCCCCCGGTTTGGCATTCCCAGGTCGCTGCAAAGTTATAACAGTACATCCTTCACCTCACAGTTTACTCAACTTGTTTCTCGGGACTTGGGAATCAGTTACTTTCTACATTCCTCTTGGCATCCACAACACTCTGGAATGGTTGATAGAATTAACCAAACTCTCAAGCAAACCTTGGAAAAATTATGCCAGGAAACCTCAAAGCCATGACCAGAGCTACTACGTATTGCTCTACTAAGGCTGAGAAACATACCCACCTCTAACTTACAACTCAGTTCTTCCGAGTTATTATGTGGAAGATCCTTTCTTTGCTTTCCTGTTGGATACTGAAACTTACCAACTCACTAATTATGTTACTTTCCTATCCCAGTCTCAGCAGGGGGCTCAAAAACTAGGCCAAAAGATATTTTCACATCGTGAAAACTCTGACCAAATTTTATACCCTCCAAGTTGATGAGAACTCAAGTTCTCATCAAGACTTGGAAGTATGGAACTCCAAACTCTCAACTGAGTTTTATTTGGAGAGGTCCTTATACTGATTTGCTCTCCGCTCCTACAGCAGTTATGGTGCCAGGGATCACCAGGTGGGTCCACTATTCCAAGGTAAAGCTGTATGACTCATCTCTGGCAGAGGAAGTCGTAAAGGTCCCACTGGACACCTGGACCACTGAGCCCCTCCAGGGTCTCAAACTCCTCTTCAAGCAAAGCCAAAAGAATAAAGATAAGTAAATTAGTAATGCTTTGGATTGTTATACCATGAATCGTAATACTCCTTGCAGGTTTACTAATATGTCTTTGCTACTGTGAACCAATACCACCCCCCACCCACTGCCAGGAAAAGGTCTGTTCTTCCCTACCTGGATTTAAATCTCAAAGCAATAATCTGGGTGGTGTTCTCTCTAATACTCACTGAGTTAACAAGTTCTTTTTCCATAATCAACAGACATCTTGATTTGGCTCTAATCTGTTCTTGTTGGGACCATGCAGCCAAATGCTCTATGCTCACTAATGCTTCTAGCTAAAATCACCCTCATAGGCCCCAACAGCCCACAACTATATATAAAAAAAAATCTACAAGAAGCTCAACAACTACCGAAGTTCACCAAATCTTCCTATCCCTCAACCTATGGGCTAAGCATGAATTATTTCTATCCAGGGCAGGAACAGCCTACCCAGCCACGATACAAGAATAGAAAACTTCTCAAGCCCAGTTTAGCTTCACCTATCACTGAGGCTTCTCTATACAAAACCTTCCCAGAGATGCATACAGTACCTAACACAAGCAAAGGGGACTTTCAGGCTTTTCTTAAGCCCACTTGCACTATTTTAGGCCCCTTGTTTTCCCCCTTCACCATCAGTCAGGTACTCCTAGGCATCACTACTGCCACAGATTCTGGAACTTTGGTGGGTTCTCTCAACCCTGCGCACTGCAACACAACCATCACCATTGTCAATACCTCTCATACTTCTTTTTTTCTAGAAACTGAAATCTCCCAATACCAAGTAAGGTTCTCTACCTTACCAAGCCAGTAGTGGTCATGCAAAAATTTCAAATCTTTAACTCCCTTTGGAGGCTCTTTTCCTTGACATTACTAGACACATGCTCTTCTGGGAAAATAAGAACCATCCTCCTATTCAAACTACTCACTCATGTCTGGCTCCCCTAGCAGCTGCAACTTTAGTGACAGAATATCACATCTTGCGTAGCCAACAATGGTAATGTTTGGAATTGACCTTGCCTCCTTCCGTATCCATTCTTGTCTACGTATGACAGAACTTTGTTTTCTATGTGGGACACAGGCCCACCTCTGCCTCTCTGCAAACTGGACCAGAACACGCATGCTGGCTTACCTCACCCCTAGCATCTCATTGCCCCAGGTGATGCTTCTCTGCCCTTGCTCTTATTTATAACCTCACACTGGGGCCCACCAAGCAATTCAATTAATTCCCTTTCTCGTTGGGCTTGGCATCACCACAGGTGCCATGATGGGAATAGCCAGCATTGGCACTTACTCCTGAACCTACCACAGCCTGTCTCTGGAATTGGCCCAAGGGATAGAAACGACTAGTTGCTGTAACAGAGTTACAGTGGCAAGTCAGTTCTCTCGCAGCTATAGTTCTCAAACATGGTAGAGGTCTTGACATGCTGGCTGCAGCTCAGGGAGGAACTTGGCTGTGCTTGGAGAAGAGTGCTGATTTGGGTTAAGAGATCAGGGCAGGCTCAGGAGCACATTTGAGATCTCATAAACTAGGCTTCTCACCTTTGGGAAGGGGCTACTGGGGTGTCACCTGGTTCTGATTCTCATGGCTCCTCCCCTTCCTGGGACCCCTGACCTCTATCTTCCTTCTTCTCTTTTCTGGGTCTTGCTTCTTGAATCTACTAAGTAAGTTTATTTTATCCCATCTAGACGCCGTCAGACTTCAAATGGTCTTGTGACAAGGATATCAACCTCTTTCCTGCCCTTGAGGACAACCAAGTTTCTGTATGTCTCCTCTGGACACTGTGGGTCAAACCTTTTGAGAGACAACAACAACCTCTGAAACCCTCTTGCCATGACAGCAAGCAAGGAGGAGGGACCAGAAGACCCTCGACGCCCCTTTTCAGCAGGAAGTAGCTACAGAAGAATGACCTCCACCCTATTTCCCAAAAGATTTCTGGGTCCCAACTCCTTAAGGAATAAACGTGAAAGGGGGCAGTTAGTCAGATATTAGCAGGCAGGAGGGGAGGTACCCATGTTGGAAGGAACAGCCCAGACCACCTCTTAAGATGCCCAGTACTCACTTTATGGTCAAACTCAAAATGTGGCTAACTAGATCCTGATAAGGGAGAAAAAAGGCAAAAGCAGAATTCTTGAGAGCCACACAGGTGCAATGAGTACAAATTTGATGGCTATATGACCTTCCCGGGTGGCAGTAATGAGCAACGTCCCCATCGGGTGGAATTTGTATTGATCACTGCGTCCAGTGCATGTACATGAACCACAGTAAGGGATGATCCCCCCAAGCCTTGGTGAGAACTGGACAAGGAAAGAAGCAAGACCATAGAATATCGAATGCAGAATGTCCCGGGGCTGTTTCCAGCAGGGTCAGCCCACTCCTCTGTTGGAGTGTACTTTTACTTCCCCAATAAAACTTTTGCCTGCTTTACTAATTGGTCTTTTGAGTGAATTCTTTCTTTGAAGAAGACAACCAAGAACACTCTGGATCACCCCAGATAGGTAACATCAACATGCGACTTCACTCATAGTAGGAGTCCATTTCTGGGAATCTCAAAGTGAATCCAATAATGACAAGGTATATCAATTATAGAATTGGTAAGGAAAAAAATAGTTCAACTATGTTTGACTTATTTTAAGAACTTTGTCTAAGGTTTGACCATCTTTCAACCACTGGAAAATTACAAAAACTGGGTGCAATGGCACACAACTGTAGTCCCAGCTACTCCAGATGCTGAGGCAGGAAGATTGCTTGAGCCCAGGAGTTCAAGGTGGTAGTGTGAAATGACGGTGCACTGCAGCCTGGGCAACATAGCGTGACCCTGTCTCTTGAAAAGATTACAAAAATTATAAAATATTTGTTTTAACAAAAATAAATAAGTAAATTGTAACTAGTTTTTTGTGTCTCATTGTCATTAAAAATTCAGTCAATTCACTTTGGCTTATAGTTTTGATGGTGTTTTTATGATCTTAATGCACAGAAAAGTAATAATAGACCCATGTTAAATGAGGCCTTAACCTTCTTTCTTTATCTGGGTTCATGTCCCAACACATCACAGAAGAGCAGATCTAAAGTTTTTAAGAAAGCATTGCAGCCAAATAGCTTAAAAGAGAACAAATTAAATGCTTGTTTTAATACATAAATTACAAAATCCTAGTTGCTGATTTTAAAAATCATATTGTTAGTTTTGTTTTACTTTTCTGCAAAAAGATGATGAGAGTCTAAGTGCTTCAGAATCATAAAATTCTGCCACTGGGTACAAGAAGAAAATGAAAAATACTTCTGTAAACTGTTAAGCACGATTTAAATATAAATGTTCTAATTAGTTTTTACCAGCAAAATTGGGTAATATATCATTTCACAAGATGACAATGAAAGAGGGTATAAATGCAGATGTGGTGCCAGGGAAGATTTTTGAGTCAAGGGCTGTTTATTTTTAGTATTTCTAGTAAGTTGAAAAATAGTTTATTTTAAACTTAATGTATAGTTCCAAGGCAGATTTGGTTCCCCTGTTGAGATACTGGTTTGCCAAATCATGTTAGACTTAATAAAAGAGATTAAAAATCATTCAAGATACAAAGACGTGAATCCGTAATCACTACAAGACACCTTGAAAGAGTTTTAATATAGTTGCCATCTACAAAATTCTTAAGTTAAAGAAAGAAGATGCCTTCTAGAGTTGCTAGAAAGTGTAAGTTGATTTCAAACACTGATGAACTTTCTGAATGTCTCTTCCATGTTGGATTTTACTATGATATCATTTTCAAACAGTTAAAAGCCACTTTTTTATTCTGCAATGAGCTAAAGGATGGCATAACAACAAGCAAGGTCAATGAAGATATCCAGAGAGTAATGTATGAATAGCGTATCGATCCAGTGCTGTTAGACTGTTTTTTGCAAATGGCATTTGTCATGGCCACAAGTTGCAGAAAGATAGAAGGAAAAGCTGTTTTTTCACCAAAGACGGGCAAATTGATAGTTTTCAAAAATCTGGAGAGGGAAATGAATATATATATAAAGTTCATCAAATCTATCTACAGAAAGCCACTGTGAAGTGTGTGGGTTCTTTGCAAACAAATATGGCTCCATTTTATTAAGACTTGAACAGATTGTGTTCATGTATAGTAAACAAACACAACCTCATGATAACTTGTTTCTAGGAAACGTGGAAGCAAATATCACAATTTGGTGCTTGGAAACCCTGGTGAAGTGCCTCCATGAATAGTTCTAGGCAACACATCTGAAATAGCTAAATATTTGCCTTATGACTCCAAGTATATTGGATTTCAGGAAAGAGAAACAAGTCCACATCTGAGATGAGAGTGAGTGATACGATGAGAATGGAAATAAAGGACTTTCATTATGTTTTATTCTGCGGAGAATTCAAAAACTAAATGAAGAGATCCCAGGAACACTTCTTCATGAGGCATTTTTAACCTTATTTTGGCCTTGAGGCATTTTCATGAGGCATTTTTCAACTTATTTTGGCCTTGAGGCATTTCAACTTATTTTGGCCTTAAAAGACCAAAATCTTGATTATTCTGTGACAGTGCTCACTTACAGAACAATAAGAAATGTGGATTACCTCAGTCTAGGATTTGTTGTCTCTGGCATGACAAGGGCCTTTTTGATAGAAGTGCCTTGCATCACATTTCAGATGACAGATACATGTGATATAATCCCACAGAATATCGCAAGCTTAGCAGAAGCTATTAGGAAAAGTAAAGGGAAGAATGATCCAGAATTCTATATTGATTGTCGGGACAATATTCATTTCTGCAATCAGGCATGTGTGCTTTGAAAGGGTTTATGTAGCAAAACCCACAAGGGCAACCGGAACTCTGAGGTGTTCACTCTACACACCTCAGACCCCTACAATATAATAAAGGTGACAACCAAGATAGAAAGACACTAACTCATACTGTTCGATGACCAATTTCTGGAAGTTGAGACTCACAAAATATGCATTTACTGAGAAGATTATTTTCCTGTTATCACCTCCAGGTGTAATTTTGACAATAATTTGTATTGGGCTGATGAAATAATAGGGAAACATAAACTACTGGCACTGGACTTCAGCAGTACAGGAGCAGCCATGTGCAAGCCCATTCAAGAGGTAAAGACTGGTGATGGTGCATGGCATCATCAAAGGTCTTAACTCCTGACATCATTTCATTCGATGATGATTCCATTGGATTCCATTCGATGACAACTGCATTCGGTTCCATTCGATGATGATCCCAATGGATTCCATTCGATTTCTCCATTTGATTCCTTTCATTGATGATTCCATTAGATTCCATTAGATGATGATGTCATTAGATTCCTTTCGATGATGATTCCATTAGATTCCATTTGATGATGATTCCTTTCGATTCCATTCAATGATGATTCCATTCGATTCCATTCGATGACGATTCCATTCGATTCCATATGATGATTCCATTTGATTCCATTCGATGATGATTCCAATCGTGTCCATTCGATGATTCCATTCAATTCCATCCAATGATGATTCCATTCGTGTCCATTCAATGATTCCATTGAAGTCCATTTGATGATTCCTTTCAATTCCATTCGATGATGATTCCATTCGAGTCCATTCAATGATTCCATTTGATTTCATTCGATGATGATTCCATTTGATTGCATTCGATGATTCCATTCTATTCCATTCGATGATGATTCCATTGGAGTCCATTTGATGATTCTATCCGATTGCATTCGATGATTCCATTCTATTCCATTCGATGATGATTCCATTCGAGTCCATTTAATGATTCCATTGGGTTGAATTCGATGATAATTAAATTGGATTCCATTCGATTTCTCCATTCGATTCCATTCGTTGATGATTCTATTCAATTCCTTTCGATGATGACTCAGTTCTACTACATTGGATGATTCTATTCAATTGCATTCGATGATGATTCCATTCGATTTCATTCGATGATGATTCCATTCGTTTGCATTCAATGATGATTCCATTCGAGTGCATTCAAAGATTCCATTCGATGCCATTCGATGATGATTCCATTCGATGATGCCATTCGATTCCATTCGATGATGCTTCCACTCGAGTCTATTTGATGATTCCTTTCAATTCCATTGAATTGTTCCTTAGATTCCATTCATTGATGATTCTATTTAATGCCATTCGATGATTCCATTCGATTTCATTTGATGATGATTCCATTCAAGTCCACTCAATGGTTCCTTTCGATTCCATTCGATGATGATTCCATTCGATTCCATTCAATGATGATTTCATTCAATTCCATTCGATGATGATTCCATTCGTTTTCATTTGATGATTCTATTTGATTCCATTCAATGGTGATTCAATTCTACTCCATTGGATGATTCCTTTCCATTCCATTTGATGATGATTCCATTCGATTCCATTCGATGATGATTCCAGTCGACTGCATTCAATGATGATTTCAATCGAGTCCATTCGAAGATTCCATTCAATTGCTTTCGGTGATGATTCCATTCAAGTCCATTCAATGATTCGATTCCATTCCATTCAATGATGATTCCATTCGATTCCATTCAATGATTCCTTTCTATTCCATTTGATGATGATTCCATTCGAGTCCATTCGATGATTCCATTAGATTGCATTTGATGATGATTCCATTCGAGTCCATTCGATGATTCCATTCGATTCCATTCGAAGATGATTCCATTCGTGTCCATTCGATGATTCCATTCGATGATGATTCCCCTCGAGTCCATTCGATGATTCCATTCTGTTCCATTCGATTATTCCCTTAGATTCCATTCACTGATGATTCAATTCGATGCCAGTCAATGGCTCCATCTGATTCCATAGCATGAAGTTTCCATTCGAATCCATTCAATGATACCATTCAATTCCATTCAATGATGATTTCTTTTGTGTCCATTCGATATATCCAATCGATTCCATTCGATTATGATTCCATTTGAGTCCATTCGATGATTCCATTCAATTCCATTTGATGATGATTCCATTCGAATCCTTTTGATGATTCCATTCGATTCCATTGAATGATTCCATTCCATCCCATTCGATGATGCCCTTCGATTGCATTCAATGATCATTCCATTCAATTCAGTGATCCCTTTGGATTCCATTCGATGATGATTCCATTTGGTTCCACTCCATGATGATTCCATTCGGTTCCATGTGCTGATGATTCCATTAGATTCCATTCGAGGTTTCCATGCGATTCCACTTGTTGAAGATTCCATTTGATTCCATTCAATGATGATTCCATTCGATGATGATTCCATTCGTTTACATTCGATGATGATTCCATTCAATCTCATTCGATGATTCTATTTAATTCCATTTGATGATGATTCCATTCTATTGCATTCGATGATGATTCCATTCAATTCCATTTGATGATGATTCCATTCGATTCCATTAGATGATTATTCCATTCAATTTTATCTGATGATTCTATTTAATTCCATTCGATGATGATTCTATTCTATTCCGTTCTATGATTCCATTCAATTCCATTATATGATGATTCTATTCGATTCCATTTGATGATGATTCCTTTTGATTCCATTCATTGATGATTCCATTCGTGTCCATTCGATGATTCCACTCAATTCCATTCGATGATGATTCCACACGATTCCGTTAAATCACTCCATTTGATTCCATTGGATGATGATGCCATTCGATGCCATTCCATGAATCCATTCGATTTCATTTGATGATGATTGCATTCGATTCCATTCGATGATTCCATTCGATGATGATTCCAGTCAATGCCATCTGATGATTCCATTCGAGTCCATTTGATGATTCCATTTGAAACCATTCGATGAGGATTCCATTCAATTCCATTCATTGGTGATTCCATTCAATTCCATTAATTGATTCCATTCCATTCCAGTCGACAATGATTCCGTTAGATTCCATTCGATGATTCCACTTGATTCCATTTGACGATGATTCCATTTGATTCCCTTCATTGGTGATTACATTCAATTCCATTCAATGATTCCATTCCATTCCATAGGAACAATTACAATATAATATTGTGAACATGTAAACATATACCCTATGTCTATTTTATGTATAAGCATATATGATTAAAAATATAGTTAAGAATTTTTAAACCTAGTATTATAAAGTAAAAATTAGTTAACTTCTGATGATTATTTTTTAATTAAGATAAAATTATTTTGATTTGGGTGATTTTAAATAAAAATATTAAATTACATGACAAAAATTCTTTATAAAATGTTTATGACTTTTACATTGGTTTTATCACTTTATTCCACTACTTTATTTTAAGGTGACCTGCCTGGTTTAAAACACTGTATTCATCTTAATTAAATTAAATTCCATTTGTAAAAAAATTAACAAATGATTTGCTCTATTGTACAGTGAGTTATAAACTGAGTCAGTATCTCAAGATTTGATCCTCATTATCATCATCTGTGGCCCTATTTGTTTTATAAATGTATTGTCTTTTTCCATGCCTGTCACATCTCTATTGCTCTTTCATTTTTCTCTTTGTCCCTTATAGGGAGCATTGCCTATCTCTAGATTAAGCAAAAGTTGCATCTTAAAAAAGCACAATAACCTGCTCAATCTTTCTCACACAGAAAAATGTTTGTTAAGTAATTAAAGTGTAGATGATGATACAAAGAGCTTGAAGAAATTACATGCCAAAGTATCCTTGTGATTCAGAATATGAATGGTATTTAATTTCTTTGAAATCATTAATTGCTGAGTGACAGTAATTAATGCCAATATTCCAGAAGTTGTTCTAGTTAGTAAAATGTATACAACATGCAAAAGATTCAGAACTCTGAAGGGCAACATTATTCTATAATTAAGAATTAAGAATTAATTCACATTAATTATTGGGGAGAAATAATAATTAAGAATTAATGACTGAGAAAATGTTTTTATTTTTTATTTAGAAAATTATTTTGTGCATGAGCATTACCGCAAGTTTTGCAAGAAACATAAATTTAAAGAAACAATTATGTGCACAACATGAATTTAATAACATCTTGATATTTTCCACGATTACAGTTTTATTTGGTAAATCTTTAAATGCACATCATCTAAAGATAATAAATGAATCTTGGGAATCTTGTTGGTAAGGGTAAATATTAGGATGCATCCAGTTACATTTACACACACATACAGTTACATTTACACACACATACATGCATACAGACTGATACACGTGTGTATATATATATATGAATTTACTAATTGATTTTAACTAATATTTATAAGAGCCAGTTGGATTGATATATACTGTTGAACCTGAAAAATATTTATTATATACATGTTTAAAACACACACAGAAATAAATAGTAATTGCACTAGGCATTTGAAACTGTACTAAAATATAAGCTGTGAACATTTTGTGATCATTACAAATTCTTATACTGAATAAATATTTTTATTTTTACAATATTAATATGTTTGATACCTGTGTACATTTTTTACAATGTGTTATTTTATTTTTGTCATAGAGTCATGTCATGCATAATAACATTTCAGTCAAAGATGGATTACATATACAAAAGTGGTCCCATGAGATTATAATACATATTTTTACATACTTTTCTACGTTTAAGTATGTTTAGATACATAACCTCTTACCACTGTGTTCTTATTGCCTGCAGTATTCAGTACAGTAATGTAGTACACAGGTTTGTAGCCTGGGAGAGAGAGGCTATACCATATAACCTAGAGGTGGTAGGCTGTAGAATCTAGGTGTTTGTAATATTCTTTGTGATGTTTGCAAAATGATGAAATTGCCTATGGATACGTCTGTTAGAACGTATCCCTATCATTCAGTGATGTGTGACTGTACTAAAATGCTCAAGGTAAGTTTCAATGCCCTCCATAAAATTGTTGTACAGTGAAATACAAATCTCTCACCCATGGCCAGAATATGTTTGCGAACTAAGCAGATCATGGGAAGGAGAATGTGCTGGCATTGCTGGGATGATTTTCTCACACTACATGAATAATATCTACAGACTTCGTGAATATGAGCCAGTTGCATAAAGTAGGCATCTCTTTGATGGGAAATTTATCAAATGGGAGTATGAAGTGTTTTTAAAAGATACTTGTTTGTAGCTCGTAGGCCTACAGTGGCTCATGGCAATGGTTGAGGTTGCTAAGATTTGGTGGCAGAAGGCAATATGAAATGGCCACTTATATGGTATATGGTATATGGATCACTTGTTTCTGTTGAGTTACAGACTCAGCTGGCTATTTCTCCCAACGTTAGTTATTTGGAGAAAAAAAACGTGATGGTAATTTTGGGGTAGCAAATACAATATTTGATGAAAGCAAATTTATTGAGGGTTAGACAAACTACAAGATACTTTAGGCTGCAAAGTCATCGCGAGACTTCTGGCCCAAATTCTGCAGAGTTTGCGTCCAGCTGCAAAGTTCAAAGGAAGAGGCCATATAAGAGGATTCTCACTTCTGACACCAACTGCCAGTTCAGGGGTTTCCCCTGAATACCCTCAGTTTCAAGAATTTACTAGAAAGACTCACAGAATTCATTGAATGCCATTGTACTCATGGTTTATAATAGAGAAAGGGTAGAAATTAGGACCAATTGAAGAGACATAGCATATAAGGTAGAATCTAGGAGATTTTGAATGTTAAGTTTCCATTGTCTTCAGGACATATTACCTGTCATTGTTGTACAGCAATAAACATGGAGTACTACCAAACTGGGGAGCTCACCTGATGCTAAAAAGACACTATTTAGAATATGAAAAGACAAATGAAAGGATGAGATAAGATGACCTTCCACATGAAGGCACTGGAAAGAATAGCAAACTAAACCTAAAGCAAGCAGAAGGAAGAAAATAAAAATTAGAGAAATTAATAATTTATAATAATAATATTTGTTAGTGTTGAATAATTGATATTAATTCTTGACTAACTTTTTTAGAGAAATATTCACTTCCCAATTTATTCTGTGGGGCCAGTGTTACCTTGATACAAAAATTAGTCAAAATAGCATAGAAAAATAAAACTACTATAAGTATAAATGCAAAATTCCTTAAAAAATACTAACAAATCAGATCTAGCAACATATAAAAGAATTATACACAATGACAAAGTGAAATTTATACAAGTAATCCCAGGTTGGTTTAACAGCCCAAAATCCATTAAGGTAATACATCTTATCCATAGAATAAGAAACGAGAATTGCATGATCATCTCGATAGATTCGGAAAAGACATTTAACAAAATCCAAATGCTTTAATGATTAAAAATAAAAATAAAAACTCAATGAACCAGGAATAGAGAACTTTCTACACCAGATGCGTGGCACCTGTGAAAAGCCAACAGCAAGCATGCAACTTAATGGTAAAGGATGCTTTCCCACTATGGTCAGAGATAAGAATAGGATATATATTTTGACCTCTTCTAGTCAAAACTGTACTAAAGATTTTATGCAGGGCAAATCGGCAACTAAAAAAATAAGAGTCACCCATATTGAACAGGAAGAAATAAAACTTTATTTGAAAATAACATTCTTGTATATAGAAAATTTTAAGGAATCCACTGAACGATAGAACTAGTAAATTATTTCAGCAATATTACAGCATACAAGATAAATGTACAAAAATCAATTGCACACATCTACAATGAAAACCCCAAAATGAAATTAAGAAATAACTTCAATTTAAAATAGCATCAAAAAAAGAAATAATAATTAATTTGGAAAATGTGATACAAGAGTTTACTCTGAAAATTAAAAATTATTGTTTAAAGAATATCTAAATAATTAGCAAACATCTTACAGCCATGAATTGGAAGATTTAATATTGTAGTACTTTACAATTTGAACTACAGATTTGATGAAATCCCTGCAAGTATCCCAACAGACTTCTGTCTAGAAACTTACAAGCTGATTCTAAAATACACGTGGAATTGTAAGGGACTCAAAATAGCCAAAATAATCTTGAAAAAAGAAAACATAGGATAATTCACACCCCCATGCTCCAAACCTTACTGCAGAGTATCAGTAATCAAGACAGCACAATACTGATGAAGGAAAAATATATAGATTGATGGAAGAGAATTGAGAGTCCATATGTAAAACTATGTGTCTATAGTCAATGGATTCTTACAGTGGTGCCATGTGCAATTCAATGAGGAAGAGACAGTCTTTGAACAAACTGGGTCAACAACGTACACGTGGATCCCCACTTGCAAAATAATAAATTCGAACCCTTACCCCAAAGCATACAAAAATATTAACTCAAATGAATTAAAGACACACAGGCAAGAGCTAGAATAAAGCATATGGGAAAATCTTCAGGATTTTGGATCTAGCAAAGAAATAGCTGTAACACCAAAAACATGAGCAACAAAATAAAAATTAGATATTTAAAATTTCTTAAAAATTAAAGACATTGGTGTTTCAAAGGACAACCAAGCAAGTCAAAAGGCAGCTCAAAAATTGTGAGAAGATATTTGAAAAACACCTATCTATATGTCTGTATATATATGTATCTTGAATATAGAAAAATTGTTTTAACTCAGTAACAAATATCCCAACTCAAAACTGATAAATGATAGGAATAGATGTGTTTCCCAAGAAGATACACGAACGGTCAATAATCCCATAAAAAGATACTCAATAGCATCACTCATAAGGCAACTACAAATCAAAACCACAGTTAGATACTCTATGGCTAGAACTGGCCACTTTGGAAAGTAATTTGATGGCTTCTAAATATTTTAAATATAGAATTGTCATATGACCCAGAAATTTATTCCTAGGTATACACCCAGATTATTGGAAAGAGGTGTTCAAACACAAATTGTACACAAGTATTTTTAGCAGCAGTATTTAAAATAGCCAAAGGCTGAACACAATTCAAATGTCAATAAAAATATTATTAGATAAACAAAATGTTTTATCCATGAAATTGAATGTTATACAGCTATAAAAAGAAATAAAGTACCAATACGTACATGAACCTTGATAGCATTATGCCAACTGAATGAAGCCAAGCAGAAAAGGTCACCTATTGTATGATTCTATTTAGATGAAAACAGAATAGGAAAATCTATAGAGATGGAAAACAGATTTGTGGTTGCTTAGGATTGAGTAGGGGATGGGTGTATAGGAGGTTAACAGCTAGAGAAGGTGGGGATTCTTTTTGAAGTGATGAAAATGCTCTAAAATTCATTGTGATGATGGCTCCACTTATCTGTGCATATACTAAAAGCCACTGACTTGTAGACATTAATGTGTGCACTCTACACTATGTAAATTATATCTCAATAAATCCTTTCAAAAATACACAGAAGAGTAAGGGGTTTTGGAATGTTGCAGCTGGGAGGCAGTTTGAAATACTGAATAGGCCTCATCGAGAATGTGAAGTTTCAGTAAAGACTTGAGGAAGTTGAATGAGCTGATGAATGGATATATGGAGGGCTATCTTTCCAAGGCAAGAAATTAACTAGAGTCTTGGTCATAAGGCAGCAGCCTGTTGGCATGTCCAGAGGACAGTGAGGTGGCCAGGACCACTGGTAAGATCAGGGGTGAAGATATAAAAGAATTTTGGTGGTTAACATGTGGCAGATCATGATGGGCTTGCAGACCATTGTAAGAATTGTTGTTTTTAGTGCACATGAAATGGGTAGACAAGTCATTATCCTATTATCAATATTTTAATAAATTGGATCCATGAACCAAATCCAATGAGATTAAATCGATTAATAATAATATGCAAATTTGTATTAAAATTACAAGAATTACTTGCACATTTGAGAACAGGAGAGTCATGATTGTTTATCAGCTATAATAAACATTATTAATTTTAATTGTGATCAGCTAACTGAGATTAAGTGCAATACATCATGCTTTATAATGTGACTGTCAAAAGGAAAATATGATTATAATCTTATACTACATCTATCAATGTCTTTGATTCATAAGACTATGGAGTAAGCCCCCAGTTTTCAAAGCCAACTTATGAGGCTGTGACATCTTATGCAAGTTTGCTGCTTTCTGCCACAGTGATCCCTGGTCAGCTGGCACAAATTGTTTTACAAACGCCCCTAGGTCTAAAAATAGTTTGGATCACAATGAACACAGAAACACCTTCATCCCTTCAGAAATACCTATCAATTACTTCCAATACAGAATGAAAAATTGACAAAGGAAATATGTGGATTGTAAAAATGCCAGTTAGCTTGCATCTACATGAAAGAAAAATGCCATTTTTATTACATTAGATCATTGTCTTACATGAGTTTTGGCATAGCACTATGTTGAACCAAGGGCAAAGAGAGATGAATTAATGAAGTCTTAAGATATCAAGAATTTGAAAGAAAAGGCAGGTCATCTTTGAAGGTTAGTGACGTAGCATTCATCTTCTGTTGTCACCTTTTCCGTCATTCCCTGTATGCCTGATGGACAGGTTTCACTCAAGTTCAGAGAACAGCATGCAAAATTATCTACCAATTAATCTTTATGAAGTGAGCTTCATTTCTAGCCAGACTGAGCTTACGTTTTAGCAGGAAGCATTTTTGGGAAATGTTTATGTTAGAGTTTGCCCTTCTTGACAAGGTGAGACATAAATGTCTCCTTTAGAGACATGAATTAAGATGGGAAGATATTTGGGGGATTCATTTACTCAAATGCTAAATAATAAAGGTACACAAAGGGCAAATTATACTAGATTTCTTTCCAACTTGTTTTCTATGTCTCATGCAATTCGCCTTGATTCCCTTCAGTTTCTGTTTAATGTAGAAAGTGGCATTTTCATTATTTTAAGCTTCTAGCACAATGAAAGAATTTCTCTTTTTCATGAACAGGATCATAAATGAAAGGGAGGAAGAGTGTCCTATATCATATTTATTGTTCAACAAAACACTGCTCCACGGCTTAAATTCAGTTTAAAAAAGAGAATTTATTGAACATCTAACACATACATAAAAGGCAGTAAAGACAAATGAGAAGAGGGCAGGATATTGAAGTATATAGACTTCAATGCTGAGTTTTATATCTTAGGAAGTTACTCCACCTTACAGAGGCTCAATTTCCCCTGATTTAGGAAGGCGATGCTAATGGGTATGGCATAGGTGTAAGTATAAAAATGTTGTATTTAAGAGAATCCCACAAGCTTGGTATAAGGCAGAAAATAAATAGATGTGACATGAATAAGTAGTTTATTACATTTGTATGCTACCTGTGGACTAGAGGAAGCCAGAAACACAGCCACTATGCTTGATTAGCATTATAGAGATGGTACAATGATGGTTGCCAGAGGCTGGGGGGAGGAACAAATAGGGAAGTATTGTTTAATGGGTATAGAGTTTCAGTTTTACAAGGTGAAACGAATTATGGAGATGGATGATAGGGATGGCTGCACAATGTTATGACTATATTTAGTACCACTGAACTGTACACTTAAAATGGTTAACAGAGTACATTTTATGTTATGTGAATTTTACCACAATAAAAAAATAAAATACCTTAGGAACATTTTCATGAAAAAGCCCACATAAAATTCATTTTAATGCACGTGTTTATGCATAGCTTTCTATTTTTCTCTTTTCTCTTTATATTCCAAATTCTAATCAGAGAAGGGAATCCCCTCTGTACCTCCAGGATATTCAGTAAAGACCAGTGGAGGTTCATGCCCTAGTGACAGTGCTCATTTAGCTCCAAATTACAGATGGCTCTAGACTAACTCCACAAAGTTTAAAGAGAAGATTTAAAACAACAACAGACAAATACTCATCCTGAAGTTACTGAACTGCCTGCCACAACATTGTTCAAAGGCAGCCAATAAAATCTAGATATTCAATAGCATAACATCAAAATACCCAAAAAAACTCTGACATGTCAAGAAGCCATAAGATATATATAATTAAGCTATATATTAACAGGATAAAAATAAGTCATTTATAAATGACAGAAAAAGAAGGAAATTTCAAGGTCCTTAAAGTAAATATATTTTATAAATACATATAGATAAATACATATATATATGTCAAGGTACTTAAATGAAAATTGAACATAGGAGAAAAATAGAAGTTATAAAATGAAAAATGTGATATGTATAGATGAAAAATAAATATTTGAAATAAAAATTCCATGAGATAGTATAAGTAATGGATTTTACCCTAACATCCGAAAATTTATAGAAAAAAATAGAAGCTTTACAAACTAAAGGACAAAGGGTAAACTAAAATAAGAAAGCCAGAAACTCACTGATACGTCAGACAATATGCAGCAGTGTAACATACATGTAATTAATATCTCAATAAGGATGGGTGGGGGAATTATAGGTGAATAAAGAATGGTACACTCGAGGGAGGAGCCAAGATGGCCGAATAGGAACAGCTCCGGTCTACAGCTCCCAGCGTGACCGAAGCAGAAGACGGGTGATTTCTGCATTTCCATCTGAGGTACCGAGTTCATCTCACTAAGGAGTGCCAGACAGTGGGCGCAGGCCAGTGGGTACACGCACGGTGCGCGAGCCAAAGTAGGGCGAGGCATTGCCTCACCTGGGAAGCGCAAGGGGTCAGGGAGTTCCCTTTCCGAGTCAAAGAAAGGGGTGACAGACGCACCTGGAAAATCGGGTCACTCCCACCTGAATATTGCGCTTTTCAGACCGGCTTAAAAAATGGCGCACCACAAGACTATATCCCACACCTTGCTCAGAGGGTCCTACACCCACGGAATCTCGCTGATTGCTAGCACAGCAGTCTGAGATCAAACTGCAAGGCAGCAGCCAGGCTGGGGGAGGAGCGCCAGCCATTGCCCAGGCTTGCTTAGGTAAACAAAGCAGCCAGGAAGCTCGAACTGGGTGGAGCCCACCACAGCTCAAGGAGGCCTGCCTGCCTCTGTAGGCTCCACCTCTGGGGGCAGTGCACAGACAAACAAAAAGCAGTAACCTCTGCAGACTTAAATGTCCCTGTCTGACAGCTTTGAAGGGAGCAGTGGTTCTCCCAGCACGCAGCTGGAGATCTGAGAACCGGCAGACTGCCTCTTCAAGTGAGTCCCGGACCCCTGATCCCCGAGCAGCCTAACTGGGAGGCACCCCCAGCAGGGGCACACTGACACCTCACACGGTAGGGTATTCCAACAGACCTGCAGCTGAGGGTCCTGTCTGTTAGAAGGAAAACTAACAGAAAGGACATCCACACCAAAAACCCATCTGTACATCACCATCATCAAAGACCAAAAGTAGATAAAACCACAAAGATGGGGAAAAAACAGAACAGAAAAACTGGAAGCTCTAAAAATCAGAGCACCTCTCCTCCTTCAAAGGAAAGCAGCTCCTCACCAGCAACAGAACAAAGTTGGATGGAGAATGACTTTGACGAGCTGAGAGAAGGCTACAGACGATCAAATTATGCTGAGCTACGGGAGGATATTCAAACCAAAGGCAAAGAAGTTGAAAACTTTGAAAAAAATTTAGAAGAATGTATAACTAGAATAACCAATACAGAGAAGTGCTTAAAGGAGCTGATGGAGCTGAAAACCAAGGCTCAAGAACTACGTGAAGAATGCAGAAGCCTCAGGAGCCGATGCGATCAACTGGAAGAAAGGGTGTCAGCGATGGAAGATGAAATGAATGAAATGAAGTGAGAAGGGAAGTTTAGAGAAAAAAGAATAAAAAGAAATGAGCAAAGCCTCTAAGAAATATGGGAATATGTGAAAAGACCAAATCTACGTCTGATTGGTGTACCTGAAAGTGACGAGGAGAATGGAACCAAGTTGAAAAACACTGTGCAGGATATTATCCAGGAGAACTTCCCCAATCTAGCAAGGCAGGCCAATGTTCAGATTCAGGAAATACAGAGAATTCCACAAAGATACTCCTCGAGAAGAGCAACTCCAAGACACATAATTGTCACATTCACCAAAGTTGAAATGAAGGAAAAAATGTTAAGGGCAGCCAGAGAGAAAGGTCGGGTTACCCTCAAAGGGAAGCCCATCAGACTAACAGTGGATCTCTCGGCAGAAACCCTACAAGCCAGAAGAGAGTGAGGGCCAATATTCAACATTATTAAAGAAAAGAATTTTCAACCCAGAATTTCATATCCAGCCAAGCTAAGCTTCATAAGTGAAGGACAAATAAAATACTTTACAGACAAGCAAATGCTGAGAGATTTTGTCACTACCAGACCTGCCCTAAAAGAGCTCCTGAAGGAAGCGCTAAACATGGAAAGGAACAACCAGTACCAGCCACTGCAAAATCATGCCAAAATGTAAAGACCATCGAGACTAGGAAG
Source organism: Homo sapiens (assembly GCF_000001405.40). Taxonomy (NCBI): domain Eukaryota; kingdom Metazoa; phylum Chordata; class Mammalia; order Primates; family Hominidae; genus Homo; species Homo sapiens. The sequence continues at coordinate 46,453,496 of NC_000016.10, read as the reverse complement.
AAACTGTATCAACTAACGAGCAAAATCACCAGCTAACATCATAATCACAGGATCAAATTCACACATAACAATATTAACTTTAAATGTAAATGGACTACATTCTCCAATTAAAAGACACAGACTGGCAAATTGGATAAAGAGTCAAGACCCATCAGTGTGCTGTATTCAGGAAACCCATCTCACGTGCAGAGACACACATAGGCTCAAATAAAAGCATGGAGGAAGATCTACCAAGCAAATGGAAAACAAAAAAAGGCAGGGGTTGCAATCCTAGTCTCTGATAAAACAGACGTTAAACCAACAAAGATCAAAAGAGACAAAGAAGGCCATTACATAATGGTAAAGGGATCAATTCAACAAGAAGAGCTAACTATCCTAAATATATATGCACCCAATACAGGAGCACCCAGATTCATAAAGCAAGTCCTGAGTGACCTACAAAGAGACTTAGACTCCCACACAATAATAATGGGAGACTTTAACACCCCACTGTCAACATTAGACAGATCAAAGAGACAGAAAGTCAAAAAGGATACCCAGGAATTGAACTCAGCTCTGCACCAAGCGGACCTAATAGACATCTACAGAACTCTCCACCCCAAATCAACAGAATATACATTTTTTTTGAGCACCACACCACACCTATTCCAAAATTGACCACATAGTTGGAAGTAAAGCTCTCCTCAGCAAATGTAAAAGAACAGAAATTATAAAAAACTATCTCTCAGACCACAGTGCAATCAAACTAGAACTCAGGATTAAGAATCTCACTCAAAGCCGCTCAACTACTTGGAAACTGAACAACCTGCTCCTGAATGACTACTGGGTACATAACGAAATGAAGGCAGAAATAAAGATGTTCTTTGAAACCAACGACAACAAAGACACAACATATCAAAATCTCTGGGACGCATTCAAAGCAGTGTGTAGAGGGAAATTTATAGCACTAAATGCCTACAAGAGAAAGCAGGAAAGATCCAAAATTGACACCCTAACATCACAATTAAAAGAACTAGAAAAGCAAGAGCAAACACATTCAAAAGCTAGCAGAAGGCAAGAAATAACTAAAATCAGAGCAGAACTGAAGGAAATAGAGACGCAAAAAACCCTTCAAAAAATTAATGAATCCAGGAGCTGGTTTTTTGAAAGGATCAACAAAATTGATAGACCACTAGCAAGATTAATAAAGAAAAAAGAGAGAAGAATCAAATAGACACAATAAAAAATGATAAAGGGGATATCACCACCGATCCCACAGAAATACAAACTACCATCAGAGAATACTACAAACACCTCTACGCAAATAAACTAGAAAATCTAGAAGAAATGGATAAATTCCTCGACACATACACTCTCCCAAGACTAAACCAGGAAGAAGTTGAATCTCTTAATAGACCAATAACAGGAGCTGAAATTGTGGCAATAATCAATAGCTTACCAACCAAAAAGAGTCCAGGACCAGATGGATTCACAGCCGAATTCTACCAGAGGTACAAGGGGGAACTGGTACCATTCCTTCTGAAACTATTCCAATCAATAGAAAAAGAGGGAATCCTCCTTAACTCATTTTATGAGGCCAGCATTATTCTGATACCAAAGCCGGGCAGAGACACAACAAAAAAAGAGAAATTTAGACCAATATCCTTGATGAACATTGATGCAAAAATCCTCAATAAAATACTGGCAAACCGAATCCAGCAGCACATCAAAAAGCTTATCCACCATGATCAAGTGGGCTTCATCCCTGGGATGCAAGGCTGGTTCAATATACCCAAATCAATAAATGTAATCCAGCTTATAAACAGAGCCAAAGACAAAAACCACATGATTATCTCAATAGATGCAGAAAAAGCCTTTGACAAAATTCAACAACCCTTCATGCTAAAAACTCTCAATAAATTAGGTATTGATGGGACGTATTTCAAAATAATAAGAGCTATCTATGACAAACCCACAGCCAATATCATACTGAATGGGCAAAAACTGGAAGCATTCCCTTTGAAAACTGGCAGAAGACAGGGATGCCCTCTCTCACCACTCCTATTCAACATAGTGTTGGAAGTCTGGCCAGGGCAATTAGGCAGGAGAAGGAAATAAAGGGTATTCAATTAGGAAAAGAGGAAGTCAAATTGTCCCTGTTTGCAGATGACATGATTGTATATCTAGAAAACCCCATTGTCTCAGCCCAAAATCTCCTTAAGCTGATAAGCAACTTCAGCAAAGTCTCAGGATACAAAATCAATGTACAAAAATCACAAGCATTCTTATACACCAACAACAGACAAACAGAGAGCCAAATCATGAGTGAACTCCCATTCACAATTGCTTCAAAGAGAATCAAATACCTAGGAATCCAACTTACAAGGGATGTGAAGGACCTCTTCAAGGAGAACTACAAACCACTGCTCAATGAAATAAAAGAGGATACAAAGAAATGGAAGAATATTCCATGCTCATGGGTAGGAAGAATCAATATCGTGAAAATGGCCATACTGCCCAAGGTAATTTACAGATTCAATGCCATCCCCATCAAGATACCAATGACTTTCTTCACAGAATTGGAAAAAACTACTTTAAAGTTCATATGGAACCAAAAAAGAGCCCGCATCGCCAAGTCAATCCTAAGCCAAAAGAACAAAGCTGGAGGCATCATGCTACCTGACTTCAAACTATACTACAAGGCTACAGTAACCAAAACAGCATGGTACTGGTACCAAAACAGAGATATAGATCAATGGAACAGAACAGAGCCCTCCGAAATAACGCCGCATACCTACAACTGTCTGATCTTTGACAAACCTGAGAAAAACAAGAAATGGGGAAAGGATTCCCTATTTAATAAATGGTGCTGGGAAAACTGGCTAGCCATATGTAGAAAGCTGAAACTGGATCCCTTCCTTACACCTTATACAAAAATCAATTCAAGATGGATTAAAGATTTAAACGTTAAACCTAAAACCATAAAAACCCTAGAAGAAAACCTAGGCATTACCATTCAGGACATAGGCATGGGCAAGGACTTCATGTCTAAAACACCAAAAGCAATGGCAACAAAAGACAAAATTGACAAATGGGATCTAATTAAACTAAAGAGCTTCTGCACAGCAAAAGAAACTACCATCAGAGTGAACAGGCATCCTACAAAATGGGAGAAAATTTTCGCAACCTACTCATCTGACAAAGGGCTAATATCCAGAATCTACAATGAACTCAAACAAATTTACAAGAAAAAAACAAACAACCCCATCAAAAAGTGGGCGAAGGATATGAACAGACACTTCTCAAAAGAAGACATTTATGCAGCCAAAAAACACATGAAAAAATGCTCATCATCACTGGCCATCAGAGAAATGCAAATCAAAACCACTATGAGATACCATCTCACACCAGTTAGAATGGCAATCATTAAAAAGTCAGGAAACAACAGGTGCTGGAGAGGATGTGGAGAAATAGGAACACTTTTACACTGTTGGTGGGACTGCAAACTAGTTCAACCATTGTGGAAGTCAGTGTGGCGATTCCTCAGGGATCTAGAACTATAAATACCATTTGATCCAGTCATCCCATTACTGGGTATATACCCAAATGACTATAAATCATGCTGCTATAAAGACACATGCACACGTATGTTTATTGTGGCATTATTCACAATAGCAAAGACATGGAACCAACCCAAATGTCCAACAATGATAGACTGGATTAAGAAAATGTGGCACATATACAACATGGAATACTATGCAGCCATAAAAAATGATGAGTTCATGTCCTTTGTAGGGACATGGATGAAATTGGAAATCATCATTCTCAGTAAACTATCACAAGAACAAAAAACCAAGCACCGCATATTCTCACTCATAGGTGGGAATTGAACAATGAGATCACATGGACACAGGAAGGGGAATATCACACTCAGGGGACTGTGGTGGGGTGGGGGGAGGGCGGAGGGATAGCATTGGGAGATATACCTAATGCTAGATGACGAGTTAGTGGGTGCAGCGCACCAGCATGGCACATGTATACATATGTAACTAACCTGCACAATGTGCACATGTACCCTAAAACTTAAAGTATAATAAAAAAAAGAAGAAAAAAAAAGAATGGTACACTCATTCCTGAGGGCACCGAGGAGGGAAGATAGCTTTAGATTTCTAAGGGAGGGTATTATCCATTCATGAAGGTCCAACCCCATGACCAAATACCTGCCAGTAAGCCCCACCTGCAACATTGGGGATCAAATTTTAACATGAGACTGGAAGGGGCAAGCATTCAAACCATAGCAAGAGTTAGATTTCCTCTTTAAAAAAATCACTGATATGATTCCATTTTGCCATAGATAAAAGCTAGTATTTCAGCCTACCATTGAGTGTGCTTATAGCTCACCAAAAGGGCACTCTGTCTCGGGAATACAGATTTGCCTAGAGGTATCCTATTGCAGTCAAAGAAAGAGCAATGAGGGATAGAAAAGGTTAGTGATGGAGACACCAGCGCTGCATTTTGCAACTAACAATGTAAAAATTTTACGGATTGGTTCTGCTAACTTACTACGGTTTACATTCCTCTCAGGTGGGAGAATTGTTGCGTTTTTTCTCAAGATAGAAAAGCAATTCAGATAATCTGAAATCTCCACAAGAAGGATAAGAAGCACAGCAGAAACTATTCTAGGCAGGAAGTCAATCCTTTCAACTGTCTGTGCTCCATAGAAACAATTGTCTGCACTGGGAGTCATATGAGGTACAGACAACAGCCAGACCTCTGATCCTCTCATTCGTGATTTCAGAAGAAATTACCAGTCAACTGAGTAATTCACTGAGTAAAGTAAACATTTGACACTGAAAGAGGTTAGACGGATAAGTATTTGTATCACCATATTCATGAAGCTGGAATATTTTCCATTACTGGTATCACATCCGAATGGAAGATGTTAAAAGGTCTCTCATCTTGTAAGATGGATATGAAAGAACATTTTCTGAGAAATGAAATTATTAACACACCTGCGAGGTGGATGGAAGAGAAAAAAAAGAACAATCAGCTTGAGTTCTTCTCCTTGATAAGACAACTCACTAAACACATAAAGAGAAAAATACAAGTTTAAAATAATTAACCAGGAGAAGACGACTCTAGAGTTTTTAAATTGCTGATAAGATTTTAATTTGCTCCAAGATGAAAATAATTATACTGCTTGTGTTTTAAGGCACATAATGAGTAATTATATCACACTTGATAGTTTCAGCAGTAAAATATTATCCGTTAACAGCTGGAACTCATAAAAGCATAGCACAATGTGAAGATGGAATTTGCTAAAATAAACCATCTGCTGAAAACTACTATTCTGCAAATTTAAAAATAAAGTTTAAATGTTATTTGTCTTATTTAATAGGTCTGTGAAAAAAATGCGCTCTTTGAAAAGTAGCTACCTTAATTAATTCTTTATATTAGATGGCTGGTTACAGTAATGTACGGTAAGGTGCTACATAGATATATTGCTAAATTTTCTGCATATACTATGTATTTGGCTTAAATAATTTGAAATTTTATAGTTAAAATAACAAATGTATATTTAAATATTTTGCCACAAATTGCAAATATACCTTTAAAAAGCGTCTTACAGTCTAAATATTATTTGTCACCTATATATTTGTCTTTTCTCTATAGGAAAGTTTAAATTTTTCCCTTGAAGCTTTAATTATTTGAGTCTACAAAACAAACTGATAATGTACAATTTAACAGGAAAAAAAGGTTTACAGATATGTGCACAAGTATGCACTTGGAGTTTACATAATATATATAAATATATCTATACAAATATTTGTATATTATAAATAGATATACAAATATATACTATATATATAAAAACTCCAGGAAAGGCAAGGTAGTCAACACGCCTATGCTGTCTTGAGGTTACAGAAAACACAGAGCTGTAGGTTGGTAAATCAGGCTTTGCGGAAGACAGGTGACGACAAGGAAGAAAGAGGAGCCTGTCAGCAGAGGTGGTCTTGTTACATGGATGAAACCTCACAGGGAGCAGCCCTCCTATTGGGAAGTATCGATAGGAAATGGTTTTTAGAAATGTAAACGTGCCAGGCTCAGTTAATCTTTCCTAAACCCAGACAAGGGAGTATCTCAGGGAAAGCCTGTCTATATCAATGTAGATTTTTCTCTACAAATGCAAATCTCCCCAACAAACAGAGCTTTTCAGCTATTCTTGTAGAAGAAGCTATCTTCAGTCTTCCGAGTAGCCATCTTGAAATATGTCAAAAAGCTGGCCAGGGGCACGCCTGTAATCCCAGCACTTTGGGAGGCTGAAGTAGGTAGATCACCTGAAGTCAGGAGTTGGAGACCAGCCTGACCAACATGGTGAAACCACGTCTCTACTAAATCCAAAAAATTAGCCTAGTGTGGTGGTGCATGCCTGTAATCTCAGCTACTTGGGAGACTGAGCTAGGAGAATTACTTGACCCTGGGAGGCTGAGGTTGCAGTGAGCCAAGATTGTGCCATTGCACTCTAGCCTGGACAATAAGAGCAAAACTCCATCTCAAAAAAAATGTATTTTAGGGTAATATTTTGAGTATCTTTACCTCCATATGTACAATAAATATTATTGTGCTTTTTAATCTTTTCTGTGGAGAAAACACAGGTGTGATTTCTAGTGTAGCTGAACATCGTTTATTTGACAATATTGCACTTGTGTGTGGGTGTGTGCGTGTGTAGCTACTCTAATTTTGTTCTCACATAATGATTAGGTATTAACAATTAATTCAGTAAAATGTATGTTTTGCAATATTTCTCCATGTTATCATGCTTTAAATTAGTTTAATCATGCCCCTATAATGTGTACATTTTAACCTTTGACTATAGGTCTCAATTTTACTTTGGTTCCTGTATTTGAATTTATGCTAATAAAGTCCTACAGCTAAAAAAGATTATATAAACTTATCTACATTTTTACTAGTATTCTGGTGTCATTTTAAATTATGTAATGAAATCAAATTTTAATTTGGATGATTGTTATCTGAGTTAAGGATCTAAATTTTTAATTTTCTTATAAATATTACATAATTATTTCTGAACCGTATATTGACTAATCTGCCCTTTATATGATGTGCATTATAAGAGCTTGGGATTGTTTCATTTGCAAAGATGAATGCTTGAGAAGTAGATATTTAATCATAACATTTCAAAATCTACTGGATAACCTAGAATTGAAAAATAGCCTATAGGTTGAAAAACTCCTGTAGTGAAGAAAGAAAATAACTAATATACAGTGACAATATAAATATTATAAGTATTTATTTTATTATCACCCTGAAATTTGATAATACAAACATGTAATATCTACATATCATCCATATATCAGGTCATAAAAAATCAATACATTCTTCAAAAATTTAGCATAACAGAAAATGCACTCTCTCTCCTTGATGGAATTAAGTTACAAATAAAAGTAAAAATAAGTAGATAAGTAGATGGAAGTAGATGCTTAAAAACAAAGAAAAGTATTTGTTTTGGATAACATAAAATCTCAATTGACAATTCCAATATTTCCAGAACTTTGAGTGTCAACTGGTGGAGAGTTTTCCCCAGGAGACATTTGTCAATGTCTAGGGTTATTGTGGGGATGTCAAGACTGGTGGAGGTCAAATTTAGAGGTCAAACGAAACACCTAGCATTGCTAGGGCAGCCTCCCACAACAAAGAATCCTCTGGTCCTAAAGGTAAGTAGCACCAAGGTTGAGAAACCATAATCTAGACAGTAAACACTACGTAGCTATTCCAAGTGCTCAGGAAAACACATCAGTGCCCACGAGGGGAAAAGTGTAAACATTTTAATTGCTGTACATGGTGACACAAATCCATGTTGTTAATCTAAGTGGAAGGGGCTGAAGCACAAAACGTAATTCAAAGAGTTTACTGGAGCCAAAATGAGGACAGCTGCCTGGAAGAAACAGACCCAAGTATCCTTGGATATGAACTCCCTTTGGAGCTTTGCAACAAGCAGTTTCTTAAAGGCAAAAAAGGGTCCAGAAGTGGGATGATGCAAAGAGGTTTGTCACAAATTCTCATTGGCTTATGGAAATAACATTTATTAGTGACTGGCTATACACTGTTACACTATTATTGGGTGTGGAATATAGTGTCTGGTGTGGCGTTATTGGTTAATTTATAGCTACTGTGGCAACAGCAAGCAGCCTAGATGAACACACAGCTCAAAGAGGAGCGGGACAGAACTGCTGTCTCATTTGAATATCTCTCTGGGCCTGATTATTTAAGAGGAATTGCATTTCTCACATGAAAGTTATTTTCTTTTCTCAATGTCCATAAATGAGAATAAATAGACGTAAAATAGATCTTTTCGAGGATGAAGTAAATGGAATGAAAACCAAAACCCAAGCTGACCAGAAATCATAGAGGGAAGAAAAGGTTATAAATATATGGATTTTTCAAAGTGATTTTAAGCTATTAGGAATCAGTTAAATGTTGGGGGATTTTGTCTGAGAATGGGCTAAAGGAGAATGTCCCTTTTGCCTTTTGAAGTTTCCCTGAAAATCACTAATAGGAGGCAGGTAAATAGTAGAAATGGCATACAGGTTTCTGGAATGTGTGTACACCGGAGTCCTTAGAATGAAGACCCAGACACACGATGCGTGCAGAAGCTTATCTACCACATGAAGTTTACAGAAAGAATGGGGTCTTGGATCACAGGGAAAAAAAAAAAAGGTTATGTGAGAAAACGACCCTGGCTAGCAACAGTGGACTTATTACATAGGTGGAACCACACTGGGAGTAGTCCTCAGAGAGAATAGACAGAAAATGTTTCTTTCAGACCTTTGGAGACCTCAGACTCTCAGTTAAGCTTTCCTAGATCCAGACAAGGGGGCAGACCTCAGAGAAAGCCTGGCTGCATCAAGGCAGATTCTCTACCAATGCAAATCTCCCCAAGACAGCTTTGCAGCTAAGTTTGTATTTCCAGCCCTTCTCAATAGCCATTTTGAAATATATCAAGGAAATACATTTAGGGGTAAAATATATTAGTTTCCTTCATACAGCTATAAAACATACAGGAATACTTTTTGTCAATATCTACTACAAATCCAATATAGCAGTAACTATAAAACCCACCATATATTGAAGAAAAAATATGTAGAGTACATCAATTACAAATGTTGATACTAAAATCCCAAATAAAATAAAAATAATATCCAACAATATTTGAAACAGTAAGACAAGAAATTACCAAAAAATAAATAAAACAAATATCCACCTTGGGGATGAAAGTGTGTTTCCAAATTTGGTAATCCAATAATATTAATAATCATATTGATTAGCCCAAATTAATAATAAATAGGGGATTCTCAGAACATGCCAAAATATATTTGTTAAAAGGCAATATTCATGTCTTTAAAGATTTTAAATGCTATAAAGAGTCTGATATTCGATATGCACACATGTGTATGTCCATTAGAAGAAGAGAGGCCTGATTTTCATATGTTACTGCATAGAGATAGAGAAGTGGATAGATTAATTTGTATATTCATAGAGAAAGCAAAAAATAGAAGCTTACTATCATATTAAAGGAATTTTAATTCAACAATAAATTAATTCAAAGTTAAAATTTTAAATATTTTTAACAGGTACATTATTAATATTAGATAATATTTATAATAATTGTGAAAACATTCAATGCTAAAATAAGATAGAATGTCTATACATCAGTATTAAAACTAGTATAAATATTTGCTTGTTTATACAAGGAAAATTCAAGCTCGACCTAAAATTTATATAGGAAATAAAAGAAAAATTTTATGGGAGCTCTTTAATAACATAAACATATACATATACACACACACATATAACATGTATACATGTTATATGGGATATAGATTTAACAGTTACATCTATATTTGTATCTATACAGCTGTATGTATCTACTTTTCTATATATTTACTCAGAGATATAAATATAGACTGGAATAAATATAAAGACACATATGATTCTTGGATAAAAAGGATTTAGTATCATAAAGACAAATTCTTTCCAAATTCACTTATGAATTCACAACAATATACAGTTTCATTAGTATAATTTAAAATTTTTAAATAAATTCCAAGATTCATTTAAAGGAATATACATGTATACAAGCAGTCAAGAAAGAAGCAAGAGTGCACTAAACTAACTTGCTATTAAAATACATTTTTAAACTTAGTCACTAAAACTGAGCAGTACTGATTTGGAGTACTGGAATTTCGGTATATGGGATCTCAAAAGCACAGAGCTCAAAGGAGACCCCTGTATGCACGAGAGTTTAGGAAGTGCTTTAGAAGGCATTACCAAACCACGGGCAAAGTTCCCTTAGTGTCTTAGTCTTACTAGGTTTGAAAAGCCAGAGAAAAGACTCAAGACCACCATATAAGAGCAAAACAAAAGGACAGGGAGAGAATGTGAAGACACTGAAACATTTTACTAAAGTTGTATAAAACATCCTTTAAAGAAAATGTAAAGTTTAGGATATACATCAAAATCAGCAGAGCCACTAAATGAATAAATAGGCATTGTAAAATAGCAAGAGAGAATTTAAATGGATTTCTAAAAAATATTGACACCTATGATTTTTAAAATATGTTTAAGAAATCCCATATTTCACAGGGCAGCCTTTCACAACACAGATATGTTAGGACATAAAGGTCCTTCTGTTTTTAATTTACTAGTGTTTATACGGTTGCAAATGTCTTCTACCCTTGTCTTTTCTCTGATGGTGCAAAAAATTTTCATAAGCATGTATTTCTGAATGCCTGATGGATTGACATATATAATATGCTGCTAGTGTTAAAATATGTGATGGAAAACGCATCCAATCTTCTCACTGTTTACATAAATTCTAGGTTTCTCCTATTTACCTCAAGCACGTATGGAGAGAATTCTTACCTTTTAATATTGCCATGGCATTCATATTGAACATAAGTTGAACTCTCTCATATGGTTGCTGGGTTCAGATTCCCTTGACAATTTCCAGTTCTAACCCTCACAGTTCCTCAGTGTGGCTGGCCCAGATATTGACCCTACACAGTTGCCTCCTCCGGGTGACTACCAGCTATGGAACCGTTGGATACAACCTACCTAACTCACCCCACAGACCTCACAGCGCACATGGACAGCCCCCACACGCCAGAGTGACCTGCTCAGTTGCAGCGGGAGTCAAGAAATGTGCCTGCTGGCACTCACCCCACCGACTAGTGCCCCGTGGAAAACTTATTCGGGTAATGTTCTGGGCCCAATAAAGGCTGGAGTCCCACATACCCCTTTTCTCTCTCCTGCTCCCCACTCATCTTCCCCATTTTGTTCAGCCCTATGAGGTGTGCTACTGTATTAGTCCATTTTCACACCTCCAGTAAAGACATGCCCAAGACTGGGTAATTTCCAGAAGAAAGAGGTTTAATAGATGCACAGTTCCACATGGCTGGGTAGGCCTCACAATCATGGTGCAAGGTGAAATGCACGTCTCACATGGCAGCCAACAAGACAAGAGAGCTTGTGCAGGGAAACTCCCCTTTATAAAACCATCAGACCTTGTGAGACTTATTCACTATCAGAAGAACAGCATGGGAAAGACCTGCCCCCATGATTCAATTACCTCCTACCTGTTCCCTCCCACAACATGTGGGAATTCAAGATGAGATTTGGCTGGGGACACAGCTAAACCCTCTTCTCAGCTACCCTCTTCTCTCTGGATCTGTAATAAACCTACTTCTGTGATTTCCCATGTTTGGTTCTGTGGCCTCCATGGGTCTGAGCTGACCTACACTGGAACCTAACTCTACTCCTGGCCAGGGTCTCTGAGAGGGGCTCTTGTCAGAAATACACAGGACACAGGTCAGGCAACAGTCACCAGGCCTCTCCTAGTCTCAACAGATGTTCTGTGAGAGGGAGGCCTGGTCGTGGGATGCACACCTGGCCACTGCTGGGGTAAGGAAGTGTCCTGTGAAAGGCACATGTTAAGCATCCACAACCTCCTGACCAGAAACCCAGAAAGGCAGGGCTCCAATTGACAGTCACTCTCCAGAGACAAACCTCAAGCCCTAACTGGAGGAAAAGAAAACAATGTAAAAAGTTGAATTTATCTTACTATGTCAATGATCCAGTAAAGATATTCAATGCCTGTACACCACATATTTTCTTCGATTGTGGATTTATTTTAGATAGAATTTTATGTCTGGCTTTCACTTTAGCCTGGTCCCTACCTCAAGCATAAGGTAAAGATTTTCCCTGGGTTCTTTTCTGGTACTACTACCTGCCAGTGTGGGGTCATGTCCTAGTCTATCTTGAGGGAATTCCCCTGTTCATTATTGTCAGAGTGAGACTGTTAAGTCTTGATTTTCCTGGACAACTTCACTGCATGACTTTTAATATGATTTTTTAATATACCCTTTACTGGACAATAAATTATATACCTATCTGAGTAATAGATATGGTCAGGAAGAGGCCTTGCCTCATTCAGCTTTTCTCTTTGGTGAACTCGCATATGTTCTCCTCACCCGCCAGTCATCTCTAAACCGTATTGTTCCAAGACAACAAACAGAACCCGAGTGTGAATCTTTCACCACTGGATTTGCGTTTCCTCCATAAAACTTCATGCTTAACAGGGTTTCTGTTAGCATTTTCTCTATTTATTTTCCCATAAAATATCACAGGCCTTCTTCATATGGAATTATGGGTGATTTCCTTCAATCTGAGTCATATCAAGTTGAGGTTCATGTTGATGAAAAGTAAAACATACGTTGAAAATATCAGTAATGATGTATTCCCCTCCTTTTCAGCACCTGTGCTTGTGATACAAGCACATTTTAATATAATTGTAGTCTCATGCTTTGATCATTCCTATGATGAAAATAACATTTTTAGATAAAATATCTGAGTTTTATGAGGCCTTTAGTATGTGATGTGATAGAATATCAGAAGACCATACTTTTTTCTAGTTTTCCGTGCAATTCTATCATTGTTTCATCTTTACACCTACCAGAGTAATTTTCCAAAATAGATATCTTGTCATTCTTCCTGTTGTTATCAGTAAATAAGTGAAATGAAAAGCTAGATTATATAATTTATGTAGAAAAAGAAAGTAGAATTGAATCTATATTCATTAATGAGACTAACCAGTCAATTACACAGATAGGCATTTTACATTTTGAAGATCATATGGACCCATTGTCAGAAATAATATTATTTATGTCTATATGGACATCACCTGTGCATATTTACATAGAAATCAATGAGAGCTGATTTTTATTTTTTTTATTTATTTATTTTTTTTGAGACAGAGTCTCGCTCTGTCGCCCAGGCCGGACTGCGGACTGCAGTGGTGCAATCTCGGCTCACTGCAAGCTCTGCTTCCCGGGTTCACGCCATTCTCCTGCCTCAGCCTCCTGAGTAGCTGGGACCACAGGCGCCTGCCACCACGCCCGGCTAATTTTTTTGTATTTTTAGTAGAGACGGGGTTTCACCTTGTTAGCCAGGATGGTCTCGATCTCCTGACCTCATGATCCACCCGCCTCGGCCTCCCAAAGTGCTGGGATTACAGGCGTGAGCCACCGCGCCCGGCCTTTATTTTTATTATATATATTTTTTGAGATAGTGTCTTGCTTTGTTGCCCAGGCTGGAGTGCAGTGGTGCAATCACTGCTCACTGCAGCCTCAGCCTCCCAAGCTCAAGCAATCCTTCCACCTTGACCTCCCAAATAGCTAGGACAACAGGTGCACATCACCATGACCACTTTTTTTTTTTTTAACTTTTGATAGAGACTGGGTCTTGCTATGTTGCCCAGGTTGCTTTTGAACTCCTGGGCTCAAGGAATCCTCTCATTTCAGTCTCTTCAACTGCTGTTATTACAAGCATGAACCACCATATGGGCTGGAAGCTGATTTTTAAAATACTGAGATCATATAGATGACAGCACCTGAAAAATAGACAACACCAAGCTTTATGTTAAAAGGTGTGAGGGTATCAATATTGTTGTGGCTATTGGGGAGGAAAACATTAGCAAAACCAGTAAGTTAAAGCTCTTGCTTTAAACTTTGGCTTTAATATAACAAATGTTCTATGGAGTGACAGTATGTATGTAACCATGCTATGCCCATTCACAGATGCAGTAGAGGGAAGAATTTCCCAAAGACAACTGTTCTAAGACTCAAATTAAACCGTACTGGGTTTGAAAAGAGAAAGTCCATGAATTACCAAATATTTCAGATATCAGATAAAAGAGAATGCCAGGTATGCGATGATAATCAGCAATGGTTGTTCACACAACACATCAGATCAGTATTTGAATTAGCTTTTGAATTACAAGGACAAATGGATCAAATCTAGACTCTTTAGTAGATAAATCTTATTAGGCTGAGATGTGTTTTCCCCTGGTTTTCCACAGGGAGATTACAAATTTGCAAACCTCAGCTGCTCTCATTTTATGCTCTCACCAAGCCAAAAGCTGAAGTTCATCAATCAGTGTGTCTAAGTGTTCACTGGTTATATACCGTTTTGTAGTTTCAGCTGCCTTTCCAACTTCCTAAATCATCATCTTCATTTGATCTTGTTTTTTTCCACTATCACTTCTTTATTGACCATATAAACAATATAAGTTCTTATTTTGTTATTGTTCATTTTAGTCTAATTTCATCAAAATATCACAATCTCTTAATTTCATTTTAATTTCAAAGTTTAAATGAAACCTACATAGAAATGAGTGTAAGATTTACATTTGCATTATTTTGGCATCAATTTGCTATCCTCCCTCATGCACATAGAGATCATTTCCATGTAAGTGATTTCAAACATCCAAGTGCAGTATTAAAAGCAGTTGTAAATTATGGTTCTCATTTTCATGATACAATTACAATATAAACTTCCTCTTGCTGCTGTAACCAATTACCACAAACTTCATATCTTACAATAAAGTGACCGTTAATCCTACAGTTCTGTAGTTCAGAAGCCTTAAATGAAACTCACAGGGCTAACATCAAGTTTTGGGCAGGGCTGCAGTCTTTCTGAGGGCTATGTGGCAGAATCTACTACTTGATTTTTTTCAGCATCCAGAGGCCACCTTTATCCTTGGAACATGACCTCATTCTTATATCCTATTTTTCTTATTTTTTTTGGTGATGGATTCTCCTTCTGTCACCCAGTCTGGAGTGCAGTGGCACGATCTCAGCTCACTGCAACCTCTGCCTCCCGGGTTCAAGTGATTCTTCTGCCTCAGCTTCCTGAGTAGCTTGGACTACAGGCACTTGCCACCATGCCCAGTTAATTTTTTGTATTTTTAGTAGGGATGGGGTTTCACCATGTTAGCCACGATGGTTTCGATCTCCTGACCTCGTGATAAACCCACTCCAGCCTCCCAAAGTGCTGAGATTAGGCGTGAGCCACCGTGCTGGGTCCTCATTATTGTATCTTAAAAGTCAGTGATGTTGAGCAATTTCTCATGCCACCACCTCCAAGGTTGCCTTTCTTCTGCCTTCTTCTTTCACTTATAAGGAAGTTTGTCATTTCATTGATCCCACCCATTTAAGACAATCTCTCTATCATTTTTCCAGAACCTTAATTTCACTTGAAATCTAATTTCACACTGCCGTGCAACCTAACATATTTGTATGTTAGACTCTGGGAATTAGGACATGAAAATTTTTGGGAGGCCATTCTTTTGCCTACAGCAGACATAATCTATTTACCTGCAGATGAAAGCATTCTTTATTTTTCTGTCTCCCTCTCTTAATTTTTTAAAAAGAATATGAATTGTAGTAAAGAGAAAGAAAAGAAATCAAAAAAAGAAAAAGGAAGGAAAGAAGGAAGGACATAAAGAAAGAAGAAAGAAAAGAAGGAGGAAATGAGGGAAGAAGGGAGGGAGGGAGGAAGGGAGAAAGGCAGGAAGGGAGGAAAAAGAAAGCATGAACACAAGAAAGAAAGAAAGAGAAAGAAAGAGAGAAAGAAAGAAAGGAGGAAGGGAGGAAGGAAAGGAAGAAAAGAGAATGGTAAAAGGGAGGAAGGCATAGAAACAAAGAAAATAAAGAGGTGTAGGAAGGAAGAAAGGAAGGAAAAAGAGGAAAGGAAGGGAGAGAGGAAGGAAGAAAAGGAGGGTGGGAGGAAGGGAGAAAAAAGGAAAGAAAGCAAGAAGGTGAGAAAGAAAGAATATGAGAAAAGAAGGAAGAAAATGGAGAGAGAAAGGAAGGGAAGGAGGAGGGAAGGAAGAATAAGAGGAAAGAAAGAAAGAAGGAAAGAAGGAAGGAAGGATAAAAAAGAAAGAAGAGAAAGAAAGGAAAATAAAAAAGAAAAGAAAAGGAAAAGGAAAAGAAGGAAGGAAGAAGGCAGGGGAAGGGAAGAGAAGATAAAGGAAGATGGAAAGAAGGAAGGAAGAATGCAAATATTAGAAATTCTGGGTTTGTTAGACAATATGCCATACTGTTTTTTTTTTCACTTGAAAGGAAAGAGTATCTGCCATTGAAGATTGGATGTCTTGTTGGTGATATTGTTGTTCCTATCTTCCACATGATTACTGAGTTTGTGCCTAGTCTTTCCATTACTAAGACAAAAGTGTTGAAGTCTGCAAATATAATTTTGGATTTTTGTAGTTCACCTTTGATTTCTTTCCTGTTTTACCTCATGTATTTGGAGGTTCTGTTGTTAGCTGCATACCCTAATTAGTAGGATGTTTACATCTTCTTGAGAATTGATTATTTTATTACCTATTTTCTCTCATCTCTGATAGTATTTCTTGTTCCGAACTCTGTTGTGTCTAATATCAATGTAGTCCTTCCACAGCCTTATTTTAGTGTTTCCATGATATGGCTTTCTCCATATCTTGATGATAACCTATTTATATCTCTATATATTTGGAGCAAGATATAAAATTTAGACTTGATTTTTAAAAGATTTTTCAAGATGTAATTCTTATTTCTTTTTGTTCTATTTGACATTCTCTGAGTTTCCTATATTTGAAGTTTGATTTTCTGTCACTTCTTGCAGAATATTTTTGGCAGTCATTTTGAAAAACATTTCTTTTGCTCCATTATTTTTCCCTCTTTTCTTTTTGGGATTTCAATCATAACTAGAGTAGTTAATTTCATCTCAGTCTTATGCAGGTACTTTTTCTCAGGGTCTCAGGAATGTAGTCTTCTCACACTTCTGTTCTTTTCCTGGCTGTGTTGGTGAGCTCAGTGATATTCCTCCTTCACCTTCAAGAGCAGTTTTTTTTTCTTGTTTTCATACTCCCAGCATCAGGAGTATTCTAAGTGTGGCAGTTTTTGTTGCCTTCCCCTACATATTAAGTGGAATGTCTTGGTCTATGTGGACCCTTATAACAAAATAACATAAACTGGGTGACTAAAAAACAACAGATATTTCTTTTTTCACATTTCTTGAGGCTGTAAGATCTCAGGCCAAGATACTCACAAATTCAGTGTTGATGAGAGCCCATTTCATGGTTCATAGATGGTGCCTTCTTTCTATGTCCTCACATAGTGGAAGGCACACAAGAACTCCACTGAGCTTCTTTTATAAAGGCACTAATCCCATTCATAAGGGCTCGGCCCCCAAGACCTGGTCACCTCCCAAGTGTTCTGCTCCCCCTGATCTGTGTCATATACAGACTCTCTTGGATTCCTTACCAATCGCTTGAGAGATCGCAGTGGGTTTGTGGGGAAAATGTTTTCAAGATGATGGATATTTCCCAACTTCTGCAGCGTCAGAGGTCTCCCAATCTGACCAGCCCCACTTTGTCTTTAGGAATTTATTGATTATTCCAGCTTTACTTGTCATAGTGGTGTCTATTTGCATCTGTCCTATGTAAGTGCATCTGTCCTCTTTCTCCTTGCAGGTGCTTGTTTTCCCTCACATTTTGACTCAGTTCTTGGCAACCTCGTTGCTATAAAAATAAAGTCATGACTTTGAAGTTAGTTTGGTTCTTTCATTGCTGTCAGGTTAGGAAACCTATTCCATCCCAGATCTCCAAAACCTAGACGTTTTGGGGGGTTGAAATTTTAGGCTTTCTCTTTGAATTGTGGTTGTATCTTCTTTCAGTTACCATTAGCATTTTCATAATGATTAATGAGACTAAGCTTTTTTTGTGTATTTGACTGTAACTTTGAATTTTTTTAATTTGGAATATAAACACCTTTTTAATTTGGAATTAAAACACCTTTTTTAAATTTGGAATATAAAGAGAAAAGAGAAAAATAGAAAGCTATGCATAAACACGTGCATTAAAATGAATTTTATGTGGGCTTTTTCATGAAAATGTTCCTAAGATTTTTTTTTTTTATTGTGGTAAAATACACATAACATAAAATGTACTCTGTTAACCATTTTAAATGTACAGTTCAGTGGTACTAAATATAGTCATAACATTGTGCAGCCATCCCTACCATCCATCTCCATAATTCGTTTCATCTTGTAAAACTGAAACTCTGTACCCATTAAACAATACTTCCCCATTTCTTCCTCCCCTCAACTTCTGGCAACCATCATTGTACCATCTCTATGATTCTGTCCACTTTAATACAAACGGAATTATACTGTATTTGTCCTTCAGTGACTAACTTATTTCACTTGGCATAATATCATCAAGTTTCATCCAAGTTGCAACATATGTCAGAATATTTCCCTCATGTTTAAGGCAGAATAATATTCAATTGTATGCATATATGATATAGTGCTTATCCATTCGTCTGTTGTTGGACACTTCAATTGCTTCTACGTTTTAGCTATTGCCAATAACGCTGCTGCAAACATGATGTGCAAATATTTTTTCAAGACTCTGCTTTCAATTCTTTTGCTATCCTGAGATGTGGCGCTGCTGAATCATATGGCAATACCATTTTGATGTTTTGAGGGACTACCATACTCTTTTCCACAGCAAACATAGCATTTGGCATTCCCTCCAATACTGCAAAACGAATCGCCACATCCTTGCCTGTGGATTTTATTCACAAGTCCTGTGGCTCTCTCTAATTCCCGGCCATATGACATCAAATGTGCAGGAAGTAATGAACTATAGTGGAAGGATAAACATGTAGAAAAATAGAGGTAAATACTGACTACATAAAACCATAAGAATAAGAATTTTGGATGATCTGTCTATTATATACCTATTTATCTAACATCTATCTGTTCCTCCATCTGTAATTAAAATATATTACAGTTAGAGAACAGAGGAAAAAGTAGGAATACATGAATTTAAATTTTAATTCTTCTTAGATTGTCTCACAGCATCATTATAGGAAAGAAAATTTATAGGTCAATATCTGTTAACTATAAATGTAACATTCTTAAATAATTCAAATACATTGAATTACAGCATGAATAATATATTACGATCCATTCAAGTTTATTTTATTCCAGGAGCACAAAAATACAAATTTCATTTGCAATTCAAAAAAAAAAAAAAACAGAAATCGATACATATGATTGATGTATATACACACTTAATGTATTTTTAAATATACATTTTTTAAAAATAGAAATTTTTCTAGGACAAATACTTAAAATATCACTGAAAATAGTGTTATTAGCAAATACCTTCCTAATAACTCTAGTATTACATAAGAAACCAAAATTAAAATTTCAGGTACACTTAGAAAGTAAAAATTTTAAAAATATTATTCTGTTCTCCTTATGTTCATATTTAATATTATTTCTTGTTTTCATTCGTCTTCAGTGTTGCTCTACTAAAATATAACATAAAATACTAACTTTTGATTTCTGTTCTTATTACGCAGAATTGTGTACATTTTCTCATGCTCTTAATTTAGTTATGCTACTTTTCTGTACTCTTGGAATTTTCACATTTGTATTCACTCTCTTCTGAGTTCCTATAGTATCAAATGAGCTTTTTTCCCTCTTTCTGATTTGAAGATTCATCTTCCCATAATTTTTTTTCCACTCAGTTGTTTTTCATTCTCAGTTAAGTGCCTCTCATCTGGTTTCTTTTCATTTATAAGGTTTCCTTTCATCTTAAGCCAGTCTTTCATTTATATTTTGATTCTGTTTTGTGGACGACAGGCTTCCCTGAATTTTATGGAAGAGGCCAAAAGGTTTGTTCAAGTTTTTACCTGATACATTGGATTAAATTATCTAATGTACACACTCTTAATTTAAGTCTAGGAGGGACTGTCTACTCTTGATTTTTTATAGTATTATTTTTCTTAACATCCAAGTCCATCTTCATCTATTTGTATAAGATCAATAAAAATATATTTGTCCAGAACCCTGCTTTGGTGGAGTTACTTCTTTATAAGTAGTAGAGGTAGCAGTTAAGACATGAGCTGGGTTCTGGGTCAGTTTAGAGGGCTGGGCGACATTCCTCCTTTTGGTCTGTATGACTGAATGAATGCAGTTTTTGCTGTCTCGCTCCTCTCCTTAACACATTGGGCCATTGCAGCAGATGAGAAGGAATAATCTTGATCTGCCATTCAGGTGGAACACATGTTCTCTCCAACCACACCCATAGGTTGTACTCACACTCGGCCAGAAGGTATCCTGTCAGTGATATGGAGATGTATCTATCTATCTAGATAGATATCTACTTTGGTTTATGCTCTCTGGTTGCCCGTAAATTATCTCCTTAAAGTGAAAATCAAAATAGAGCTTGATGATGGCAGTGTTATAAAATCCTCAAAATGCAGCACCCACACCCAGAGGAATTTGTAGATTCTGGGATTCTAATTCAGATACCAAACTATATAAAAGGGGAATTGGTCATTGAGGGTTGCTAGGCTCTTTGTTGAGCATATTTGCTCTTTTCATGACTTCGAAATTATTTTAAAAATCTAACCTTTTTCTCAGTGTGCTGCAAGATGATTTGATTTGAATGCATAAGCACTAATTCTCCCCTAAGATTTGTACAATATATTTGCTCTGACAAGCCATAGCCAGCAACTCACTTCCCAGCAATTTATAACATTTCCATGATAAGTTGAATTATTTTTAACTAGACACTCTTTGCCTTAATAAAAATATGAAGAAGCAATATACTTGTTCTAATTAGGTTCAAAAGTTGGCAGTCTCTCTCCTGGAAAGAATAGTAAAACTTTACAGGGACCTAATATGCATCTATAAACACACACACACACACACACACACACACACACACACACACACGTAAGCACTATTTATAATATTTAAAGCACATTCTGTTCTATGACTTCATTTGTCTAGCACAAAATAAAACGATCTCAGTATATGTCAAGTACCAATTTTTTCGTATGGCCAATTATAGATATTTTATTTTTTAAAGATTAGAGTGTTCTTGAAGCTCTTTATATTTCTTTGTTTATGAACTAAACATTGGCAAATATGTAGGGTTTCCCACATAAGAACATTATTAACATCAAAATAGAAAGCTGGTGGTAGAAATAATGATTGGGAACACAGAGTCTCTACTCAACGTTCTAGTTCTGCCATACCATAACTTTGTGATCTCAGGAAATATCTCTCCATGTTGTCATCTCTATGTATAGTTCTGTCATTTTTCAATAAGAGCTTTTTGCTTAATTATGAAGTACTAGTTACTATAACCATTATTTTGAGTTTCATGTAAATCAAGAACACATGGACTCCACTTGCAAAACATCGAAAATGTAGTTAGGGATTGGGGGCATAAAGCAACATTTTAAAATGTGTAAAGACAATGAGTATGCAACAAAGTGTCCAATTTTTTAGAGGAAAGTTGCATACGTTAGGAAAAGGCAGGATTAAGTAACAGAGAATTTGAATGATAACTGGCCAATTGGTGTCATTTACAATTGCAAGTCATGCAAATGAAGTTTTCTGTTTTAAAGAGAAAAGGAGTTATTTAGAATGGGTCAACCTATTGGGGAAGCAATGTAGTTAGAGACAATGCCCAAAACCATGTGAGCAGATGCTCTGTAGAGCGCACCCCTGCAATGCTGCCATTGTGAGGCCAAATCTCTCCTCGTCTTGGTACTGAGCCCTCCGTTCTGCCTCCATCATTGCCACTGTAGCTGCCACAAAATGATCCCTCAACCACCGCTGCCCAGGAACAAAGAAATAATTCTGCTTCCGTGCTCTCAGATCAGTTTCCAACATAGGTGAGCCTTTGATGGGCACTATTCAGTTCCCATATCCCTGAAATAGATGCAGTAAAAACATAGAAATTTCCTATGTGTTTCCCAATAAGACACATATGGAAGCCTGTTTTCCCACAACAGGAAGGGGTTTGCACAATGGGTGTTCAAAGGAACAATATTCCCTGTAAACCATACTTTGCCCGTATGAAGAAAAGCAATAAGGATTATTTAGTAAATAGACATGGAAACTCATCCAGGGTTGGCTGATGAGAAGCTGGTTAGCAAGGGGGTCTGCCTTCAGTTAGGACAAGGTCTGTGCTTCCCACGGGTTCTCTCCACAGCAGGAGGGATGCAAACTTCCCTTTCCTCCCCTGCACCTACCCTCAAATGGCCCAGAGGACTTCAGGTGCTAGAATTTCTCAATGAATGCTGCACAAAATATCAGACAGCCTTGACTGTCACACTCTGTTCTCATGAAGCTAGTCTCTGCTCACTACATAAAACAGGAGAGTAAGAACAAGGGTGTTTAACGCTACCCTAGCTCAAACATGTTTCTCTCTGTATTATGCCAAGAACCTGGGAACCAGTGCATCTGCTGCTTTCCCTTCTTGGATCCTAGCCCAGACAAAAGAGGCAAGGGGCATTTCTTCAGAGGCCTTGAGCTTCACTACACAATGCCCCAGGCTCTACATGCACCCTCTTTATATATTTCTACCTTGAAAAAAAATTTCTATATAATATTAATAATGTATATTTTTACATAATAAACACATATGTTTATTTTATAGATAGATATAGATATACATAGATAAAGATCTCTAGTCAGTCTTTTTTAAGGCTGGGCTGATCTCGGTGCCTCAAAACTATAATCCCAGCAGTTTGGGAGGCCAAGGTGGCCAGATCTCTTGAGTCCAGGAGTTGGAGATCAGCCAGGGCAACATGGTGAAACCCCATCTTCACAAAAATTAGCTAGTATGGTGTCATGCACTTGCAGTCCCTGCTACTCAGGAGGCTGAGGTGGGAGAATCACTTGAGCACAGTATGTGAAGGCTTCAGTGAGCTCTAATCACATGACTGCACTCCATCTTGGGTGACAAAGTGAGACCCTCTCTCAAAAATAAAATAAAATAAAATAAAAAGGCTACCACCATACTCACAGATAATTGTGTCAGGTATATTTGCAGCTATCCTTCCTATATTCTATTTGGTAAAAAAAAAATGCGAAGAACTCTTCTCATTCTAGATTTTTGTATTAATTAGATATTTGAAGTTTATAGCAGAAGAGCTATAATCATGTTTGGTATGTGTACTCTATAGACCAGATAGTGCAAACAGATATCAATGCTTTTTAAAAGTATATAAGGTTATTAGAAATATTTTAAACTACCTATAGGTATATATGTATCTAATTGAACTATCAAATGCAAGTAAGATCACTTCCTTAGCATGTGAAATCCACTCAATTTATTAAAATATTTTCTAATATCTATTACAATAATATTTCTTAATTAGCTAACATAAGAGGAGTTTTAAGACATTTATTTATATGTACTTACTAGATTCAAAGTCGATTCCACTATTTTCAGAAATCATGCTCTGAGACAAGTCCTTTTTTTATCTAACTATGTTTCTGCCTATATTAAAAGACAGATATGTCAATTTTGCTAGTCACGCTGTTCCAAACCTCTCCATCCTGATTATTTTTTGGTTTGTTCTAGCAGTCATTCAGAGACTTACTTATATTCAAATTTCTCTCTGGGTCTAACATTTGTGTATGTCTTCTTGTGGTTTTGTCTAATTTTGCTGTATATAATTTAAGACATTTTATTGACATATATCATACATGCAGAAAAGTACAATGATTAAATATGGATAGCTTGATTAATGAAACACATGTATTTGCTTATAGCCATGTACGAAAATAGAACATTACTAAAAATAGTGATACTTCTCCTGCCCCTTTCCAAACACTAACCCTCATCCTCAATAGTAACAGATTTTTTTTATCATAGAATAATTTGGTCTACTTTCAAATTTTTATTAAATAAATCAGAGTATCTACTCTATGTTTATTTCATTGTTGTTATTTTGCTTGTAGTATTTATCTGCTAATGGACATGGTAGATTGAAGACGGCTACATACACATTTTTTAATTAATAGATTTTTTGAGCACTTTGTGGCTCAGGCCTCTAATCCCATCACTTTGGGAGGCTGAGGTGCGTGGATCATAAGCTCCGGAGATCCAGAGAATCCTGGCCAATGTGGTAAAACCCCATCTCTACAAAAATACAAAAAATTAGCTGATAGGTAACATCAAGATAACATCTGAGTTCTTACCTGCACTGAGTCAAGCCTACTTACATCTATGTCTTCTGCGGCACTTTTCCTTCCACATCACAGTCCAGGAATGCCAAGCTGTGTTGTCCTTCTACCCCATTTCCACTATTGTGCCCCTGCCACCGTGGCTTTTTGCCGCCGCTGCTTTTTGTCGCCACTGCCGAGTGTTTTTTACCTCCACTGCTTTTTGCCACTGCCGCCGCGGCTTTTTGCCCCCACGCTGGGGCTTTTTGCGGCTCCTTGACCCACCACCGGGGCTTTTTGCACCCTCCGCCGCGCCTTTTTGCCCCCGCCGCTGCGGCATTTTCCCCCGCCTCGCGGCTTTCTGCCCCCGCCGCTATGGCTTTTCGTCACCGCTGCCGCGGCTTTTTGCCCCCGCCGCTGCGGGTTTCTCCCGCCGCGGCTTTTTGCCCCCGCCGCCGTGGATTCTTACCCCTGCCGCGGTGGCATTTTGACCCCATCACCGTGGCTTTTTGCGGGTTTTTGCCGCTGCGGCTCTTTGCCTCCGAAGCCACTGCTTTTTGCCCTTGGCGCCGTAGCTTTTTGCCCCCGCCGCCGCGGCTTTTTGCCCCCGCCACTATGGCTTTTTGCCACCGTGGCTCTTTGCCTCCGAATCCACGGCTTTTTGCCCCTGCCGCCACAGGTTTTTGCCGCCGCAGTTTTTTGCCGCCACGGCTTTTTGCCCCCTCCGCCATGGCTTTTTGCTCCTGCCGCTGAGGCTTTTTGCCACCACGGTTTTTGCCCCCACCGCTGCTGCTTTTTGCGGCTTTTTTCCCCTGCTGCTGCGGCTTTTTGGCCCCACAACTTTCCCCCCGTCGCCGTGGGATTTTGCAGTTTTTCTGCCCCCGCCGCCGCTGCGGCTTTTTGCCCCGCAGCTATGGTTTTTTGCCCCCGAAGCCACAGCTTTTTGCCCTCGCCGCCTCGGCTTTTTGCAGCATTTTACTCCCCGCCGCCGTGGCTTTTTGCCCCCACCGCGGCTTTTTATCCCCATCGCCGTGGCTTTTTGGGCCCTCCACCGTGGCTTTTTGCAGTCACAGCTTTTTATCCCCACTGCCGCGGCTTTTTGGACCCACCACTGTGGCTTTTTGCAGCCGTGGCTTTTTGCCCCCGCCACCGTGGCTTTTGGCTCCTGCCACTGAGGCTTTTTGCCGCCACGGTTTTTGCCCCTGCCGCCACTGCTTATTGCGGCTTTTTGCCCCCCGCCACCGCGGCTTTTTGCCCCCGTGGATTTTTCCCCCTGTCTCCACGGGTTTTTGTGATTTTTTTGCCCCTGTTCCTGCTGCTTTTTGCACCCACTGCCGCAGCTTTTTGCCCCACTGCTACGGTTTTTTGCCACTGTGGCTTTTTGCCCCCGAAGCCACAGCTTTTTACCCTTGCTTCTTGTGGCTTTTCGCCCCCACCGCTGAGGCTTTTTGCTGTCGCGGTGGTTGTTACCGCCGCCGCTGTTTTTGCGGCTTTTTGCCCCCGCCGCTACGGCTTTTTACCGCTGCAGCTTTTTGCCCCTGAAGCCACGGCTTGTTGCCCTCACCGCTGCGGCTTTTTGCACCCGCCGCAGGGGCTGTTTGCCCCCGCTTCCGTGGCTTTTTGCCACTGCTGTTTTTTTCCCCTGCCAGCACGGGTTTTTGCCCCCGCCGCCGCGGGTTTTTGCTGCCACAGCTTTTTTTTTAACCACCACCTCCGTGGCTTTTTGCCCCCACCGCAGCAGTTTTTTGCCTCCACCGCCGAGGTTTTTGCCCCCACCACCTTGGCTTTTTGCAGCTTTTCGCCCCTGTCACTGCAGCTTTTTTGCCCCCTGCCAACGTGGCTTTTTCCTCCAGCCGCCAAGGCTTTTTGTGTTTTTTTACCCCCCTCCCGCTGCTTTTTGCCCCCGCCTCAGCAGCTTTTTACCCCCTCAGCGAGGCTTTTTGCCCCCACCGCCACGTCTTTCTCCAACCGCTGCCGTGGTTTTTGCCCCTGCCACTGCGCCTTTTTGCCACCGTGGCTTTTTGCCCCCACTGCCTTTGGAACCTTAATTTCACTTGAAATCTAATTTCCCACTGCCATGCAACCTAACATATTTGTATGTTAGACTCCGGGAATTAGGACATGAACATTTTTGGGAGGCCATTACTTTGTCTACAGCAGACATAATCTATTTACCTGCAGATTAAATTGTGCTTTATTTTTCTGCCTCTCTTTCTTAATTTTTTAAAAATAATATGAATTGTAATAAAGAGAAAGAAAAGAAAGAAAAAGGAAGGAAGGAAAGAAGAAAGAAAAGGAAGAAATGAGAGAAGGGAGGGAGGGAGGAAGGGAGAAAGGCAGGAAAGGAGAAAAAAGAAAGCAAGAACTCAAGAAAGAAAGAGAAAGAAAGTGAGAAAAGAAGGAAAGAGGAAGGAAAAGATGAAGAGAGACTGGTAAAAGGGAGGAAGGCAAACAAAATAGAAGGGAGGAAGGAAGGAAAAAGGAAAGGAAGGGAGGGAGGAAGGGAAAAAGGGAGGGAGGAATGGAGAAAAAAGGAAAGAAAGTGAGAAAGAATAGGAGAAAAGAAGGAAGAAAAGAAGGGAGGGAGAAAGGGAGGGAGGAGGGAAGGAAGAATAAGGGGAAGGAAAGAAGAAAGGAAGGAGAAAAAAGAAAGGAAAAGAAAGCAGAAAAGAAGAAAGGAAGGAAGAAGGGAAGAGAAGAGAAAGGAAGATGGAAAGAAGGAAGGAAGAACGCAAATATTAGAAATTCTGGGTTTGTTAGAGAAAATGCCATACTGTTTTCTTTTCACTTGAAAGGAAAGAGGATCTGCCATTGAAGATTGGATGTCTTGTTGCTGATATTGTTGTTCTTATCTTCCACATGATTACTGAGTTTGTGCCTAGTCTTTCCATTACTAAGACAAAAGTGTTGAAGTCTGCAAATATAATTTTGGATTTTTGTAGTTCACCTTTGATTTCTTTCCTGTTTTACCTCATGTATTTGGAGGTTCTGTTGTTAGCTGCATACCCTAATTAGTAGGATGTTTACATCTTGAGAATTGATTATTATATTATTTATTATCTCTCATCTCTGATACTATTTCTTGTTCTGAACTCTGTTGAGTCTAATATCAATGTAGTCCTTCCGCAGCTTTATTTTAGTGTTTCCATGATATGGCTTTCTCCATATCTTGATGATAAGCTATTTATATCTCTATATATTTGGAGCAAGATATAAAATTTAGACTTGATTTTTTAAAGACTTTTCAAGATGTAATTCTTATTTCTTTTTGTTCTATTTGACATTCTCTGAGTTTCCTATAACTGAAGTATGATTTTCTGTCACTTCTTTTAAAATATTTTTGGCAGTTATTTTGAAATATATTTCTTTTGCTCCATTATTTTTTCCTCTTTTCTTTTTGGGATTTCAATTATAACTAGGGTTGGGAATTTCATCTCAGTCTTATGCAGGTACTTTTTCTCATGGTCTCAGGAATGTAGCCTTCTCACACTTCTGTTCTTTTCCTGGCTGTGTTGGTGTGCTCAGTGATATTCCTCCTTCACCTTCAAGAGCAGTTTTGTTTTGTTTTTCCTGTTTTCATACTCCCAGCATCAGGAGTATTCTAAGTGTGGCAGTTTTTGTTGCCTTCCCCTACATATTAAGTGGAATATCTTGGTCTATGTGGACTCTTATAACAAAATAACATAAACTGGGTGACTAAAAAACAATAGATATTTCTTTTTTCACACTTCTTGAGGCTGTAAGATCTCAGGTCAAGATGCTCACAAATTCAGTGTTGATGAGAGCCCATTTCAGGTTCATAGATGGTGCCTTCTTTCTATGTCCTCACATAGTGGAAGGCACACAAGAACTCCACTGAGCTTCTTTTATAAAGGCACTAATCCCATTCATAAGGGCCCGGCCCCCAATACCTGGTCACCTCCCAAGTGTTCTGCTCCCCCTGATCTGTATCATATACAGGCTCTCTTGGATTCTTTACCAATTGCTTGAAAGATCGCAGTGGGTTTGTGGGGGAAAAGTTTTCAAGATGATGGATATTTCCCAACTTCTGCAGCTGTCAGCGGTCTTCCAATCTGACCAGCCCCACTTTGTCTTTAGGAATTTATTGATTATTCCAGCTTTACTTGTCATAGTGGTGTCTGTTTGCATCTGTCCTATGTAAGAGCATCTGTCCCTTTTCTCCTTGCAGGTGAAAGTACTCAGGAGTACACTGTTGTTACTAATTACTCAGTATTGGTTGGTACATTGTCAAAGATCAAAAAAACATTTTTAAAGTTAAAAAAAATTCTTGGAGGTTGTGTAATGAAGGGTTAATTCTGCAGACATGGCTTTCGAAAACCTTGCACATTCCAAAGGTCTTCAGGACTGGCCCTTGACAAGCTCCTGGGAGATGATAACCTATGAGCCCTTGGTATATGCTGCCTGAAGAGAGTCTTTGTATATCTGAAAACATAGGTCATATCAAATAGCTGATGTTAACAACGTGATTTCTTGTGAGCACCTGTTTCTGTATGCCTATGACTTTGTGTAATGCCATATTAATATGACCTCTCTTAGGGCATAGGGAGGTTGGGAACTAAGTAGCTAAGTTCAGTCACAGGACGCTCGATGCATATGTGGTGGAATCCTAATAAAAACCCTGGACTCAAGACTGACTGAGCTTCCCTAGTTGGCAACAAGTTCACACATGTTGTCTCACACCATTGTAAAGAAAATTAGTCAGTGTGAAGTCCCCACTATGAAAGGACACCTGTAAGCTCACATCTGGTTTGTCCTGGACTCAACTTTATGTGCTTTTATGCTTCTGATTATTTTAATCTGGTTTCTTTCACTGTTAGAAACTATAACCATAGAAAAAATCAGCTTTCTTGGGTTATGTGAATCATTAAACAAAGGGGGACTTGGGGACCCCCAATAGAAAGTATATATGTTCTTAAAAAGAAAAAGAAAACTGGCTATAGCAGATATTGCTGATGACTTGTCTTCTATGTCCTGGACTCAATGTGTTCACCTGAAATTCACCTGTTTCCAGCTAACTGAGAGCTCCCCACATCATGCCTGTCTTTCTGATTTTTGGGCCTGCCTGCAAGCTTCTTGAGGCTAACCAGTGCTTCTCAACCACACATAGGAAAAAAGAAGGAGTTGGGGTGGAGAGTTAATGATTCTAAGGCAATCCTTAAGCAATAAGAGATGGGGATTCCAGCATCCCCATCTCTTTGTAAAGTTATTTTGAGACAATCTCCATACCTCCATCATTACTGAGCACAGCAGTAACTACTCATTCACACTGGCTTCATGTTCTGTTTCATTTTCTCCACTTGTGTGCTTTCTCACTCAATTTCTGATTAAAGTATCTGACCCCAGATATTTGTTTCATAGTCTATTTTTGAGGGAATCCAGAGCCAAGACAATAACAATGGGAGCTTTGCAATGAGGGAGGGTGAGTATAATCATCAGAAGTTTACCTACCTCACTGGGAACATGAAGGCCTGGAGAGCTTGCTGTTTCAATGAGAGAAACATGTTGAATCTCAGTTGAATACCTATGTATACATACATACATATATATATATATATATATATATGTGCAATAAGACGTGCCCTTTACTTATATCAAAGGAAAGTGCTCTTTACCTCTCTTTGTTGTTGTGTTTTTATCACTATTGTCTACACAAGCAGAATATCATACCCAGGATTTAAAGCCCTCTCTGCAGGATTTTCAAGCTCATATTTTTATCATAAGTCACTCTGCTTCCATGTGTTTTCAATCTAATCCTCATTCCTCTGCTTTTACTCCAGAGAATTCATCACTGACTTATTTTTGACTGACCTCCTTATAGAGCTGTCAAGTACACAATTTCTGCTGTGACCTTTCTCTTAGAGTTCAGTCATATAGCCTCTCACTAAATATCATTTCCTCTTATCTTTCCTAATAATGAATTGTCAGTTAAAGCTCAATATTTTTAAGATTGAGCTTACCGTCTGCACACACACACACACCATTATTGGTGTATTCTCATAGCCTTGAAACACTAATGTCACGTTGATGTCTGCCTTTTCTTTCTCTGCTACCTCATTCCTTATCCTTAGATTATTCTAAAATATTCAATTAGATCAAGTTGGCTAATTATATTTATAAGATCCTCTCTACCATTACCAACTTTTCGTTTAACAAAATTTAAAAATTTCTGGCAGGAGACTGTTGAAATCCCCATGGATGACTGTGGCTTTACTATTTTACATTTCAGTTTTAATACGTTTTATATTATGTATTTTGAAGTAATGCTATTGTGTGCATACATACTTCTTATTTACATGACTTCTTGGTGTCATTTTGAAATGTTATTCTTCATCCCCAGTGATATTTCCTGTTGTGATGTCTACTTTGCTCATCACAGATTTAGGGGGTTTGGTTTGTTTGTTTTTCTATTTTTTGGTTCAAGTAAGTTTCTTATAAATCTGTTCGATTGCATTTGATGATTCCATTTGATTCCATTCGAGGATTCCACCCGATTCCATTCGATGATGATTCCATTCGAGTTGATTAAATGATTCAATTCGAGTCCATTCAATGATTCCATCCGATTCCATTCAATGATGACACAATTCGAGTCCCTTCATTGATTCCATTCAATTCCATTCTATGATGACCGCATTCGGTTCCATTCGATGATGATTCTAATGGATTCCATTCGATTTCACCATTCGATTCCATTCCTTGCTGATTCAATTCAATTCCATTAGATGATGACTCCACTAGATTCCATTCGATGATGATTTCATTAGATTCCATTTGATGATGATCCAATTCGATTCTATTCAATGATGATACTATTTGATTCCATTCAATAATTTCATTCGACTTCATTCGAAGATTCCATTCTATTCCATTCGATGGTGCTTCCATTCGTGTCCAATCGATGATTCCATTCGATTCCATTCAATGATGATTCCATTTGAGTCCTTTCGATGATTCCATTTGATTCCATGTGATGATGATTCCATCGAGTCCATTCGATGATTCCATTTGATTCCATTAGATGATGACTGCATTTGGTTCCATTTGATGATGATTCTAACGGACTCAATTCGATGACTCCATTCGATTCCATTCATTGATGATTCCATTCGATTCCATTTGATGATGATTCCATTCGATTCCATTCGATGATGATTCCATTCGATTCCATTCGATGATGATTCCATTCGATTCCATTCGATGATGATTCCATTCGATTCCTTTCAATGATGATTCCATTGGATTCCATTCGATGATTCCATTTGATTACATTAGATGATGATTCCTTTCGGGTCCGTTCGCTGATTCCATTCTATTCCAATCGATGATGATTCCATTTGATTATTCCATTCAACTCCATTTGATGTTTTCTTTCAATTCCACTCAATGTTGATTCCATTTGAGTCCATTCGATGATTCCATTCAAGTGCATTCCATGATTTCATTCGATTCCATTCGATGATGATTGCATTCGTTTCCATTTGATGATTCCATTTGATTTCATTCGATGATGATTACATTAGATTCCATTCGATGAATCCATTTGAGTCCACTCAATGATTCCATTCGAGACCATTAATTGATTCCATTGAGTTTCATTCGATGATCACATTCGATTCTATTTGATGATGTTTCCATTCGATTCCATTTGAAGAAAATTCCATTCGATTCCATTGATGATGATTCCATTCAATTCTATTTGATGCCAATTCTATTCGATTCCATTTGATGATGATTCCATTGGATTCCATTCAATGATTAAATTCGATTCCATTCGATGACTATTCCATTCGATGACTATTCCATTCGATTCTATTCGGTGATTCCATTCGATTCCACTTGATATTGATTCCATTCGAGACCATTCAATGATTCCATTCAATTCATTCGATGATGATCCCATTCCATTCCATTCGATGATTCCTTTTGACTCCATTTGATGTTGATTCTTTTCTATTCCATTCGATGATGATTCCATTCGATTCCATTCGATGATTCCATTCGATTCCATACGAGGATGATTCCATTCGAGTCCATTCGATGATTCCATTCAATTCTATTTGATGATGATTCCATTCGATTCCATTCAATGATTCCTTTTGATTCATTTCGATGATTATTCCATTCGAGTCCATTCGGTGATTCCTTTTGATTCCAACTGAAGATGATTCCATTCGATTCCATTTGATGACAGCATTCGATACCATTCGTTGATGATTCCATTTGAGTGCATTCCATGATACCAATTGATTCCATTCAATGGTGAATCCATTCGATTTCACTTGATTCCATTCAATTCCATTCTATGATGATTACATTCAAGTCCATTTGATGATTCCATTTGACTCCTTTTGATGATGATTCCATTCGATTCTATTCGATGATGATTCCATTTGATATCATTCAATGCTGATTCCATTCACTTCCATTTGATTATTCCATTTGATTCCATTCGATGATTCTATTCGATTACATTTGAGGATGATTCCATTTGATTCCATTCGATGATTCCATTCAATTCTATTCGATGTTGATTCCATTCGATTTCATTCAATGATGACTGCATTCGATTCCATTTGATGATTACATTTGATTCCATTTCATGATGATGGCGATCGATTACGTTCGATGATTCCATTCGATTCATTTGATGATTCCATTTGATTCCATTTCATAATGATTCCATTCGAGTCCATTCGATGATTCCATTTGAGCCCATTCGTTAATTCCATTTGAGTACAATCCATGATTCCATTCGAATCCATTCAATCATTCCATTTGAGTCCATTCGATGATGATTCCATTCGAGTCCATTTGATGATTCCATTCGATTCCATTCGATGATGATTCCATTCGAGTCCACTGAATGATTCCATTCGATTCCATTTGATGATGATTCCATTCGAGTCCATTCAATGATTCCATTTGGGTACATTTAATGATTCCATTGAGTTCAATACGATGATGATTACATTGGATTCCATTCTATGATTCCATTTGATTCCTTTCGTTGATGATTCCATTCGATGATGATTCCATTCAATTTCATTCAATGATTATATTTGATTGCATTCGATGAAGATTCAATTCTATAACCTTGCATGATTCCATCCGATGATGATTCTATTCAATTACATTGGATTATGAATCCATTCTTTCCATTGGATGATGATTCCATTCGAGTCCATTTGATGATTCTATTTGATTCCATTCTCCGATGATTACTTTCGAGTCCATTCGATGATTCCACTCGATTCCATACGATGATGATTCCGTTCAATTCCATTCGATGATTCCATTCTATTCCATTCAATGATGATTCCATTTGAGTAAGTTAGATGATTCCATTCAATTCCCTTCGATGATGATTCTATTCGTGCCCATTAGATGATTCCACCCGATTCCATTTGATGATGATACTATTTAAGTCCATTCAATGATTCCATTTGATTCCATTCAATGATGATTCCATTCGATTCCATTCATTGGTGATTCCATTCATTTCCACTCACTGATTCCATTCCATTCCATTTGACAATGATTCCATTCGATGATTCCACTCGATTCCACTTGACGATGATTCCATTCGATTCCATTCCATGATTCCATTTGATTCCATTCCATGATGGTTGCCTTTGATTCCATTCGATTCCATTTGATGATGATTCCTTTTGATTCCATTTGATAATTCCATCTGATTCTATTCGAGGATTCCATTCGATTTCATTGGATGATAATTTCATTCGAGTCCATTCGATGACTTCATTTAAGTACATTCAATGATTACATTCGAGTCCATTTGATGATTCCATAATATTCCATTTTACTATGATTCCATTAGAGTCCATTCGATGACTCCATTCAAGTCCATTCGATAATTCCATACGAATCCATTCAATGATTCCATTAGATTCCATTTGATTATTCCATTCGAGTCCATTTGATCATTACATTCGAGTCCATTCTGTGAATCCATTGGATTTTTGATGATGATCCCATTCGATTCCATTTCATGATGATCCCATTCAACTACATTTGATGATGATTCCATTCGAGTCCATTCGATGATTTCATTCGATTCCATTCAATGATGATTACATTCGAGTCCTTTCGATGATTCCATTCGAGACCCTTCATTGATTCTATCCAATTTCATTTGAGGATGTTTCCATTCGAGTCCATTCGATGATTCCACTTGATTCCATTTGATGATTCCATTGGAGTCCATCCGATTATTCCATTGGAGTCCATCCGATTATTCCATTAGAGTCCAATCGACGATTCCATTCAATTCCTTTTGATGATAATTCTATTTGAGTCCATTCGATGATCATTCCCTTCAATTCCATTCAATAATTCCGTTCGATTCTATTCAATGATTCCCTGCGATTCCTTTCCATGATGATTCCATTCCATTCCATTCAATGATTCCATTTGATTCTATTCCATGATGATTCCTTTCGATTCCATTTGCTGATGATTCCATTCGATTCCATTTGATGACGACTGCATTAGGTTCCATTAGATGATGATTCCAAAGGATTCCATTCAATTTCTCCATTTGATTCCATTTGTTGATGATTGCATTCGATTACATTACATGATGATTCCATTAGATTCCACTCGATGATGATTCCATTCGATTCCATTCGAAGACGATTGCATTCGATTCCATTCAATGATGATTCCATTCGATTCCATTCGATGTTTCCATTCGGTTCCATTTGATGATTATTCCATTCGAGTAAATTCAATGATTCCATTCAACACCATTCGATGATGATTCCAATCGAGTCCATTCAATGATTCCATTCAAGTCCACTTGATGATTCCCTTCAATTCCATTCGATGAAGATTCCATTCGAGTCCATTCCGTGATTCCATTCGATTCCATTCGATGTTGATTCCATTCAAGTCCATTCGATGATTCCATTCGATTGCATACGACGATTCCATTCTATTCTATTTAATGATGATTCCATTTGAGTCCTTTTGATGCTTCCATTCGAGTCCATTTAATGATCCCGTTGGGTTCAATTCGAAGATGACTACATTGGATTCCATTCTATGATTCCATTCAATTCCACTCCTTGATGATTCTGTTTGATTCCATTCGATGATTCCATCCAAGTCCATTCGATGATTCCATTTGAGTCCATTCGATGACACCATTCGATTCCATTCGATGATGATTCCATTTGAGTCCATTCGATGACGATTCCATTCGAGTCCATTCGATGATTTCATTCGTTTCCATTTGATGATGATTCCATTCGTGTCCGTTCGATGATTCCATTCTATTCCATTCCTTCATGATTCCATTTGATTCCATTCGATGATGATTCCATTCGATTCCCTTCATTCATGATTCCATTGGATTCCTTTCAATGATGATTTCATTCAACTCCATTCGATGATGATTCCATTCGATTTCATTTGATGATTCTGTTCGTTTCCATTCGATGATGATTCCATTCTATTCCAATCGATGTTTCCATTCGATGTCATTTGATGATGACTCCATTCTATTCCATTTGATGATTCCATTCGATTCCATTCAATGATGATTCCATTGGTGTCCATACGATAATTACATTTGATTGCATTCGATGATGATTCCATTTGCATCCATTTGATGATTCCATTCGATTCCATTTGATGATGACTTCATTTGATGCCATTCGATGATTCCATTCATTGATGTTTCCATTTGAATCCATTCAATGATTCCATTCGTTTCCATTTGATGATGATTCCATTTGATTCCATTCAATGTTTACATTTGATTTCGTTCGATGATGATTCCATTCGATTCCATTCGATGGTTTCATTCGATTCCATTCAATGATCA
Organism: Homo sapiens; assembly: GCF_000001405.40. Lineage (NCBI taxonomy): Eukaryota > Metazoa > Chordata > Mammalia > Primates > Hominidae > Homo > Homo sapiens. The sequence continues at coordinate 46,417,264 of NC_000016.10, read as the reverse complement.
TTCCATTCGATTCCATTCGATGATTCCTTTCGAGTCCATTCCATGATTCCATTTGATTCCATTCGATGACACCATTCGATTCCTTTTGATGATGATTCCATTCGAGTCCATTTGATGATGATTCCATTTGAGTCCATTCAATGATTCCATTTGGTTCCATTTGATGATGATTCCATTGGATTCCATTCAATGATTTGATTCGATTCCATTCGTTCATGATTCCACTTGAATCCATTCTATGATGATTCCATTCGATTCCCTTCATTGATAATTCCATTAGATTCCATTCTATGATGATTCCATTTGACTCCATTCGCTGATGATTCCATTCCATTTCATTTGATGGTTCCATTCGATTCCATTCGATGATGATTCCATTCAATTCCATTCGATGATTCCATTTGAATCGATTCGATGATGATTCCATTTGGTTTGATTCAATCACGAGCCATTCGATTCAATTCCATGATGATTCCATTTGATTCAATTCGATGATGTTTTCATTCGATTCCATTCGATGATGCTTCCAATCGATTCCATTCAACAATGATTCCATTCGAGTCCATTTGATGATGATTCCATTCGAGTCCGTTGAGTGATGATTCAATTCGATTTCATTCGATGTTTCTATTCGATTCCATTTGATGATGATTCCATCTGATTTCATTCAATGATTCCATTTGATTCAATTCAGTGATTATTCCATTCGATTCCATTTGATGATGATTTCATTTGATTCCATTCGATGATGATTCCATTCGGCTCCATTCGATGATTCCATTCGACTCCCTTCGATGATTCCTTTTGAGTCCATTTGATGATTCCATTGGACTCCATTTGATGATGATTCCATTCAATGATTCCATTCGATTCTATTCAATGATGATTCCATTCAATTTCGTTCGATGCTGATTCCTTTCAATTCAATTCGATGATTCTATTTGATTCCATTTGAAGATTCCATTCGATTACATTCAACGATGATTCCATTCGATTCCATTCGATGATTCAATTCGATTCTATTCATTGATGATTCCATTCGATTCCATTCAATGATGACTGCATTCGATTCCATTCGATGATTTCATTTGATTCCATTTGATGATGATTCTGATCATTTCCATTCGATGTTTCCATTTGATTCCATTCAATGATTCCATTTGATTCCATTCAATAATGATGCCATTCGACTTCTTTCGATGATTCCATTCGAGCCCATTCTATAATTCCATTTGAGTCCAATCGATGATTCCATTCAAGTCCGTTCGATGATTCCATTTGAGTCCATTCAATGATGATTCCATTTGCGTCCATTCAATGATTCCTTTCGAGCCCATTCGATGATTCCTTATGATTCCATTTGATAATGATTCCATTCGAGACCATTCGATGATTCCGTTCAATTAATTTGATGATGATTCCATTCAATTCCATTCAATGATTCCATTAGATTCCATTTGATGATGATTCCATTCGATTCCATTCGATGATGATTCCATGGCATTCCATTCGATGATACCTCCTTTCGTTTCCATTCGATGATGATTCCTTTGGATTCCATTTGATGATGATTCCATTCGACTCCATTTGATGTTGATTCTTTTCAATTCCATTCGATGATGGTTCAAATGGTTCAATTTGATTCCATTCGATGATGATTCCATTCAAGTACATTCGATGATTCCACTCGTTTCCATTCGATGATGATTCCATTTGGTTCCATTCGATGATTCCATTCAATTCTTTCGATGATTATTCCATTCGAGTCCATTCCGTGATTTATTTCAATGCCAATTGAAGATGATTCCATTCGATTCCATTCGATGATACCATTTGATACCATTCATTGACGATTCCATTCGAGTGCATTTGATGATACTATTCGATTCCATTCGATGATTATTCCATTCAATTCCATTCGATGGTGATTCCATTTGGGTCCATTCAATCATTCCTTTCGTTTGCATTTGATGATGATTCCATTTGAGTACATTCAGTGATTCCATTCAAGTCCACTTGATGATTCCTTTCGATTCCATTCGATGATGATTCCATTCCAGTCAATTCGAATATTCCATTCAATTCCACTCGATGATTATTCCCTTCGAGTCCATTCGATGATTCCTTTCTATTCCATTTGATGATGACTCCCTTCGAGTCCATTCGATGATTGCATTCCAGTCCATTCAATGATTCCATTTGATTCCATGAGATGATGATTCCATCGAGTCCATTCGATGATTCCATTTGATTCCAGTCAATGATGACTGCCTTCAGTTCCATTCAATGATGATTCCAACGGACGCCATTTGATGACTCCTTTTGATTGCATTCATTGATGATTCCATTTGATTCCATTTGATGATGATTTCATTCGATTCCATGATAAGATGATTCCATTAGATTCCATTTGATGATGATTCAATTTGATTCCATTCAATGATGATTCCATTCAATGTTTCCACTTGATTCCGTTTGATGATGATTCCATTCGAGTCCATTCGATGATGATTCCATTCGATTCCATTATATGATGATTCCATTCGACTCCATTTGATGATGATTCAATTCGATTCCATTCAATGATGATTCTATTAGATTCAATTCAATAATTCGAGTTGATTCCATTCGATGATGATTCCTTTTGAGTCCATTCGATGATGATTCCATTCGAGTCCATTCGATGTTTCCTTTCGATTCCACTCGACATTGATTCCATTTGAGTGCATTCAATGATTCCATTCGAGTGCATTCCATGATTTCATTCGATTCCATTCTATGATGATTCCATTCGATTCCATTTGATGATTCCTTTCGAGTACATTAAATGATTCCATTCGATTCCATTCGATGATGACTCCATTCGAGTTCTTTCAATGATGATTCAATTCGATTACATTCAATGAGTCTGTTGTATTCCATTCTTTGTTTTACTTCGATTCTTTTTGATGATGATTCCATTCGATTTCATTTGATGATCCCATTTGATTCTATTCAATGATGACTCCATTCGATTCCATTTGATCAAAATTCCATTCGATTCCATTCAATGATGATTCCATTTGATTCTATTCAATGATGACTCCATTCGATTCCATTTGATCAAAATTCCATTCGATTCCATTCAATGATGATTCCATTCAATTCTAATTGATGCCGACTCTATTTGATTCCATTCAATTCCATTCGATGATTCCATTCGATTCCATTCGATGATGGTTCCATTCGAAACCATTCGACGATTCCATTGAATTCCATTCCATGATGATTCCATTCAAGTCCATTCGATGATTCCATTCAAAACCATTCGATGATTCCATCTGATTCCATTCAATGATGCTTCCAATCGAGTCCATTCGATGATTCCATTTGATTCTATTCCATGATGATTCCATTGAAGCCCAGTCGATGACTGCATTAGAGTTCATTTAATAATCCCATTCAATTCCATTTGATTACGATTCCATTCAATTCTATCTCTGTTCAGTTCCATTTGATGATGAATCCATTCGATTCCTTTCAATGATGATTTCATTCAGTTACATTCGATGATGATTCCATTGTATTCCATTCGATGATGATTCCATTGTATTCCATTCGATGATGATTCCATTCTTTCCATTCAGTGATGATTCCATTTGTGTCCATTCGATGTTTCCATTCGATTCCAATTGGTGATTATTCCATTTGAGTCCATCGGATGATTCCATTTGATTCTATTCAATGATGATTCCACTCGGTGTCATTTGATTATTCCATTTGATTTCATTTGATGATGATTCCAGTGATTTCTTTTTGATGAATCCTTTCCATTCCATTCGATTATTCCATTCGAGTCCATTCCATGATTCCACTCGATTCCATTCGATGATGACTCCATTCGTTTCCATTCGATGTTTCAATGCAATTTCATTTTATGACGATTACATTTGATTTTATTCAATGATTCCATTTGATTCCCTCTGATGATGACTCCATTCGAGTCCATTCTATGATTCCATTCAATTCTATGCGATGATTATTCCATTCTAGTCCATTAGATGATTCCTTTCAATTCCATTCTATGATTATTCCATTTGAGTCCTTTTGACACTTCCATTCGAGTTCATTTGTTGATTCTATTCGAGTCCAATTTTTCATTCCCTTCAATTCCCATCGATGATGATTCCGTATGATTCCATTCGATGATGATTCCATGTGATTCCATTCAATGATGATTGCATTCTAGTCCATTTGATGATTCCATTCAATTCCATTCGATGATGATTCCATTTGATTCCATTAAATGGTGATTCCATTCATTTTCATTCATTGATTCCATTCCATTCCAATCGACATTGATTCCACTCGATTCCATTCGATGATTCCACTCGATTAAACTCGACAATGATTCCATTCGATTCTATTTGATGATTCCATTTGATTCTATTCGATGATGATTCCATTCAAATCATTCAATGTTGATTGTGTTCGATTCCATTAGATGATTCCATTCAATTCCATTTGATGATGATTCCGTTCAATTCCAATTGATGATTCCATTTGATTCCATTTGAGGATTTCACTCGATTCCATTCAATAATGATTCCATTCGAGTCCATTCAATGATTCCATTCGAGTTCATTTGGTGATTCCGTTCAATTCCATTCCATGATGATTCCATTAGAGTCCATTCTATGATTCCATTCGATTCCATTTGATTCCATTCAATGATGATTCCATTAGAGTCAATTCGATGATTCCATTCGATTCCATTCGATGATGTCTCCATTCGAGTCCATTCGATGATTCCATCCGATTCAATTCAATGATGATTCCATTCGAGTCCCTTCATTAATTCCATTCGATTCCATTCTCTGATGACTACATTTGTTTTCATTCAATGATGATTCCAAAGGATTACATTCGATTTCTCCATTCGATTCCATTCCTTGCTGATTCCATTCAATTCCTTTAGATGATGACTCCATTAGATTCCATTCGTTGATGACTTCATTGGATTCCATTTGATAACCATTCCATTCGATTCTAATCAATGATGATTCTGTTTGATTCCATTAGATGATTCCATTTGATTCCATTCAATGATGACTGCCTTCGATTGCATTCGATGATTCCATTCGATTCCATTCAAAGATGATTCCATTTGATTCAATTCGATAATATCATTTGATTCCATCCGATGATTCCTATGGATTCCATTTGATGATGATTCCATTTGAGTCCATTCAATGACGCCATTAAATTCCATATGATGATGATTCCATTCGAGTGCATTGGATGATTCCAATCGATTCCATTTAAAGATGATTCCATTCAAGTCCATCCAATGACTCTTTTCAGTTCCATTCTATAATGATTCAGTTCAAGTCCATTTGATGATTCGATTCAAGTCCTTTCCATGATTCCATTTGATTCCATTCAATGATGATTCTGTTTGAGTCCATTCGATGCTTCCCTTTGGGTCCATTTGATGATTCCATTCGAGTCCAACTGATCATTCCATTCAATTCCATTCTATGATGATTCCGTATGATTCCATTCGATGATGATTCCATGTGAATCCATTCGATGATGATGCCTTACGATTGCATTCGATTATGATTCATTTCGAGTTCATTCGATGATTCCACATGATTCCATTCAATGATGATTACATTCGAATACATTCGATGATGAGATTCCATTCCATTCGATGATGATTCCATTCAAATTCGTTCGATGATTCCATTTGATTCCATTCAATGATAATTCCATTCGAGTCCGTTCGATGATTCCATTCTATTCCATTCAATGATGATTCCATTCGTGTCCATTGGATGATTGCATTCGAGTCCACTCGATGATTCCATTTGATTCCATTTGATGATGATTCCATTTGAGTCCATTCGATGATTCCTTTCGATTCCATTCGAGGATGATTGCATTCGGTACAATTCGATGATTCCACTTGATTCCATTTGATGATTCCATTTGATTCCATGCGATGATGATTCCATTTGATTCCATTCCATGATTCCGTTAGATTACATTCGATGATGTTTCCATTTGAGTCCATTCGATGATTCCATTCGATTACATTCGATGAAGATTCCATTCGAGTCAATTAAATGATTCCATTCGATTCCATTATTTGATAATTCCATTTGATTCCATTCGATGATTCTATTCGATTCCATTCAATGATGATTCCATTCGATTTCATTCTATGATTACATTCAATTTCTTTTAATGATGATTCCATGTGTGTCCATTCGATGATTCCATAAGATTTCATTTGATGAAGATTCCATTAGATTTCATTCGATGATTCCATTAGATTCCATTCATTGATGATTCCATTTGATTCCATTCGATGATGATTCCATTCGATTCCCTTCATTGATGATTCCATTGGATTCCATTCGATGATGATTTAATTCGACTCCATTTGATGATGATTCCATTTGATTTCATTCAATGATTCCATTCGATTCCATTCGGTGATGATTCCATCTGGTTTAATTTGATGATTCCATTCGATTCCTTTCAGTGATGATCCCATTCAATTCCATTTGAGGATGATTTCATTTGATTCCATTGCATGATGATTCCATTCGAGTCCATTCACTGATTCCATTCGAGTCCAGTCGATGATTCCATTCGAGTACATTTGATGATTCCTTTGGACTCCATTTGATGGTGAATCCATTCAATGATTCCATTTGATTCTATTCAATGATGATTCCATTCGATTTCGTTTGATGCTGATTCCTTTCAATTCCATTCAATGATTCCATTAGATTCTATTTGAAGATTCCATTCGAATACATTCGACGACGATTGCATTCGATTCCATTTGATGATTCAGTTTGATTCTATTCTACGATGATTCCATTTGATTCCATTTGATGATGACTGCATTCAATTCCATTCTAGGATTCCACCTGATTCCATTTCATGATGATTCCAATCGATTTCATTCAATGATTCCATTAGATTCCATTCGATGATTCCATTTGATTCCATTCGATAATGATTCCATTCGAGTCCATTTGATGATTCCATTCGCGCCCATTTGATAACTCCATTTGAGTCCAATCGATGATTCAATTCGAGTCCATTTTATCATTCCATTTAAGTCCATTTGATGATGATTCCATTTGAGTGCATTCGATGATTCCATTCGAGTCCATTCGATGATTCAATTCGAATCCATTTGATGATTCCTTTCGATTCGATTAGATAATGATCCCATTCGAGACCATTCGATGATATCATTCAATTAATTCGATGATGATTCCATTCAATTCCATTCGATGGTTCCATCAGATTCCATTTGATGATGATTCCATTCGATTCCATGCAATTCCACTTGATGATGACTCCTTTCATTTCCATTCGATGATGATTCCATTCAGTTCCATTCGATGATTATTCCTTTGGATTCCATTTGATGATGATTCCATTCGACTCCATTTGGTGTTGATCCTTTTTGATTCCATTTGATGATGATTCAATTTGATTCCATTCGATGATGATTTTATTTGAGTCCGATCAATGATTCTGTTCGATTCCATTTGACGATCATTCTGTTCGATTTGATTCGATGATTCCATTCGATTCCTTTCGATGATTATTCCATTCAAGACCATTCAGTGATTTATTTTGATGCCAATTGAAGATTATTCCACCTGATTCCATTCGATGATAACATTCATTGATGATTCCATTCGAGTGCATTCGATGATACTATTTGATTCCATTCAATGATGATTCCATTCAATTCCATTCTATGATGTTTCCATTCAAGTCCATTTGATGATTTCATTGGACTCCATTTGATGATGATTCCATTCAATGATTCCATTTGATTCCATTCAATTGTGATACCATTCGGGTCCATTGGATGATTCCATTCGCTTGCATTCGATGATGATTCCATTTGAGTACATTCAATGATTCCATTCAAGTCCATTGGATGATTTCTTTTGATTCCATTCGATGATGATTCCATTCGAGTACATTTAATGATTCCATTCTAGTCCATTGGATGATTCCTTTTGATTCCATTCGATGATGATTCCATTCGAGTCCATTCGATGATTCCATTCGATTCCACTCGATGATAATTCCATTCTAGTCCTTTCAATGACTTTTTCTGATTCCATTCAATGATGATTCCATCACGTCCATTCGATTATTCCATTTGATTCCAGTTGATGTTGTCTGCATTCGGTTCCATTCGATGATGATTTTAACGGACTCCATTCCATGACTCCATTCGATTCCATTCATTGATGATTCCAATTGATTCCATTCGATGATGATTCCATTCAATTCCATTTGATGATTCCATTTGATTCCATTCGATGATGATTCCAATCGAGTCCATTCGATGATTCCATTAGATTCCATTCAATGATGTTTCCATTCGAGTCCATTCGATATTTCCTTTCGATTCCAGCTGACGTTGATTCCATTTGAGTCCATTCGATGATTCCATTCGAGTGCATTCCATGATTTCATATGATTCCATTCCATGATGATGCCATTCGAGTACATTCGATGATTCCATTCAAGTCCATTATATGATTCCATTTGATGATGATTCCATTCAACTCATTTCAATGATGATTCCATTCGATTCCATTCAATGAGTATGTTGTATTCCATTATTTGTTTTAATTCGATTATTTTTGATGAAGATTCTGTTCGATTTATTCGATGATCCCATTCGATTCTATTCAATGATGATTCCATTCGATTCCATTTGATGAAAATTCCATTCGATGATGATTCCATTCTATCCTATTCGATGCCGATTCTATTCAATTCCTTTCGATGATGATTCCATTCGATTCCATTTGATGATTCCATTCGATTCCATTCGGTAATGATTCCATTTCAGACCTTTCGATGATTCCATTCAATTCCATTCAATGATGATTCCATTCGAGTCCATTCGATAATTCCATTCAAGTCCATTCTATGATTCCATCTGTTTCCATTTGATGATGATTCCATTCGAGCCCATTCGATGATTGCATTCGATTCCATTCCATGATGATTCCATTGAAGCACAGTCGATGATTGCATTCGTTTCCATTTGATGATTCCATTCGATTCCATTTGATTACGATTCCATTCAATTCCATTCGATGATGACTCTGTTTGGTTCCATTTGATGATGAATCCATTCGATTCCTTTAAATTATGATTCCATTCAATTACATTCAATGATGATTCCATTCAATTACATTCAGTGATGATTCCTTTCGATTTCATTCGATGACGATCCTATTTGATTCGATTTCATGATGATTCCATTCAATTCCATTCGGTGATGATTCCATTTGTGTCCATTCGATGTTTCCTTTCGATTCCATTCAATGATTAGTCCATTCGTGTCCTTTAGATGATTCCATTCGATGATGATTCCATTTTGTGCCATTCAATTATTCCATTTGATTTCACTCGATGATGATTCCATTGATTTCGTTTGATGACTCCTTTCCATTCCATTCGATGATTATTATATATGAGTCTATTCGATGATTCCATTTGATTCCATTTGATGATGACTCCATTCTTGTCCATTCCATGATTTAATGCAATTTCATTTGAAGATTATTACGTTTGATTCTATTTGGTGATACCATTCGATTCCATTTGGTGATGATTCCATTCGAGTCCATTCGATGATTCCATTCAAATACATTTGATTATTCCTTTCGATTCCATTTGATGATGATTCCATTAGAGTCGATTCGATGATACCATTTGATTCCATTCAATGGTGATTCCATTCGTGTCCATTCGATGATTACATTTGATTCCATTGGATGATGATTCCAATTGAGACCATTCGATGATTTTATTGGATTTTATTTGATGATGATTCCATTTGATTCCGTTTGATGATTCCATTCTATTCCATTCAATGATGATTACATTTGAGTCTATTCGATGATTGCATTCGACTCCATGTAATGATTCCATTAGGTTCAATTCAATGATGATTACATTGGATTCCATTCAATGATCCTTGTGATTCCATTCGGTGATTATTCCATTTGATTCCTGTCAATGACGATTCCATTTGATTCCATTCTTTGATGATTCCATTTGATTCCATTCGATGATGATTCGATTTGATTCCATTCGATGATGATTCCATTCGATTCCATTCGATGATGATTCCATTCGATTTCATTTGATGATTCTCTTCGATTCCATTCAATGTTGATTCAATTCTATTCCATTCGAGGATTCCATTCAATTCCATCTGATGATGATTCCAATCGATTCCATTCGATGATGATTCCCTTTGATTGCATTCGATGATTATTCCATTCGAGTGCATTCGAAGACAACATTCGATTCCATTCTATCATAATTCCACTCGAGTCCATTCGAAGATTAGATTCGATTCCATTCAATGATGATTCCGTTCAAATCCATTCAATGATTCCATTCCATTCCAATTGATGATGATTCTGTTTGATTCCATTTGATGATGATTCCATTCGATTCCATTTGATGATCATTCCATTTGATTTCATTTGATGATTCATTTTGTTTCCATTCGAACATTATTCTATTCTATTACATTCGATGATTCTATTCAATTCCATTTGATGAGGATTCTATACGATTCCATTTGATGATGACTCCATTCGACTCCATTCCATAATGATTCAATTCGTGTCTATTCAATGTTTCCTTTTGATTCCATTCGACAATGATTCCATTCGAGTCAGTTAGATCATTCCATTCAATTCCATTTGATGATGATTCCATTCGATTATTCCTTTCTATTTCATTCGATGATGATTACATTAGAATCCATTTGGTTATTCCATTCCATTCGATGATGATTTCATTTTAGTCCAGTAGATGATTCCATTGGATTCCATTCGACGATGATTCCATTCGAGTCCATTTGATAATTCAATGCGATTTCATTCAATGACGATTACATTCGATTCTATTTGATGATTCCATTCGATTCCATTTGATGATGACTGCATTCTAGTCCACTCGATGATTCCATTCAATTCTATTCGAAGATGATTCCATTGGATTCCATTCCATGATTCCATTCGATGATGATTCTTTCAGTAACATTTGATTATGATTTATTTCGAGATCATTCAATGATTCCAAATGATTCCATTCAATGATGATTCCATTCGAATCCATTTGATGATTCCATTCGATTCCATTTGATGATGATTCCATTCTTGTCCAATCGATGATTCCATTCTATTCCATTAGATGATGATTCCATTCAAGTCCATTCGATGATTGCATTTGAGTCCATTCAATGATTCCATTCGATTCCATTCAATGATGATCCCAATCGAGTCCATTCAAGATTGCATTGAATTCCATTCGAGGATGACTGCATTCGGTTCCACTGGATGATTCCATTCAATTCCATTCGATGATTCCATTTGATTCCATGCGATGATGATTCCATTCAATTCCATTCCATGTTTCCATTCGTTTCCATTCGATGATGATTCCATAAAAGTCCATTCGATGATTCCATTCTAGTGCCTTCATTGATTCCATCCAATTCCATTTGATGATGATTAAATTCGAGTCCTATCGATGATTCCATTTGTTTACATTTGATGAAGATTCCATTCGAATTCTTTAAATGATTCCATTCGATTCCATTCATTGATGATTCCATTTGATTCCATCCGATGATTCTATTCTATTCCATTCAATGATGATTCCATTTGATTCCATTATATGATTACATTCGATTTCATTCGATGATGAATCCATACGAGTCCATTCGATGATTCCATAAGATTCCCTTCGATGATGATTCCATTCAAGTCCATTCGATGATTCCATTCGTTTCTATTTGGTAATGATTCCATTGGATTTCATTCAATGATTCCATACGATTCCATTTGTTGTTGATTCCATTCGATTCCATTTGATGATGATTCCATTCGATTCCCTTCATTGACGATTCCATTGGATTCCATTCGATGATGATTTCATTCTACTCCATTCGATAATGATTCCATTCTATTTCTTTTGATAATTCCATTGGATTCCATTCGATGATGATTCCGTTTGTTTCCATTCGATGATTCCATTCGATTCCATTCAATGATGATTCCATTCAATTCCATTCGATGATTCCATTCAATTCCATTTGATGATTCCATTCTATTCCATTCAATGATGATTCCATTCGATTCCATTCGATGATTCCATTCTATTCCATTTAGTGATGATTCCATTCGATTCCATCCGATGATGATTTCATTAGATTCATTTCAATGATGATTCCATTCGAGGCCATTCAATGATTCCTTAAGATTCAATTCGATGATGATTCAATTCGAGTCCATTCGATGATTTCATTCGAGTCCCTTCGTTGATTCCATCCGATTCAATTCGATGATGATTCCATTCGAGTCCATTTGATGAATCCATTCAATTCCATTCAATGAATCCATTCGAGTCCATTCGATTATTCCATTCGAGTCCATTCGATGATTCCATTCGATTCCATTCTGTGATGATTCCATTCGATTCCATCCCATGATGATTTCATTGTATTCCATTCGATGATGATTCCATTCAGGTCCATTCGATGATTCCATTTGATTCCATTCAATGATGATTCAATTCGAGTCCATTCGATGATTCCATTCGAGCTCCTTCATTGATTCCATCTGATTCCATTTGATGATGCTTCCATTAGAGTCCAATCGATGATTCCATTCGATAGCATTCGATGATTTAATTCTAGCTATTCGATTATTCCATTCGTGTCCATTTGATGATTATATTTGATCCCATTCGATGACGATTCCATTCAATTCCATTTGATGATACCGTTCAATTCCATTTGATGATTCCCTTCGATTTATTTCAATGATGATTCCATTCCATTCCATTCGATGATTCCATTGGATTCTATTCGATGATGATTCCTTTCTATTCCATTCGATGATGATTCCCTTCAATTCCATTCGATGATGATTTCTTTCGATTCCACTCGATGATGATTGCATTCGATTGCATTTGATGATGACGGCATTAATTTCCATTCTATGATGGTTCCAACGGATTCCATTCGATTTCTTCATTCGATTCCATTCATTGATGATTCCATTCGATTCCATTAGATGATAATTCCATTAGAATCCATACGATGATGATTCCATTAGATTCCATTCAATGATGATTCCATTCGATTCCATTCAATTATGATTCCATTCGATTCCATTCGATGATTCCATGCGATTCCATTCGATGATGACTGCATTCGTGTCCATTCGATTATTCCATTTGATTCCGTTTGATGATGATTTCATTCGAGTCCGTTCAATGATTCCATTCAAGTCCATTCCATGATTCCTTTTGATTCCATTCGATGATGATTCCATTCGAGTCCATTTGATGATTCTATTAAATTCCATTCCCCGATGATTACTTTCAAGTCCATTCGATGATTCCACTTGATTCCATATGATGATGACTCCATTCGATTCCATTTGATGATTCAATTCTATTCCATGAGATGATGATTCCATTCGAGTACATTAGATGATTCCATTCAATTCCATGCAATGATGATGCTATTCGTGTCCTTTAGATGATTCCATTCAATTCCATTCGATGATGATTCCATTCTATTCAATCCAATGATGATTCCATTAGTGTCCATTAGATGATTTCGTTTGATTCCATTCGACGTAGATTCCATTTTTTTTCCATTCAGTGATGATTCCATTCGGGTCCGTTAGATGCTTCCATTTGATTCCATTCGATGATGATTCCATTATATTAAATTCGATGTTGATTCCATTTGAGTCCATTAGATGATTCCATTCGATTCCATTCTCCTATGATTAATTTCGAGTCCATTCGATAATTCCACTCAATTCCATACGATGATTGCTCCATTCAATTCCATTCAATGATTCCATTCTATTCCATTAGATGATGATTCCATTCGACTACATTAGATGATTCCATTCGATTCCATTTGATGATGATCCCACTCTATTCAATCCAATGATGATTCCATTCGTGTCCAATAGATTATTCAATTTGATTCCATTTGATTATGATGCCATTTTATTCCATTCAGTGATGATTCCATCCCTGTCCGTTAGATGATTCCATTTGATTCCATTCAGTGATGATTCCATTATATTCCATTCGATGATGATTCCATTCGGGTCCATTTGATGATTCCATTCGATTCAATTCGATGATGATTCCACTCGGGCCCATTCAGTGATTCCATTCTACTCCATTCGATACTGATTCCATTCAAGTCCATTCAATGATTCCATTTGAGTCCATTCAATAATTGCTTTGGATTCCATTCGATGATGATTCCATTTGATTCCATTCGATGATGATTCATTTCAATACTGTTCTATGATTCCATTCGATTCCATTCGATGTTGATTCCATTCGATTCCATCTGATGTTTCTATTCAATTCCTTTCGATGACGATTCCATTCGAGTCCATTTGATGATTTGATTCGAGTCCTTTCGATGATTCCATTCTATTCCATTCAATGATGATTCCATTCGAATCCATTCGATGCTTCCATTCGATTCTTTTGATGATTCCATTCGAGTGCAATTGATGATTCCATTCAATTCCATTTGATGATGATTCTGTATGACTCTATTCCATGATGATTCCATGTGATTCCATTTGAGGATGATTCATTTTGATTCCTTTCGATTATGAATCATTTCAAGTTCATTCAATGATTCCACATGTTTCCATTTGATGATGATTCCATTTGAGTCCATTTGATGATTCCTTTTGAAACCATTCGATGAGGATTCCATTCGATTCCATTCATTGGTGATTCCATTCATTTCCATTCAATGATTCCATTCCATTCAATTCGACAATGATTCCTTTAGGTTCCATTCGATGATTCCACTTGATTCCATTTGACGATGATTCCGCTCGATTCCCTTCATTGGTGATTCCATTCAATTACATTCAATGATTCTATTCCATTCCATTCGATAATGATTCCATTAGATTCCATTTGATGATTCCATTTGATTCCATTTATGATGATTCGATTCGATTCAATTTGATGATTCCATTCAATTCTATTCGATGATGTTTGCATTCGATTCCATTCAGTGATGATTCCATTCTATTCAATCCAATGGTGATTCCAGTCGTGTCCATTAGATGATACCATTCGATTCCATTTGATTATGATTCCATTTTATTCCATTCAGTGATGATTCCATCCAGGTCCGTTAGATGATTCCATTTGATTCCATTCGATGATGATTCCATTATATTCCATTCGATGATGATTCCATTCGGGTCCATTCGATGATTCCATTCGATTCAATTCGATGATGATTCCACTCGGATCCTTTCGGTGATTCCATTCTACTCCATTCGATGATTATTCCATTCAAGTCCATTCTATGATTCTATTTGAGTCCATTCAATAATTGCTTTTGATTCCATTCGATGATGATTCCATTTGATTCCATTCGATGATTCCACTTGATTCCGTTTGACGATGATTCCGTTCAATTCCTTTCATTGGTGATTCCATTAAATTTCATTCAATGATTCCATTCCATTCCATTCGATGATGATTCCCTTAGATTCCATTCGATGATTCCACTTGATTGCATTTACGATGATTCCATTCGATTCCATGTGATGATTCCATTCAATTCTATTCAATGATGTTTCCATTTGATTCCATTCGACCATGATTGCCTTTGATTCCATTCAATGATTCCATTCGGTTCCTTTTGATGATGATTCCGTTCGATTCCATTTGATGATTCCATTTGATTCCATTGGATGAGTCCATTCGATTACATTCGATGATTATTCCATTCGAGTGCATTAGATGATTCCATTCGAGTCCATTCGATGATTCCATTCGATTCCATTCGATGTTGATTCTGTTCAAATCCATTTGATGATTCCACTTGATTCCATTCGATGACTCCATTTGATCCCATTCGATGATTTCCTTTGATTCCCTTTGATGATCATTCCATTTGATTCAATTCGGTGATTTCATTTGATTCCATTCAGTGATGTTTCCATTCAACTCCATTCGATGATGATTCCATTCGACTCCATTCGATTATGATTTCATTCAATTCCATTCGATAATGATTCCCTTCGTGTCCATTCGATGATTTCATTCGATTCCATTCAACGATGATTTGATTCGTGTCCATTCGATGATTCCATTTGATTCCACTTGATGATGATTCCATTCGAGTCCTTTTGATGATTCCATTCAATTCCATTCTCTGATGATTTCTTTTGAGCCCATTCAATGCTTCCACTCGATTCCATATGATGATGACTCCATTCGATTAAATTCGATGATGATTCCATTCGCTTGCTTTCGATGATGATTCCACTTGAGTCCATTAGAAGATTCTATTCAATTACATTCCATGACAATTCCGTTCGAGTCCATTTGATGATTCCATTAGACTCCATTCGACGATGATTCCATTCGATGTTATTCGATGATTCCATTCGATCTCACTCGATGATGATTCCATTCAACTCCATTCGATGTTTCCATTCGAGTTCATTCTATTATTCCATTAGATTCCATTCGATGATGATTCCATTCGATTCCATTTGATGATTGCATTCTACTTCATTTGATGATGATTCCATTCGAGTCCATTCGATGATTCCATTCGAGTCCATTTAATGAATCCATTGGTTTCAATTCTATGATGATTACATTGGATTCCATTCGTTGATGATTTCATTCGATTCCATTCAATGATGATTCCATTCAATTCCATTCAATGATTCCATTCAATTCCATACGATGATGATTCCATTGGATTTGATTCGACAGTGAGCCATTCGATTCAATTCCATGATGATTCTATTTGATTCAATTGGTTGACATTTCCATTCGATTCCATTCGATGATGATTCCATTTGATTCCATTCAAAGATGATTCCATTCTAGCCCATTCAATCATTCCATTCGATTCTATTCAATGATGATTCCATTCATGTCGATTTGGTGATTCCATTTGACTTCATTTGATGATGATTCCTTTCAAGTTCATTAGATGATTCCATTCGATTCCATTTGATGATGATCCCATTCGAGTCCATTCAGTGATTCCACTCGTTTCCATTCCATGATGATTCCATTCCATTCCATTCAATGATTCCATTCGATTCCGTTTGATGATGATTTCATTCGAGTCCATTTGATGATTCCATTTGATTCCATTCGATGATGATTCCATTCGAGTTCATTTGATGATTCTATTCGAATCCATTTGATGATTTCTTTTGATTATATTTGGTGATGATTCCATTGGAGTCCATTCAATGATTCCATTCAATTCCAATCGATGATGATTCCATTAGAGTCCATTTAATGATTCCATTTGATTCCAGTCTCTGATGATTACATTCGAGTCCATACGATGATTCCACTCAATTCCATATCATGATGATTCCATTCGATTCCATTCGATGATTCCATTCTATTCTATTCAATGGTGATTCCATTCGAGTACATTAGATGATTCCATTCGATTCCATTCAATGATGATTCTATTTGTGTCCCTTAGATGATTCCACATGATTCCATTAGATGATGATACTATTTCAGCCCATCCAATGATTCCCTTCGATTCCATTCGATGAGGATTCCATTCGATTCAATTCATTGGTGATTCTATTCAATTCAATTCTTTGATTCCATTCCATTCCATTCGACAATGATTCCATTCGATTTCTTTCGATGATTCCACTCGATTCCACTTGACATTGATTCCATTCGATTCCATTCAATGATTCCGTTTGATTCCAGTGGATGATGATTGCCATCGATTCCATTCGATCACTCCATTCTATTCCATTTGATGATGATTACATTCGATTCCATTTGAGGATTCCATCTGATTCTATTCGAGGATTCCATTTGATTCCATTCGATGATGATTCCATTCGAGTCCATTCGATGATTTCATTCGAGTACATCCAATGATTCCATTCGAGTCCATTTGATGATTCCATTTGATTCCATTTGATTATGATTCTACTAGAGTCCATTCAATGACTCCATTCGAATCCATTCAACAATTCCATTCGAGTCCATTCGATGATTCCATTTGATGATTCCATTCGAGTCCATTTAATCATTACAGTCGAGTCCATTTGGTGATTCCACTGGATTTCTTTTGATAATGATACCATTCAATTACATTTGATGATGATCCCATTCAATTTCATTTGATGATGATTCCATTAGAGTCCATTCCATGATTTCATTCGAGTCCCTTCATTGATTCCATCCGATTTCATTGGATGATGACTCCATTCGAGTCCATTCGATGATTCCACTCGATTCCATTAGATGATTCCATTGGAGTCCATTTGATTGTTCCATTCGATTCCATTCGATTCCTTTCGAAGATTATTCCATTTGAGTCCATTCGATGATGATTCCATTCCATTCCATTCGATGATTCCGTTTGATTCCATTCGATGATTCCCTTTGATTCCTTTCTATGATGATTCCATTCCATTCCATTCAATGATTCCATTCGAATCTATTCCATGATGATTCCTTTCGATTCCATTCGCTGATGTTTCCGTTCAATTCCATTCGATGATGATTCCATTCGATTCCATTCATTGAGGATTCCATTTGATTCCATTCAATGATGATTCCATTCTATTCCATTCAATGATTGCATTCAATTCCATTCAATGATTATCCCATTAGAGTAAGTTCAACGATTCCATACAATACCATTCGATGATGATTCCTTTTGAGTCCATTCAATGATTTCATTCAAGTCCATTTGATGATTCCTTTCAATTCCATTCTATGATGATTCCATTCGAGTCCATTCGATGATTCCATTCGATTGCATTCGATGATTCCATTATATTCCATTCAACGATGGTTCCATTCGAGTCCATTCGATGATTCCATTAGAGTACATTTAATGATTGCTTTGTTTTCAATTCGAAGATGATTACATTGGATTCCATTCTGTGATTCCATTCGATTCCATTCATTGATGATTCCACCCGATTGCATTCGATGATGATTCCATTCGATTTCATTCAATGATTCTACTCGATTCCATTCAATGATGATTCCATTCGATTCCATTCGATGATTCCATTAGATTCCATTCTATGATGATTCCATTCGAGTCAATTCGAAGATTCCATTCGATTATATTCCATGAGGATTCCATTCGAGTCCATTCGATGATTCCATTTGAATCCATTTGACGATGATTCCATTTGATGCTATTCGATGATTCCATTGGATTCCATTCGATGATGATTCCATTCGACTTGATTCGATGATTCTATTTGAGTCCATTCGGTTATTTAATTAGACTACATTCGATGATGATTCCTTTCGATGCCATTCAATGATTCCATTTGATTCCACTCAATGATGATTGCATTCGTGTCCATTCGATGATTCCATTTGGTTCCATTTGATGATGATTCCATTCGAGTCCATTCGATGATACCATTCAATTCCATTTGATGATCATTCCATTTGAATCCATTTGATGATTCCACCCAATTCCATTTGATGACTCCTTTCATTCCTATTCGATGATTCCCTTCAATTCCATTCGATGATCTCTCCATTTGATTCAATATGGTGACTCCATTCTATTATATTCAATGATGATTCCATTCGACTCCATTAGATGATGACTCCATTCCATTCCATTCGATTGTGATTTCATTCGATTCCATTCGAAGATGATTCCATTCGAGTCCATTTGATGATTCCATTCGATTCCATTCAATGATGATTCCACTCAAATCCATTGGATGATTCCATTCGTGTCCATTCGGTGATTTCATTAGATTCCATTCGAGGATGATTCCATTCCATTCCATTCGATGATTCCATTCAATTCCATTCGATGATGATTCCATTCGAGTCCATTCAATGATTCCATTGGATTCCGTTTGATAATGATTCCATTAGAGTTCATTCGATGATTCCCTTCGAGTCCATTCGATTATTCCTTTTGATTCCATTTGATGATGATTCCATTCGATTCCATTCAATGATTCCATTCCATTCCATTCGATGATGATTCCATTCGATAATGATTACATTCGAGCCCATGTGATGATTCCATTAGATTCTATTCAATGATGATTCCATTCGACCACATTCGATGATGGCATTCGAGTCCATTCGACGATTTCACTCGATTCCACTTGATGATGATTCCTTTTGAGTCCATTTGATGATTACATTCGAGTCCATGAGATGACTCCATTTGATTCCGTTTAATGATGATGCAATTCGAGGCTATTCGATCATCCCATTTTAGTGCATTCGGTGATTCACTTTTATTACATTCGATGAGGGCTCCATTCAATGATTCCATTAGATTCCATTCGATGATGATTCCATTTGAGTCCATTCAAAGATTCCTTTCGAGTCCATTCGATAATTCTACTGGATTCCACTAGGTGATGATTCCTTTCGAGTCAATTCGATGATTCCTTTCAAGGGCCTTCAATGATTCCATTCGATTCCATTCGATGACGATTCATTTCAAGTCCATTCAATGGTTCCATTCTGTTGAATTTGATGGTTCCATTTGATTCCATTCGATGATGATTCCATTCGTGTCCATTGGACGATTCCATTCGATTCCTTTCGAGGAAGATTCCATTCGAATCCATTTGATGATTCCGTTCGATTCCATTCCATGATGATTCCATTTGATTCCATTCCATGATTCCATTCGATACCATTCGATGATGATTCCATTCTACTCCATTTGATGAATCCATTCAATGCTCCCATTCGAGTCCATTCGAGGATTCCATTCGATTCCATTCGATGAAGATTCCATTCGAGTACATTTGATGATTCCATTTAATTCCATAGGATGATGATTCTATTAGGGTCCGTTGACTATTCCATTCAATTGCATTCGAAGATTCCATTCGAGTCCACTCAATGATTCTATTTGATTCCATTTGATAATTCCATTCGATTCCATTTGATGTTGAGTCCATTCGAGTCCATTCTATCATTATTACATTTGATTCTATTCGATGATTCCATTCGATTCCATTTGATGAGGATTCCATTCGAGACCATTTGATGATTGCATTCAATTCATTTGATGATGATTCCATTCAATTCCATTGGATGATTCCAATATTTTCCATTACATGATGATTCCATTCGATTCCATTCAATGATGATTCCATCAGAATCCATTCGATGATGACTCCTTTTGCTTCCATTCAATGATCATTACATTCGGTTATATTCGATGATGATTCCTTTGCATTCCATTCGATGATGCTTCCATTCGATTCCATTTGATGATGATTCTTTTCGATTCCATTTGATGATGATTCCATTTGATTCCATTCGATGGTGATTCCATTTGATGATTCCATTCGATTGTATTCGATGATGATTCCACTCGATTCTATTTGATGATGACTGCATTCGATTCTATTTGATGATTCCATTTGATTCCATTCGATGATGATTCTGATCAATTGCATTCGATGATCCATTCGATTCCATTTGATGGTTCCATTTGATTCCATTTGATAATGATTCCTTTCGAGTCCATTCGATGGTTCCATTTGCAGAGATTCGGTAATTCCATTTGAGTCCAATCGATGATTCCATTCGAGACCATTCAATCATTCTTTTTGAGTCCTTTCGATAAAGATTCCATTTTCGTCCATTCAATAATTCCACTGGAGTCCATTCGATGATTGCTTTTAATTCCATTCGATGATATTCCATTCGAGTCCATTCGATGATTCCATTCGTTGCTATTAGATGATGATTCCATTCATGACCATTTGGTGATTCCATTCGATTTCATTCGTTGATGATTCCATTCGAGTCCATTCCATGATTCCATTCAAGTCCATTTGATGATTTCTTTGAATTCAATTCGATGATGATTCCATTCGAGTCCATTCGATGATTCCATTCAGTTCCATTCGATGATGATTCCATTCGTGTCCATATGATGATTCCATTTGATTTCATTCGATGATGATTCCATTCGATTCCATTCGATGATTCCATTCTATTCCATTTGATGATGATTGCATTCGAGTCCATTCGAAGATTCCATTCGAGTCCATTTAATGATTCCATTGGGTTCAATTCAATGATGATTACATTGGATTCCGTTCTATGATTCCATTCCATTCCGTTCATTGACAATTTGATTCCATTCGATGATGATTCCATTTGAGTTCATTCGATGATTCTATTCGATTCTCTTCGATGGTGATTCCATTCTATTACATTGGATGATTCCATTCGATTCCATTTGATGTTGATTCAATTCGATTCTATTCGATGATGATTCCATTGGATTTCATTTGATGATTCTATTCGATTCCATTCAATGATGATTCACTTCTCGTCCATTGGATGATTCCATTTCATTCCATTCGATGATGATTCCATTCGATTCCATTCGATGATTCCATTTGATTCCATTCGACGGTGAGCAATTCGATTCAATTCCATGATGATTCTATTTGATTCAATTAGATGATGTTTCCATTCGAATCCATTCCATGATTATTCCATTGGAATCCATTCGGCGATGATTCCATATGAGTCAATTCAATGATGATTCCATATGGCTCCGTTCGATGATAATTCCATTTGATTTCATTCGATGCTTCTATTCTATTCCAGTCGATGATGATTCCGTTGGAGTCCATACGATGATTCCATTTGATTTCATTTGATGATGATTCCATTCGATTCCAGACTCCATTCTATTCCATTCGATGATGATTCCATTCGAGTCCATTCGATGATTCTATTCGAGTCCATTTAATGATTCCATTGGGTTCAATTCGATGATGGTTACATTGGATTCCATTCTATGATTCCATTCAATTCCATTCGTTGATGATTCGATTCCATTCAATGATGATTCCATTTGAGTTCATTCGATGATTCTATTCGATTCCGTTCGATGGTGATTCAATTCTATTATATTGGATGATTCCATTCGATTCCATTTGATGATGATTCCATTCGATTCCATTCGATGATGATTCCATTTGATTCCATTTGATGTTGATTCCATTGGATTCTATTCAATGATGATTCCATTCGATTTCATTTGATGATTCTAGTAGATTCCTTTCGATGATTCTATTCGATTCCATTCGATGATGATTCAATTCTCTTCCATTGGATGATTCCATTTCATTCCATTCGACGATGACTCCATTTGATTCCATTCAATGATGATTCCATTCGATTCCATTCGGTGATTCCATTTGATTCCATTCGACGGTGAGCAATTCGATTCAATTCCATGATGATTCTATTGGATTCAGTTAGATGATGTTTCCATTCAAATCCATTCGATGATGATTCCATTGGAATCCATTCGACGATGATTCCATATGAGTCAATTCGATGATGATTCCATACGAGTCCATTGGATGATAATTCCATTTGATTTCATTCAATGCTTCTATTCGATTCCATTTGATGATGATTCCATCTGAATCCATTCTCTGATTCCATTCTATTTCATTCGATGCTTCTATTTGATTTCATTGGAAGATGATTCCTTTCAATTCCATTCATTAATTGCATTTGATTCCATTCGATGATGATTCCATCCAATTCCATTGGATGATGATTCCATTCGAGTCCATTCGATGATTCCGTTCTATTCCATTCTATGATTCCATTCGAGTCCATTCGATGATTCCATTCGATTCCATTCAGTGATGATTCCATTTGATTCCATCTGATGATGATTTCATTTGACTCCATTCGATGATGATTCCATTGGAGTCCATTGAATGATTCAATTCAATTCCATTCTATGTGGATTCCATTCGAATTCATTCGATTATTCCATTCAAATCCCTTCGTTGATTCCATCTGATTCCACTTGACGATGATTCCATTCAAGTCCAATCGATGATTCCATTCGGTTCCATTCAATGATTCCATTCGAGTCCATTTTTGTATTCTATTCATGTCCACTTGATGATTCCATTCAATTCCATTTAATGATGATTCCATTTGATGCCATTTGATGATTCAGTTCGATTCCTTGCAATGATTCCCTACGATTCCTTTCTATGGTGATTCCATTCGATTCCATTCATTGATGATTCCATTCGACTCCATTCGATGATGATTCCTTTCGATTCCATTTGAGGATGTTTCCATTAGAGTCCATTCGACGATGATTCTATTCAATTCTGTTCTATTATGATTCCATTCGATTTCATTCATTGATGATTCCATTCGACTCCATTCGACGATGATTCCTTTCCATTCCATTTGACGATGTTTCCATTCGAGTCCATTCGATGATGATTCTATTCAATTCTGTTCTATTATGATTCCATTCGATTTCATTCAATGCTTCTATTTGATTCCATTCGATGATGATTCCATCTCTTTCCCTTCGATGATTCCATTTAATTCCATTCAGTGATGATTCCATTTGATTCCATCTGATGATGATTTCACTTGATTCCTTTCAATGAGGATTCCATCCAAGTCCATTCGATGATTCCAATGGAGTCCAAACGATCATTCCATTCGATTCCATTCAATTCCATTCGAAGATGATTCCATTCAATTCCATTCGATGATGCTTCCGTATGAATCCATTCACTGATTATTCCATTTTATTCCATTCATTGACGATTCCATTCGATTCCATTCAATGATGATTCTCTTCTATTCCATTCGATGATTCCGGTCGATTCCATTCAATGATGATTCCATTAGATTCCATTCGATTGTTGCATTCGATTCCCTTCGATGATGATTCGTTTGAATTCCATTCGATTATGATTCCGTATGAATCCATTTGATGATTATTCCGTTGTATTCCTTTCGATGATGATTCCATTCGATTCCATTTGATGATGTTTCTCTTGTATTCCATTGGATAATTCCTTTCAATTCCCTTCGATGATGATTCTTTCGAGTCAATTCGATGATTCTATTCCATTCCCTTCGATGATGATTCCATTTCACTCCATTCGATGATTCCATTCGACTCAATTTGGTGATGATTCAATTCGATGTCATTCGATGACTCCATTCAATTTCATTTGATGATGATTACATTCGAGTCCATTTGATGATTGTATTCCTTTCCTTTTGATGATTATTCCATTCGTGTCTATTCAAAGATTCCATTCTATTCCATTCAATGATGATTCCATTTGATTCTATTCAATGATTATGGCTATCGATTCCACTCGTTGATTCCATTTGATTCCATTCGATGATTATTCCGTTAGATTCCATTAGAAGATTCCATTCGATTTTATTCAATGATTCCAATTGATTCCATTCAATGATGATTCCATTCGACTCCATTCACTGATTCCATTTGAGTCCATTTGATGATTCCATTCGAGTCCATTTGATGATTCCATTCTTTTCCATTTGATGATGATTCCATTAGGGTCCATTCAATGATTCCATTCGAGTCCATTCGTTAATGCCTTTCGAGTCCTTTTGATCACTACATTCGAGTCCATTCAATGATTCTATTCGATTCCATTCGATGATGATTCCATTCGAGTTCATTCGATGATTGCATTCGAGTCCATTTGATGATTCCATATGATTCCATTCGACAATGATTCCATTCGTGTCCATTTGATGATTCCATTCATTTCCTATCGATGAAGATTCCATTCGAGTGTATTCGATGATTCCATTCAAATGCATTCGATGATGATTCCATTCCAGTCCATTCGATCGTTCCACTTGATTCCATTTGATGACTATTCCATTCAAATCCATTTGATGATTCCATTCGATTCCATTCGATGTTACCATTCGAGTATATATGATGATTCCACTCGATTCCATTTGATGATTATTCCATTGGAGTCCACTTAGTGAATCCTTTAGATTCTACTCGAAGATGATTCCATTCGAGTCCATTCGATGATACCATTCAATTCCATTCGTTGATGCTTCCATTCAAGTGCATTCGATGATATCATTCGATTCCATTTGATGATAATTCCATTTGATTCCATTGGATGATTCTATTCGATTCCATTCAATGATAATTCCATTCAATTCAGTGATTCCTCTGGACTCCATTTGATGATGATTCCATTCAATGATTCCATTCGATTCTATTCGAAAATGATTCCATTTGAATCCATTTGATGATGATTCCATTAGATTCCATTTGATGATTCCATTCGATTCCATTCAATGATAATTCCATTCAATTCAGTGATTCCTCTGGACTCCATTTGATGATGATTCCATTCAATGATTCCATTCGATTCTATTCGAAAATGATTCCATTTGAATCCATTTGATGATGATTCCATTGGATTCCATTTGATGATTCCATTCGATTCCATTCGATGATGATTCCATTCGATTCCATTTGATGATTCCATTCTATTGTATTCGATGATGATTCCATTCGATTCCATTCGATGATGATTGGATTCGATTCCATTTGATGATTTCATTTGATTCCATTCGATAATGATTTCGATCAATTCCATTCGATGATTCCATTCGATTCCATTCGATAATGATTACATCCGAGTCCATTCGATGATTCCATTTGAGCCCGTTCGATAATTCCATTTGAGTCCATTCAATGATTCCATTCATTTCCATTCAATGATTCCATTCGAGTCCATTTGATCATTCCGGTAGGGTCCGTTCGATGTTGATTCCATTGGAGTGCATTCGATGATTCCATTCGAGTCCATTTTATGATTTGATTCGAGTCCTTTCGATGATTCCATTCGATTCCACTCGATGATTTCATTCGAGTCCATTCGACACTTCCAATCGATTCCATTTGATGTTTCCATTCGAGTCCAATTGATGATTCCATTCAATTCCATTCGATGATGATTCCGTACGATTCCATTCTGTGATGATTCCATGTGATTGCATTCAATGATGATTCCTTTCGATTGCATTCGATTATGATTCATTTCGTGTTCATTCTATGGTTCCACAGGTTTCCATTCGTGTCCATTCCATTATTCCATTCTATTCCATTTGATGATGATTCCATTCGATTCCATTCATTGGTGATTCCACTCAATTCCATTCAATGATTCCATTCCATTTCTTTCAACAATGATTCCATTAGTTTCTATTCGATGATCCACTTGATTCCATTTGACGATGATTCCATTCTTGTCCATTCGATGATTCCATTTGATTCCATATGATGATGATTCCATTCGATTCCATACGATGATGATTCCATTCGAGTCCATTCAATGGTGATTCCATTCAATTCCATTCGATGATTCCTTTCGATTCCATTCGATGATGATGGCATTCGATTCCTTTCGATCATTCCCTTTGATTCCATTCAAAGGTGATTTCATTCAAGTCCATTCGATAATTGCATTCGATTCCATTCTATGATGATTCCATTCGAGTCCATTTGATGATTCCATTCAATTCAAGTCAATGATGATTCCATTCGATTCCACTCGATGATTCCATTGGATTCCATTCGATGATGATTCCATTCAAATCCATTCGATAATTCAATTCAAGTCCATTCGATGATGATTCCAATCGAATTCATTCAAAGATTCCACTCAATTTCATTCGATGGTGATTCCATTAGATTCCATTCGATGATTCCACTTGATTCCATTTACGATGATTCCATTTGATTCCATGTGATGATTCCATTCAATTCTATTCAATGATGTTTCCATTTGATTCCATTCGACCATGATTGCCTTTGATTCCATTAAATGATTCCATACGGTTCCATTTGATGATGATTCCGTTCGATTCCATTTGATGATTCCATTTGATTACATTGGATGAGTCCATTCGATTACATTCGATGATTATTCCATTCGAGTGCATTAGATGATTCCATTCGAGTCCATTCGATGATTCCATTCGATTCCATTCGATGTTGATTCTGTTCAAATCCATTCGATGATTCCACTCGATTCTATTCGATGACTCCATTTGATCCCATTCGATGATTTCCTTTGATTCCCTTTGATGATCATTCCATTTGATTCAATTCGGTGATTTCATTTGATTCCATTCAGTGATGTTTCCATTCGACTCCATTCGATGATGATTCCATTCGACTCCATTCGATTATGATTTCATTCAATTTCATTCGCTAATGATTCCCTTGGAGTCCATTCGATGATTCCATTCGATTCCATTCAACGATGATTTGATTCGTGTCCATTCGATGATTCCATTTGATTCCATTTGATGATGATTCCATTCGAGTCCATTTGATGATTCCATTCAATTCCATTCTCCGATGATTTCTTTTGAGCCCATTCAATGCTTCCACTCGATTCCATATGATGATGACTCCATTCGATTAAATTCGATGATGATTCTATTCGCTTGCATTCGATGATGATTCCACTTGAGTCTGTTAGAAGATTCTATTCAATTACATTCCATGACGATTCCGTTCGAGTCCATTTGATGATTCCATTAGACTCCATTCGACGATGATTCCATTCGATGTTATTCGATGATTCCATTCGATCTCATTCGATGATGATTCCATTCAACTCCATTCGATGTTTCCATTCGAGTTCATTCTATTATTCCATTAGATTCAATTCGATGATGATTCCATTCGATTCCATTTGATGATTGCATTCTACTTCATTTGATGATGATTCCATTCGATTCCATTCGATGATTCCATTCGAGTCCATTTAATGAATCCATTGGTTTCAATTCTATGATGATTACATTAGATTCCATTCGTTGATGATTTCATTCGATTCCATTCAATGATGATTCCATTCAATTCCATTCAATGATTCCATTCATTTCCATACGATGATGATTCCATTGGATTTGATTCGACAGTGAGCCATTCGATTCAATTCCATGATGATTCTATTTGATTCAATTGGTTGACATTTCCATTCGATTCCATTCGATGATGATTCCATTTGATTCCATTCAAAGATGATTCCATTCTAGCCCATTCAATCATTCCATTCGATTCTATTCAATGATGATTCCATTCATGTCGATTTGGTGATTCCATTTGACTTCATTTGATGATGATTCCTTTCAAGTTCATTAGATGATTCCATTCGATTCCATTTGATGATGATCCCATTTGAGTCCATTCAGTGATTCCACTCGTTTCCATTCCATGATGATTCCATTCCATTCCATTCAATGATTCCATTCGATTCCGTTTGATGATGATTTCATTCGAGTCCATTTGATGATTCCATTTGATTCCATTCGATGATGATTCCATTCGAGTCCATTCGATGATTCTATTCGAATCCATTTGATGATTTCTTTTGATTATATTTGGTGATGATTCCATTGGAGTCCATTCAATGATTCCATTCGATTCCAATCGATGATGATTCCATTAGAGTCCATTTAATGATTCCATTTGATTCCAGTCTCTGATGATTACATTCGAGTCCGTACGATGATTCCACTCAATTCCATATGATGATGATTCCATTCGATTCCATTCGATGATTCCATTCTATTCTATTCAATGGTGATTCCATTCGAGTACATTAGATGATTCCATTCGATTCCATTCAATGATGATTCTATTTGTGTCCCTTAGATGATTCCACATGATTCCATTAGATGATGATACTATTTCAGCCCATCCAATGATTCCCTTCGATTCCATTCGATGAGGATTCCATTCGATTCAATTCATTGGTGATTCTATTCAATTCAATTCTTTGATTCCATTGCATTCCATTCGACAATGATTCCATTCGATTTCTTTCGATGATTCCACTCGATTCCACTTGACATTGATTCCATTCGATTCCATTCAATGATTCCGTTTGATTCCAGTGGATGATGATTGCCATTGATTCCATTCGATCACTCCATTCTATTCCATTTGATGATGATTACATTCGATTCCATTTGATGATTCCATCTGATTCTATTCGAGGATTCCATTTGATTCCATTCGATGATGATTCCATTTGAGTCCATTCGATGATTTCATTCGAGTACATCCAATGATTCCATTCGAGTCCATTTGATGATTCCATTTGATTCCATTTGATTATGTTTCTACTAGAGTCCATTCAATGACTCCATTCGAGTCCATTCAAAAATTCCATTCGAGTCCATTCGATGATTCCATTCGATTCCATTTGATGATTCCATTCGAG
The DNA here is from genome assembly GCF_000001405.40 of Homo sapiens. Lineage (NCBI taxonomy): Eukaryota > Metazoa > Chordata > Mammalia > Primates > Hominidae > Homo > Homo sapiens. Next base: position 46,387,040 of record NC_000016.10, on the reverse strand, counting down.
TCCATTTAATCATTACAGTCGAGTCCATTTGGTGATTCCACTGGATTTCTTTTGATAATGATACCATTCAATTACATTTGATGATGATCCCATTCAATTTCATTTGATGATGATTCCATTAGAGTCCATTCGATGATTTCATTCGAGTCCCTTCATTGATTCCATCCGATCTCATTTGATGATGATTCCATTCGAGTCCATTCGATGATTCCACTCGATTCCATTAGATGATTCCATTGGAGTCCATTTCATTGTTCCATTCGATTCCATTCGATTCCTTTCGAAGATTATTCCATTTGAGTCCATTCGATGATGATTCCATTCCATTCCATTCCATTCGATGATTCCGTTTGATTCCATTCGATGATTCCCTTTGATTCCTTTCTGTGATGATTCCATTCCATTCCATTCAATGATTCCATTCGAATCTATTCCATGATGATTCCTTTCGATTCCATTCGCTGATGTTTCCGTTCAATTCCATTCGATGATGATTCCATTCGATTCCATTCATTGAGGATTCCATTTGATTCCATTCAATGATGATTCCATTCTATTCCATTCAATGATTGCATTCAATTCCATTCAATGATTATCCCATTAGAGTAAACTCAACGATTCCATTCAATACCATTCGATGATGATTCCTTTTGAGTCCATTCAATGATTTCATTCAATTCCATTTGATGATTCCTTTCAATTCCATTCTATGATGATTCCATTCGAGTCCATTCGATGATTCCATTCGATTGCATGCGATGATTCCATTATATTCCATTCAACGATGATTCCATTCGAGTCCATTCGATGATTCCATTAGAGTACATTTAATGATTGCTTTGTTTTCTATTCGAAGATGATTACATTGGATTCCATTCTATGATTCCATTCGATTCCATTCATTGATGATTCCACCCGATTCCATTCGATGATGATTCCATTCGATTTCATTGAATGATTCTACTCGATTGCATTCAATGTTGATTCAATTCTATTCCGTTCGATGATTCCATTAGATTCCATTCTATGATGATTCCATTCGAGTCCATTCGAAGATTCCATTCGATTACATTCCATGACGATTCCATTCGAGTCCATTCGATGATTCCATTTGAATCCATTCGACGATGATTCCATTTGATGCTATTCGATGATTCCATTGGATTCCATTCGATGATGATTCCATTCGACTTGAATCGATGATTCTATTTGAGTCCATTCGGTTATTTTATTAGACTACATTCGATGATGATTCCATTCGATGCCATTCAAAGATTCCATTTGATTCCACTCAATGATGATTGCATTCGTGTCCATTCGATGATTCCATTTGGTTCCATTTGATGATGATTCCATTCGAGTCCATTCGATGATACCATTCAATTCCATTCGATGATCATTCCATTCGAATCGATTTGATGATTCCACTCAATTCCATTTGATGACTCCTTTCATTCCCATTCGATGATTCCCTTCAATTCCATTCGATGATCTTTCCATTTGATTCAATATGGTGATTCCATTCTATTATATTCAATGATGATTCCATTCGACTCCATTACATGATGACTCCATTCCATTCCATTCGATTGTGATTTCATTCGATTCCATTCGAAGATGATTCCATTCGAGTCCATTTGATGATTCCATTCGATTCCATTCAATGATGATTCCACTCAAATCCATTGGATGATTCCATTCGTGTCCATTCGGTGATTTCATTAGATTCCATTCGAGGATGATTCCATTCCATTCCATTCGATGATTCCATTCAATTCCATTCGATGATGATTCCATTCGAGTCCATTCAATGATTCCATTGGATTCCGTTTGATAATGATTCCATTAGAGTTCATTCGATGATTCCCTTCGAGTCCATTCGATTATTCCTTTTGATTCCATTTGATGATGATTCCATTCGATTCCATTCAATGATTCCATTCCATTCCATTCGATGATGATTCCATTCGATAATGATTACATTCGAGCCCATGTGATGATTCCATTCGATTCTATTCAATGATGATTCCATTCGACCACATTCGATGAAGGCATTCGAGTCCATTCGACGATTTCACTCGATTCCACTTGATGATGATTCCTTTTGAGTCCATTTGATGATTACATTCGAGTCCATGAGATGACTCCATTCGATTCCGTTTAATGATGATGCAATTCGAGGCTATTCGATCATCCCATTTTAGTGCATTCGGTGATTCTCTTTTATTACATTCGATGAGGGCTCCATTCAATGATTCCATTAGATTCCATTCGATGATGATTCCATTTGAGTCCATTCAAAGATTCCTTTCGAGTCCATTCGATAATTCTATTGGATTCCACTAGGTGATGATTCCTTTTGAGTCAATTCGATGATTCCTTTCAAGGGCCTTCAATGATTCCATTCGATTCCATTCGATGACGATTCATTTCCAGTCCATTCAATGGTTCCATTCTGTTGAATTTGATGGTTCCATTTGATTCCATTCGATGATGATTCCATTCGTGTCCATTGGACGATTCCATTCGATTCCTTTCGAGGAAGATTCCATTCGACTCCATTCGATGATTCCGTTCGATTCCATTCCATGATGATTCCATTTGATTCCATTCCATGATTCCATTCGATACCATTCGATGATGATTCCATTCGGCTCCATTTGATGAATCCATTCAATGCTTCCATTCGAGTCCATTCGAGGATTCCATTCGTTGCTATTAGATGATGATTCCATTCATGACCATTTGGTGATTCCATTCGATTTCATTCGTTGATGATTCCATTCGAGTCCATTCCATGATTCCATTCGAGTCCATTCGATGATTCCGTTCTATTCCATTCTATGATTCCATTCGAGTCCATTCGATGATTCCATTCGATTCTATTCAGTGATGATTCCATTTGATTCCATGTGATGATGATTTCATTTGACTCCATTCGATGATGATTCCATTGGAGTCCATTGAATGATTCAATTCAATTCCATTCTATGTGGATTCCATTCGAATTCATTCGATTATTCCATTCAAATCCCTTCGTTGATTCCATCTGATTCCACTTGACGATGATTCCATTCAAGTCCAATCGATGATTCCATTCGGTTCCATTCAATGATTCCATTCGAGTCCATTTTTGTATTCTATTCATGTCCACTTGATGATTCCCTTCAATTCCATTTAATGATGATTCCATTTGATGCCATTTGATGATTCAGTTCGATTCCTTGCAATGATTCCCTATGATTCCTTTCTATGATGATTCCATTCGATTCCATTCATTGATGATTCCATTCGACTCCATTCGATGATGGTTCCTTTCGATTCCATTTGACGATGTTTCCATTAGAGTCCATTCGACGATGATTGTATTCAATTCTGTTCTATTATGATTCCATTCGATTTCATTCATTGATGATTCCATTCGACTCCATTCGACGATGATTCCTTTCCATTCCATTTGACGATGTTTCCATTCGAGTCCATTCGATGATGATTCTATTCAATTCTGTTCTATTATGATTCCATTCGATTTCATTCAATGCTTCTATTTGATTCCATTCGATGATGATTCCATCTCTTTCCCTTCGATGATTCCATTTCATTCCATTCAGTGATGATTCCATTTGATTCCATCTGATGATGATTTCACTTGATTCCTTTCAATGATGATTCCATTCAAGTCCATTCGATGATTCCATTGGAGTCCAAACGATCATTCCATTCGATTCCATTCAATTCCATTCGAAGATGATTCCATTCAATTCCATTCGATGATGCTTCCGTATGAATCCATTCACTGATTATTCCATTCGATTCCATTCATTGACGATTCCATTCGATTCCATTCAATGATGATTCTCTTCTATTCCATTCGATGATTCCGGTCGATTCCATTCGATGATGATTCCATTAGATTCCATTCGATTGTTGCATTCGATTCCCTTCGATGAAGATTCGTTTGAATTGCATTCGATTATGATTCCGTATGAATCCATTTGATGATTATTCCATTGGATTCCTTTCGATGATGATTCCATTCGATTCCATTTGATGATGTTTCTCTTGTATTCCATTTGATAATTCCTTTCAATTCCCTTCGATGATGATTCTTTCGAGTCAATTCGATGATTCTATTCCATTCCCTTCGATGATGATTCCATTTCACTCCATTCGATGATTCCATTCGACTCAATTTGGTGATGATTCAATTCGATGACATTCGATGACTCCATTCAATTTCATTTGATGATGATTACATTCGAGTCCATTTGATGATTGTATTCCTTTCCTTTTGATGATTATTCCATTCGTGTCTATTCAAAGATTCCATTCTATTCCATTCAACGATGATTCCATTTGATTCTATTCAATGATTATGGCTATCGATTCCACTCGTTGATTCCATTTGATTCCATTCGATGATTATTCCGTTAGATTCCATTAGAAGATTCCATTCGATTTTATTCAATGATTCCAATGGATTCCATTGGAATCATCAACGAATGAAATCGAATGGAATCACCAAATTGTCATGAATGGAATAATCATCTAATAGCAACGAATGGAATCATCGAATGGACTCGAATGGAATATCATCGAATGGAATTAAAAGCAATCATCGAATGGACTCCAGTGGAATTATTGAATGGACTCAAATGGAATCTTTATCGAAAGGACTCAAAAAGAATGATTGAATATTCTCGAATGGAATCATCGATTGGACTCAAATGGAATTATCGAATATCCGCAAATGGAATCATCGAATGGACTCGAAAGGAATCATTATCAAATGGAATCAAATGGAACCATAAAATGGAATCGAATGAATGATCGAATGCAATTGATCAGAATCATCATCGAATGGAATCAAATGGAATCATCAAATGGAATCGTATGCAGTCATCATCAAATGGAATCGAGTGGAATCCTCATCGAATACAAAAGAATGGAATCATCAAATGGAATCAAATGGAATCACCATCGAATGGAATCAAATGGAATCATCATCAAATGGAATCGAAAAGAATCATCATCAAATGGAATCGAATGGAAGCATCATCAAATGGAATCCAAAGGAATCATCATCGAATGTAACCGAATGTAATGTTCATTGAATGGAAGCAAAAGGAGTCATCATCGAATGGATTCTGATGGAATCATCATTGAATAGAATCGAATGGAATCATCATCTAATGGAAAATATTGGAATCATCCAATGGAATTGAATGGAATCATCATCAAATGAATTGAATGCAGTCATCAAATGCTCTCGAATGGAATCCTCATCAAATGGAATCGAATGGAATCATCGAATAGAATCAAATGTAATAATGATCGAATGGACTGGAATGGAATCAACATCAAATGGAATCGAATGGAATTATCAAATGGAATCAAATAGAATCATCGAGTGGACTCGAATGCAATCTTCGAATGGAATTGAATGGAATAGTCAAAGGACCCTAACAGAATCATCATCCTATGGAATTAAATGGAATCATCAAATGTACTCGAATGGAATCTTCATCGAATGGAATCGAATGAAATCCTCGAATGGACTCGAATGGAAGCATTGAATGGATTCATCAAATGGAGTCGAATGGAATCATCATCGAATGTTATCGAATGGAATCATGGAATGGAATCAAATGGAATCATCATGGAATGGAATCGAATGGAATCATCGAATGGAGTCGAATGGAATCTTCCTCGAAAGGAATCGAATGGAATCGTCCAATGGACACGAATGGAATCATCATCGAATGGAATCAAATGGAACCATCAAATTCAACAGAATGGAATCATTGTATGGACTTGAAATGAATCGTCATCGAATGGAATCGAATGGAATCATTGAAGGCCCTTGAAAGGAATCATCGAATTGACTCGAAAGGAATCATCACCTAGTGGAATCCAATAGAATTATGGAATGGACTCGAAAGGAATCTTTGAATGGAATCAAATGCAATCATCATTGAATGGAATAGAATGGAACCTTTGAATAGACACGAATGGAATAATCATCAAAAGGAAAGGAATACAATCATCAAATGGACTCGAATGTAATCATCATCAAATGAAATTGAATGGAGTCATCGAATGTCATCGAATTGAATCATCACCAAATTGAGTCGAATGGAATCATCAAATGGAGTGAAATGGAATCATCATCGAAGGGAATGGAATAGAATCATCGAATTGACTCGAAAGAATAATCATCGTAGGGAACTGAAAGGAATTATCCAATGGAATACAAGAGAAACATCATCAAATGGAATTGAATGGAATCATCATCGAAAGGAATCCAATGGAATAATCATCAAATGGATTCATACGGAATGATAATCGAATGGAATTC